>NC_000014.9:105368716-105671717 GCF_000001405.40 Homo sapiens | reverse complement strand
TCTCTCAGACAGCTTATCCTTTTTTAACCAACTTTTTGGCCAGGGAGGAATGTCCCTTTGTTCTTCTTCCCCCTGAGAAGCCATTCCTTTGTCTGCCAAACTCCCTGGGGTCCTGCCTGTTTCCTCCCATGGAGGGGTTTTGTGGGGGTGGTTCCTGTCTGGGGGGGCCCCTCCAGCCAGTACTCCAGGTCTCCCTGTCTCTCCCGTGCTGCCATTTTGATAGTATAATCTATTTTTAAATGGGGCTTTTCAATAGGGGAGAGGGAGTCATCTCTTCCTATATTTGGTGGGGTGGGTGTGAAGAAAGGGATTTGGGAGGGAATCTTCCTGCCGCCTCCCCCCCAGATGTTTATTTTTGATAACAAATGTGTATTTTCAGTTCCCTCCCTCCCAGCCCCCCAATTTCCTACAGGTAGGTACAAAGGACACTTTCAATGTCCCTGGAGGTGGGAGGGAGGAATGGGGGACATAAAGCCTGTCCTGTCTCTATTCTAGGCAGGAAGAGTGGGTTCAAAAGACTCCTGGGCTTCCCTGTCAGCCCTGGCCCAGCCCAGGCCTTGGGACCTGGGGGTTGGTGATTTGGGGGACGGTGCTACACTCGTCTCCACTGTTTTGCTTCCCCAAAATGGACCTTTTTTTTTTCTAAAGAGTCCCAGAGAATGGGGAATTGTTCCTGTAAATATATATTTTTCAAGGTGAAAAAAAAAAAAGAAAAACCTGCCATAATGAAGAGCAGACCAATATTCCAGAAAACTGTCACTTTAACAGAGAAGACCAAATTCTAGTTTCACATGAACTGTTAATATTAAAGCTAATTTTAATTAAACCTTATAAATAATTCCATCCAGGCTGGGCAAGGTGGCTTACACCTGTAGTCCCAGCATTCCAGGAGGGTGGATCACTTAAGCCCAGGAGTTTGAGATCAGCCTGGGCAACATGGGGAAGCCCTGTCTCTACAAAAAATACAAAAAAAAAATTGGCCAGGCATGGTGGCACGTGCCCGTAGTCCCAGCTACTTGGGAGGCTGAGGTGGGAGGATTGCTTGAGCCCTCCCACCTCAACCTCCCTCAGCCTCAGTGCTGAGTGCCACTGCACTGCTGCCTAGGCAACACAGTGGGACCCTGTCTCAAAAATAAATAAATAAATAAATCCGGCCAGGTGCAGTGGCTCATGCCTGTAATCCCAACACTTTGGGAGGCCTAGGCGGGTGGATCATGAGGTCAGGAGTTCGAGACCAGCCTGGCCAACGTGGTGAAACCCCTGTCTCTACTAAAACTATAAAAATTAGCTGGGCGTGGTGGTGGGCACCTGTAATCCCAGCTACTCTGGAGGCTGAGGCAGGAGAATCGCTTGAACCCAAGAGGCAGAGGTTGCAGTGAACCGAGATCACACCATTGCACTCCAGCTTAGGCAACAAGAGTGAAACTCTGTCTCAAAAAAATAAATAAATAAATCCAATCACAGCCGCCTTTGACCACATAAGATCCCTTTTCCACAATCCTTTTACAACTTTTTATTTGTTTGTTTTTTGTTTTGTTTTGTTTTTTGTTTTTGTTTTTGTTTTTTTTGAGACAAAGCACTGACCTGGCTGCCGAGCCCCGCCCCCTAGGCTGCAGGGGTGCCTGCAGAAGGGCACCACAGGGCCACCAGTCCTGCAAGCTTTCTGGGGCAGGCCGGGCCTGACTTTGGCTTTGGGGCAGGGAGGGGGCTAAGGTGAGGCAGGTGGCACCAGCCAGGTGCACACTCAATGCCCGTGAGCCCAGACACTGGACCCTGCCTGGACCCTCGCGGATAGACAAGAACCGAGGGGCCTCTGCACCCTGGGCCCAGCTCTGTCCCACACCGCGGTCACATGGCACCACCTCTCTTGCAGCCTCCACCAAGGGCCCATCGGTCTTCCCCCTGGTGCCCTCCTCCAGGAGCGTCTCTGAGGGCACAGCGGCCCTGGGCTGCCTGGTCAAGGACTACTTCCCCGAACCGGTGACGGTGTCGTGGAACTCAGGGGCCCTGACCAGAAGCGTGCACACCTTCCCGGCTGTCCTACAGTCCTCAGGACTCTACTCCCTCAGCAGCGTGGTGACCGTGCCCTCCAGCAGCTTGGGCACCCAGACCTACACCTGCAACGTAGATCACAAGCCCAGCAACACCAAGGTGGACAAGACAGTTGGTGAGAGGCCAGCACAGGGAGGGAGGGTGTCTGCTGGAAGCCAGGCTCAGCCCTCTTGCCTGGACGTACCCCGGCTGTGCAGCCCCAGTCCAGGGCAGCAAGGCAGGCCCCATCTGTCTCCTCACCCGGAGGCCTCTGCCCGCCCCACTCATGCTCAGGGAGAGGGTCTTCTGGCTTTTTCCACCAGGCTCCAGGCAGCCACAGGCTGGAAGCCCCTACCCCAGGCCCTGCGCACAAAGGGGCAGGTGCTGCACTTAGACTGGCCAAGAGCCATATCCGGGAAGACCCTGCCCCTGACCTAAGCCCACCCCAAAGGCCAAGATCTCCACTCCCTCAGCTCAGACACCTCTCCTCCCAGATCTGAGTAACTCCCAATCTTCTCTCTGCAGAGCCCAAAACCCCATGTTGTGACACAACTCACACATGCCCACCATGTGCAAGTAAGCCAGCCCAGGCCTCGCCCTCCAGCTCAAGGCGGGACAGGTGCCCTAGAGTAGCCTGCGTCCAGGGACAGGCCCCAACCGGGTGCTGACACGTCCGCCTCCATCTCTTCCTCAGCAACTGAACCCCTGGGGGGACCGTCAGTCTTCCTCTTCCCCCCAAAACCCAAGGATACCCTCATGATCTCCCGGACCCCTGAGGTCACGTGCGTGGTGGTGGACGTGAGCCACGAAGACCCTGAGGTCAAGTTCAACTGGTACGTGGACGGCGTGGAGGTGCATAATGCCAAGACAAAGCCGTGGGAGGAGCAGTACAACAGCACGTACCATGTGGTCAGCGTCCTCACCGTCGTGCACCAGAACTGGCTGAACGGCAAGGAGTACAAGTGCAAGGTCTCCAACAAAGGCCTCCCAGCCCCCATCGAGAAAACCATCTCCAAAACCAAAGGTGGGACCCACGGAGCGCGAAGGCCACGTGGACAGAGGCCGGCTTGGCCCACCCTCTGCCCTGGGAGTGACCGCTGTACCAACCTCTGTCCCTACAGGGCAGCCCCGAGAACCACAGGTGTACACCCTGCCCCCATCCCAGAAGATGACCAAGAACCAGGTCACCCTGACCTGCCTGGTCAAAGGCTTCTACCCCAGCGACATCGCCGTGGAGTGGGAGAGCAATGGGCAGCCGGAGAACAACTACAAGACCACGCCTCCCATGCTGGACTCCAACGGCTCCTTCTTCCTCTATAGCAAGCTCACCGTGGACAAGAGCAGGTGGCAGCAGGGGAACGTCTTCTCATGCTCCGTGATGCATGAGGGTCTGCAGAACCACTACACGCAGAAGAGCCTCTCCCTGTCCCCGGGGTAAATGAGTGCGACGGCCGGCAAGCCCCCGCTCCCCGGGCTCTCGCGGTCGCACGAGGATGCTTGGCACGTACCCCGTCTACATACTTCCCAGGCACCCAGCATGGAAATAAAGCACCCACCACTGCCCTGGGCCCCTGCGAGACTGTGATGGTTCTTTCCACGGGTCAGGCCGAGTCTGAGGCCTGAGTGGCATGAGGGAGGCAGAGCGGGTCCCACTGTCCCCACACTGGCCCAGGCTGTGCAGGTGTGCCTGGGCCGCCTAGGGTGGGGCTCAGCCAGGGGCTGCCCTCGGCAGGGTGGGGGATTTGCCAGCGTGGCCCTCCCTCCAGCAGCACCTGCCCTGGGCTGAGCCACGAGAAGCCCTAGGAGCCCCTGGGGACAGACACACAGCCCCTGCCTCTGTAGGAGACTGTCCTGTTCTGTGAGCGCCCTGTCCTCCGACCCCCCATGCCCACTCGGGGGCATGCCTAGTCCATGTGCGTAGGGACAGGCCCTCCCTCACCCATCTACCCCCACGGCACTAACCCCTGGCAGCCCTGCCCAGCCTCGCACCCGCATGGGGACACAACCGACTCCGGGGACATGCACTCTCGGGCCCTATGGAGGGACTGGTCCAGATGCCCACACACACACTCAGCCCAGACCCGTTCAACAAACCCCGCACTGAGGTTGGCCGGCCACACGGCCACCACACACACACGTGCACGCCTCACACACGGAGCCTCACCCGGGCGAACTGCACAGCACCCAGACCAGAGCAAGGTCCTCGCACACGTGAACACTCCTCGGACACAGGCCCCTACAAGCCCCATGCGGCACCTCAAGGCCCACGAGCCTCTCGGCAGCTTCTCCACTTGCTGACCAGCTCAGACAAACCCAGTCCTCCTCTCACAAAGTGCCCCTGCAGCCGCCACACACACACAGGGGATCACACACCACGTCACGTCCCTGGCCCTGGCCCACTTCCCAATACAGCCCTTCCCTGCTCCTGGGGTCACATGAGGGGTGGGCTTCATATCTCCTGCCCTCTGGGGCTCAGGGAGGGACACGGGAGACGGGGAGCGGGTCCTGCTGAGGGCCAGGTCGCTATTTAGGGCCGGGTGTCTGGCTGAGCCCCAGGGCCAAAGCCGGTGCCCAGGATGGACAGCTTCCGGGAGCTGACCTCAGGACACTGTTGGGCCATCGAGGCCGGGCCCTACATCCTAGGCCCCGCCACAGAGGGAATCACCCCCAGAGGCCCAAGCCCAGGGGGACACAGCACTGACCACCCCCTTCCTGTCCAGAGCTGCAACTGGAGGAGAGCTGTGCGGAGGCGCAGGACGGGGAGCTGGACGGGCTGTGGACGACCATCACCATCTTCATCACACTCTTCCTGCTAAGCGTGTGCTACAGTGCCACCGTCACCTTCTTCAAGGTCGGCCGCACGTTGTCCCCAGCTGTCCTTGACATTGCCCCCATGCTGTCACACACTGTCCCTGACACTGTCCCCAGGCTGTCCCCACCTGTCCCTGACGCTGTCCCCCACGCTCTCACAAACTGTCCCTCACTCTGTACCCACCTGTCCAACAGTGTCCCCCAGACTGTCTCCACATGTCCCTGACACTATCCCCAACGCTGTCGCCACCTGTCCCTGACACTCCCCAACGCTGTACCCACCTGTCCAACAGTGTCCCCCAGACTGTCTCCACATGTGCCTGACACTATCCCCAATGCTGCACCCACCTGTCCCTGACACTGTCCCCCACACTGTCACAAACTGTCCCTGACACTGTCCCCCACACGTTCCCTGTCCCTGACACTGTCCCCTGTGCTGTCACAAACTGTCACTGACAGTGTCCCCCACACTATCCCCACCTGTCCCTGACGCTGTCCCCCACACTATCCCCACCTGTCCCTGACGCTGTCCCCCACACTATCCCCACCTGTCCCGGACACTATTCCCCACACTGTCCCCACCAGTCCCCAACACTGTACCCCATGCTATCCCCACCTGTCCCCAACACTGTCCCCCACAGTCCCCTCCTGTCCCTGAATGTCCCCCATGCTGTTTCCTCCTGTCCCCTCCTGTCCCGACACTGTCCCCTACACTGTCTTCTCGTCTCCTCCTATCCCTGACACTGTCCCCCACGCTGTCCCCTCCTGTCCCCAACAATGTCCCCCACAGTTTCCTCCTGTACCTCACACTGTCCCCCATGCTGTCTTCTCCTGTCTCCTCCTGTCCCTGACACTGTCCCCCACGCTGTCACCACCTGTCCCCGACACTGTCCCCCATACTGTCCCCACCTGTCCCCGACACTGTCCCCCACGCTGTCCCCTCCTGTCCCCAACACTGTCCCCATGCTGTCTCCTCCTGTCTCTGACACTGTCCCCCACTCTGTCCCCTACAGTCCCTGACACTGTCCCCATGCTTTCCCCTCCTGTATGCAACACTGTCCCCCATGCTGTCTCCTCCTGTCCCTGACACTGTCCCCCATGCTGTCCCCACCTGTCCCACTGTCCCACATGCTGTCCCCACCTGTCCCTGACACTGTCCCCGACACTGTCTCTCATGCTGTCCCCACCCATCTCCGACACTGTACCCCATGCTGTCCCCACCTGTCCTTGACACTGTCCCCCATGCTGTCCCCACCTGTCCCTGATGCTGTCCCCCACACTGTCCCCATCTGTCCCTGACACTCTCCCCAATGCTGTCCCCACCTGTCCCTGACACTGTCCCCCACGCTGTTCCCACCTGTCCCCGACACTGTCCCCCACACTGTCCCCACCTGTCCCAACAATGTCCTCACACTGTCCCCACCTGTCCCGACACTGTCCATGCTGTCCGCACCTCTCCCTGACACTGTCCCCCATGCTGTCCCCACCTCTCCCTGACGCTGTCCCCCACACTGTCCCCTCTCCCTGACACTGTCCCCCACACTGTCCCCACCTTTCCCTGACACTGTCCCCCACGCTGTCCCCACCTCCCCCTGACACTGTCCCCTACACTGTTCCCACCTCTCCCTAACACTGTCCCCCACGCTGTCCCCTCCTGTCCCCAACACTTTCCCCCACGCTGTCCCCACCAGTCCCCAACACTGTACACCATGCTTTCCCCACCTGTCCCCAACACTGTCCCCCACACTGTCCCCTCCTGTCCCCAAAAATGTCCCCCACACTGTTTCCTCCTGTCCCCAACACTGTCCACCACTCTGTCTCCTCCTGTCCCTGACACTGTCCCCCACTCTGTCCCCACCTGTCCCCAACACTATCCCCCACACTGTCTCCACCTGTCCCTGACGCTGTCTTCTGTACTGCCCACATGCTGTTGGTGCCCTGGCTCTGCTCTCCATGTCCAGGCCTCAGAGCAGGCAGTGGTGAGGCCCTGGCACCTGGGTGGACTGAAGGGCGGATGGGCCTCAGGGGCAGGGCTGTGGCCTGGGTGGCATGAGGGGTGGGTGGACCTTGGGGGAAGAGATGTGGCCCTCAGTGCCCTGAGGGGTGGGTGGGGCTCGGGGACAGGGCTGTGGCCTCGCTCACCCCTGTGCTGTGCCTTGCCTACAGGTGAAGTGGATCTTCTCCTCGGTGGTGGACCTGAAGCAGACCATCGTCCCCGACTACAGGAACATGATCGGGCAGGGGGCCTAGGGCCACCCTCTGCGGGGTGTCCAGGGCCGCCCAGACCCCACACACGAGCCGTGGGCCATGCTCAGCCACCACCCAGGCCACACCTGCCCCCGACCTCACCGCCCTGAACCCCATGGCTCTCTGGCCTCGAAGTCACCTTCTGACCCCTGACACGCCCCCCTTCCAGACCCTGTGCATAGCAGGTCTACCCCAGACCTCCGCTGCTTGATGCATGCAGGGCGCTGGGGGCCAGGTGTCCCCTCAGCAGGACGTCCCTGCCCTCCAGACCACCAGGTGCTCACACAAAAGGAGTCAGTGACCGGCATCCCAGGCCCCCACCCAGGCAGGACCTCGCCCTGGAGCCAACCCCGTCCACACCAGCCTCCTGAACACAGGCGTGGTTTCCAGTTGGTGAGTGGGAAAATCAGCCGCCAAGGTAGGGAAGCCACAGCACCATCAGGCCCTGTTGGGGAGGCTTCCAAGAGCTGCGAAGGCTCACTCAGACGGCCTTCCTCCCAGCCCGCAGCCAGCCAGCCTCCATTCCGGGCACTCCCGTGAACTCCTGACATGAGGAATGAGGTTGTTCTGATTTCAAGCAAAGAACGCTGCTCTCTGGCTCCTGAGAACAGTCTCGGTGCCAGCACCACCCCTTGGCTGCCTGCCCACACTGCTGGATTCTCGGGTGGAACTCGACCCGCAGGGACAGCCAGCCCCAGAGTCCGCACTGGGGAGAGAAGGGGCCAGGCCCAGGACACTGCCACCTCCCACCCACTCCAGTCCACCGAGATCACTCAGAGAAGAGCCTGGGCCATGTGGCCGCTGCAGGAGCCCCACAGTGCAAGGGTGAGGATAGCCCAAGGAAGGGCTGGGCATCTGCCCAGACAGGCCTCCCAGAGAAGGCTGGTGACCAGGTCCCAGGCGGGCAAGACTCAGCCTTGGTGGGGCCTGAGGACAGAGGAGGCCCAGGAGCATCGGGGAGAGAGGTGGAGGGACACCGGGAGAGCCAGGAGCGTGGACACAGCCAGAACTCATCACAGAGGCTGGCGTCCAGTCCCGGGTCACGTGCAGCAGGAACAAGCAGCCACTCTGGGGGCACCAGGTGGAGAGGCAAGACGCCAAAGAGGGTGCCCGTGTTCTTGCGAAAGCAGGGCTGCTGGCCACGAGTGCTGGACAGAGGCCCCCACGCTCTGCTGCCCCCATCACGCCGTTCCGTGACTGTCACGCAGAATCCGCAGACAGGAAGGGAGACTCGAGCGGGAGTGCGGCCAGCGCCTGCCTCAGCCGTCAGGGAGGACTCCCGGGCTCACTCGAAGGAGGTGCCACCATTTCAGCTTTGGTAGCTTTTCTTCTTTTAAATTTTCTAAAGTTCATTAATTGTCTTTGATGTTTCTTTTGTGATGACAATAAAATATCCTTTTTAAGTCTTGTACTTCGTGATGGGAGCCGCCTTCCTGTGTCCACGTGCCTCCTGCCCCCGGTGGGAAACACGGTCAGGAGGAGGCTGGTCCAGCTGCACCTCGGGGGCTCCCTGCACACGCCCCCCGCCTCCTGCAGCCACACGCATTGCCCGAGCGACCCTCCCTGGCCCCTGTCGCTACATGGACCCCCGGGGCTTCTCCTCTTTTCTACATGGATGCAGTTTCTCCTCCTGCTGGGCACGGTGCTGCCTGCCCTGGTCACTCTGCGGGGGACAGGGCCTCCAGGGAAAGCTGGGTCGAGGCTGGGAGCTGGCTCAGGCTGGCCAGGCAGAGCCACAGGGAGGGCCTTCCAGAACCAACCATGGTCCGAAGCGAGAGGTGGGTGTCAGATCTGTGTGAGTCAGCTCAGGACCACAGCGGGGCGGCTCCCACGGCAGACATGGATCCTCCCAGGCCTAGAGACCAGGAATCTGAGATCAGGATGCAGGCAGGGCTGGTTTCTCTCAAGCCCTCTCTCCTTGGCTTGTAGACACCGTCTCCTCCCTGGTCCTCACGTGGCCATCCCTCTGTGTGCCCGTGTCCTAAGCTTCTCTTCTTAGAACACACATCGGATTAGATTAGTGACCCCCTATGAACTTAATGACCTCTGTAAAGACCCCATCTCCAAATAGTCACATTGTGAGGCCAGGGATTAAGACTTGAATATATGAATTTGTAGGGGCCACAATTTAACCCATCACAGTCCAGACTCTGGGCCCCAAAATTCATGTTCTTCTCACATGCAGAATACATTCATCCTGTCTCAGCATCCCCCTGGGCACTAGGTCATGTAGCAAGGACAGATTTTCAACAGAAATAACTATTGCAACAGAAGAAAGAGTCCGGCATGACCTGGACTCACCTTCATCTGTGCAGAGGCCACAGCCTTGTAAAGGGAGGTGGTAGGGGGAGCAGGGAGGGTGCTCGGGGCTCAGTCTTCGGGGAAGGGAAAAGTTGCCCAGCGCTGGTCAGCGTCCCCGGGATGGGACCCGCTGTGTCCGTGCCGGCCACTGTTGAGGTCAGGATTCTGTCCTCCCAGAGCCTGGAGACACAGGCCCCATCCTTCCCAATGGGGACACTTCAGGGAGCGGCTCTCAAGTCTTGAGAAAGACCCTCCTGGGTCACAGGAAATGCACAGACATCGGGAACGGATAGAAGGTCGTGTGGTTGCGGCCCTCTCAGCAGATACCCTGAGAAAGGGAGGTCGGGGTTGGTCCAAACGGTGAGTTCTGGTGCACGGAGCTTTCTCAGGCAGGTGTTGACGGGGCAGGGGTCGGCCTAGGGGTACGGCCAGAAGCTGTTAGAAACTGTTAGTGTCTGCTCAAGTCTTTACAAGCCAAGGTTGAGGCCGAGTGGAGAGGCTCCGAGGAGCCTGGCTGGAACTCAGTCAAGGACAGGGTCTTGTTACTGCAGTGGCTGCGGTGGCTGCGGTGGCTGGAAAATGCCGTCGGAGTTGCCTGTGGCAGGAGAGAGACCATCTCACCCAGGAAGGAGGAGTGGTTGGATTCGTTTGTGTGGCATCGAGCAGCTGGAGCTGCACCAGAGTTGGGGGTGAAATCCCCAGAGCCCGGACCCTGCTGTGCCGTGGGAGGGCTCGCCGCTGGAGGGTGGGCTTCAGGGTGCCTGGCCTGAACTGGGTGCTGAAGCCCAGCCCTTTAACTCTCAGGACACGCTGCTGCAGCCCCGCGGGGGGTGAGGGAGAGAGCACCTGGGGTGCAGGGCGGGCAGCAGCTGCATCACCGGCTCTATCCCAAGCCCAAGGATGGCCCCTCCCTGAAGCACCCAGGCCCCACCTCCCCCTTTCCACCTGGAACCGAGCATCCTCCAGAGGGCCAGTCCTCCTGCAGGAACACCACGCCCAGCCCCAGGACCCTCCCTCAACTCTCCAGCAAGGCTGCCTCCACGCACCCCCTAGCAGTCCATGCTGTGATGTAACATGACATGGTGTGATGTGGTGTGATATCCATGGTGTGCCAGGGTGTAATGTGTGATGTGACAGGACATGGTGTGATGTGGTATGACAGAGTGTGACATCCCTGGTGTGACATGGTGTGATGTGGTGTGATGTGATGTGACATGGTTGGACATGGTGTGATGTGGTGTGACATAGTGGGATGGGGCATGACATCCCTAGTATGATAGGATATGATATGGTGTGATGTGGTATGGTGTGACATGGTGGGACATCCTGTGACAGAGTGTGACACCCCTGGTGTGATGTGGTGTGACGTAGTGTGATGTGATATGACCTGATGTGATGCGGTGTGACATCCCTGGTGTGATGGGGTATGATATCATTTAACGGGTGTGATGTGATGTGATGTGATGGAGTGTGACATCTCTGGTGTGACATGTGTGATGTGGTGTGACAGAGTGTCACATCGTTGGTGTGATGTAATGCAGTGTGACATGGTGTGATGTGGCATGATGGGGTGTGACAGGGTTCGACCTCCCTCATGTGATGAGGAGTTGCATGGTGTGATGTGGTATGACATGGTGTAATGTCCCTTCTGTGATGTGGTGTTGGGCTACAAGGTTGGACATGGTGTGATGTGGTGTTACATCCCTGGTGTGATGCAGTGTGACATAGTATTATATGGTATGACATCCCTGGTATGATGGGGCATAATATGGTTTGATGTGGAATGGTGTGACATGATGTGATGTAATGGGACAAGGTGTGACATCCCTAGTGTGATGTGGTGTGATGAAGTGTAACAGGCTGTGACATAGTGTGGTGTGGTGTGGTGTGACATGATGTGATGTGGTTTGGCATAATGTGACGTGTTCTGATGGGGCGTGACGCCCCTGGTGTGATGGGGTGTGATGTTGTGTGGCATTATGTGAAGTGGTGTGATGACGGGTGACATCCACGGTGTGATGGGGTGTGATGTGGTGTGATGTGGCATGACATAAGGTGATGTGGCATAACATCCCTGGTGTGATGGGGTGTGATGTGGTGTGACACAATTTGATGTGGTGTATTGTGGTGTGACATAATGTGATGTGGCATAACATCCCTGGGGTAATGGGGTATGATGTAGTTTGACATGGCGTGACGTAATGTGATGTGGTGTGATGGGGTGTGACAACTCTGGTGGGGTGGGGTGTGATGAAGTGTGGTGTGACATGATGTGATGTCTGATGTGCTGTGTCAGGGTGTCACATACTTGGTGTGATGTGATGCGGTGTGACACAGTGTGATGTGGCATGATGGGGTGTGACCTGGTACGACATCCCCAGTGTGATGAGGAGTTACATAGTGTGATGTGGTGTGACATCCCTGGTGTGACATAGTGTGATATGGTGTGATGAAGGGAACCCCTGGCTTATAGAGGTGTAAAATAGGTCAAAGGAAATAAAAGATGCAGAGCTCAATAGAATGAAATAACCTGGAAGAGGGTACAAGACGATGCCTTGCTTTCCATGGAAGGCACCTACTAATCTTTTGTTTTTCTCAATGTTTCCTATAAACATATATAACTGACTGACACAAACAGATCCATAATATAAAGAAGACCCCTGTAAACCAACGAGAAAAAAAATCAAATAATTCAACAAGGAATAGGCAAAAGAATTGAACAGATGTTTTACAGAAGATATCCAAATAGCCGCTAAACATATGAAAAGGTGTTGAACCACACTAGTCAACAGGGAAATGAAAATGAAAAACCACATGAGAGAAAGTAGTTCTGATTCCAGTAATGCTGGAGCAGCTAATATCAGACTAGCCCTTTGGCAGATGGCAATTATAAACACTGGAAAAGCTGTAAGCACACACAACACCCACACACACCAATTGCAGGCACTGGAACATGACCAGAAGTAGGCAAACACTAGTAAGGATTATTCCCGGAAATATTGGTCTGAAGTCACACCCCAGGGCATGTAATGGGTGCAGCTAGAGTTCAAGCAGGAAACTGCAGCCCTCCTGGTGAGGAGTGGGATGCAGGGCTGCATTTTCAGAGCAGCTGGAAATGAAGAGAAGATGTCCATAAAGGAGAAGGTCACCAAAGGGAAACCCCACAATCTGCAAGTAAACTCCACTGAAACCTCTGGCCGATCCCTTAGGTGTGCATGGGTAGGGAAAACTCCAAAGGGCCCAGCAGAAAGCAGCACCTGTAAGGTCGAGAGAACTGAGATTCCAGCTACTGCCAACTGCCAGGCAGACAGACTTGGGAGTTTGAGTCAACTCAAGCTGTTTCCTAACATTGAAAAAAACAATCAATGCCCTGCCAAGGAAGAACGCAAAACCCATAGCCTGTACCACATGTTATCAACAACATCAGGTGCACATCCAAAATTACCATATATGCAAAGAAACATGAAAATGTGATCCATAGTCAGAAGAAAAAGGGATCAATGGAGATCAACTCCAAGATGACCTAGATGCAGACCCAGTTTTCACACAAGGACTTTAAAGAAGTCATGTTAAATATGTTCAAAGACTTAAAGGACAATATGGTTATAATGAGTGACTAGATGGGGAATCTCTGTAAGAAAGGGAAAATATTAACAAGAACCAAATGAAAATTCTAGAACTAAAAGTATGATTCTGAAATGAAAAACATCATTTGGCCAGGCACAGTGGCCCATGCCTGTTATCCTAGCACTTTGGGAGGCCAAGAAGGAAGGATCACTTGATCCCAGGAGTTTGAGACCAGCCTGGGCAACATGGAGAAATCCCATCTCTATTTTATTAAAAAAGAAAAGAAATAGAAAAACATTACTCAAGTTTCATAACAGAATGGAGCAGACATGAGAAGGAACTGAAAACTTAAAGATGCATCAATAGACTATGTCAATTATTTTTAATCTAATGCAAAGAAGAGAGAGAAAAATACTAAAAATGAAAAGAGACTCATCCTGCTGGACAAGGCGAAGCATTCTAAAACATGTGAAACTGGAGTCCAGAGGGGGATGTAATACTTCCATGGGAAAGGTCAACCCTAAGCTATATGCAAATGTACCTGCGTAGGCTGGTGTGCTGGGTTGATGGCATCTCCCTGGCCAAATGTATGCCCACCTGGAACCTCAGAATGTGACCATATTTAGAAATAGGGTCTTTACAAATTAGTTTAAGGACTTGAGATGATATCATACTAAATTTTCGATGGGTCCCAAATCCAAAGACTGGTGTCCTCATGAGAGGAGAGGACACAGACACACATGGAAGTAGCCAGATGATGACAAAGGAGAAGATGAGGGGTGTGTCAGGAGCCACCTGTGTTTGTCCCTTTGCATTACTGTAAAGAAATACATGAGGCTGGGTAACTTATAAAGGAAAGAGATTGAATTAGCTCACAGTTCTGCAGGCTTTATAGGAAGCATGGCATCAGCATCTGCTTCTGGCGAGGACCTCAGGAAACTTACAATCATAGCAGAAGGTGAAGGGAGAGCAGGTATGCCACATGGCAAGAATGGGAGCAAGAGGCTGAGGGGGGGCCCAGACTTAAACAACTAGACTGTGTGTGAGCTGACTGGGGGAGAATTCACTCATCACCAAGGGGAAGATGCTCAATCATTCATGAGGGATCTGCCCCCTTGATCTAATCACCTCCTAGTGGCCCCACTTCCAACACTGGGAATCATATTACAACATGAGATTTGGAGGGGACAAATATATAAACCATATCCTTCCACCCCTGGTCCCCCAAATCTCATGTCCTTCTCATGTTGCAAAATACAATCATGCCTTCTCAACAGTCCCCCAAAGTCTTACCTCATTCCAGAATCAACAAAAAATTCCCAAGTCCCAAGTCTCATCTGAAGATGAGTCCCTTCCACCTATCAGCCTAGGAAATCAAAGACAAATTGACTCCCAAAATACAATGAGAGTGCAGACATTGGGTAAACATTCCCATTCCACAAGGGAGAAGTTGGCAAAAAGAAAGGATCTACATGCCCCATACACGTCAGAAATCCAGCAGGGCAGTTATTAAATCTTAAAGCTCCAAGGTAATCTCCTTTGACTTCATGTCCCATATCCAGGGCACACTGGTGCAGGGGGTGGGCTCCCAAAGCCTTGGACAACTCTACCCCTGTGGCTTTGGAGGATGTAGCCCCTGTGGCTTCTCTCACACGATAGAGTTGAGTGCCTGTGGCTTTTCCAGATTCAGGGTGCAAACTGCCAGTGGATCTACCATTCTGGGGTCTGGAGGACAGTGGCCCCCTTCCCACAGCTCCACTAGGCAGTGCCCTGGTGGGGACATTATATGGGGGTTCAACCCCACATTCTCTTTGGCACTGCTCTAGTAGAGGTTCTCTGTGAGGGCTCCATGCTGGCAGGAGGCTTCTCTCTGGGCACCTAGGGTTTCTCATACATTTCTGAAATCTAGAGTGAAGATGCCAAGCCTCCTTCACTCTTGCATTCTGGGGGCCTACAGGCTTAACACCAGATGGAAGTTCCCAAGGCTTATAGTGGCTTGCACTCTCCAAAGAAGCAGCCTAAGCTGTACTTGGGGCCCTTTGAGCCAAGGCTGGAGCCAGAGGAACCAGGATGTGGAGAGCAGTGTCCCAAGGCTGCACAGGCAGCAGTGGCCATGGGCATGGCCCACAAAACCATCCTTTCCCTCTTGGCCTCTGGGCCTGTTATGGGAAAGACCACCTCAGAGATTTCCGAAAGGCCTTCAAGGCCTTTTTCCCTTTGTTCTGGATATGAGCACTTAGCTCCCTTTTAGTTATGCTAATCTCTCTAGCAACTGGCTGCTCCATAGCCTACTTATATTTGTCTCCTGAAAATACCTTTTCTTTTCTACCACATGGCCAGGCTGTGAATTTTCCACATTTTTTATGCTCTGCTTCCCTTTGTTGATGAAAAAAGCCAAACTCCATAAAACACTTGACGAGATTGATTCTGAGCCACATGTGAGAGCCATGAACTGTGGCACAGCCTCAAAAGGTCCTGAGAACACCTGTGCAAGGTGGTTGGGTTGCGGCCTGCTTTTATGTTTTAGGGAGACATATCAATCAATACATGTAAAGTATACATTGGTTTGGTTTGGTTTGGAAAAGCAGGACAATTCAAAGTGGGGAATTCCAAATCATAGGTGGATTTGAAGATTTTCTGATTGGCAATTGGCTGAAAAAGTTAAATTATCTAAAAAGTTGAAGTCAGCAAAAAGCAATGCTTAAGATAAGGGGGTTGTGGAAGCCAAGTTTCTTGTTATGTAGATGAAGCCTCCACGTTCCAGAGAGAAGAGATGGTCAATGTCTCTTATCAGAACCTAAAAGGTGCCAGACTCTTGGATAAATCTCTCCTGAATCAGGAAGAGACCTGGAAAGGGAAAAAGATTCTCAACAGAATATACATTTCCTCCACAAGAGACGGCTTTGCAGGGCCCTTCCAAAATGTGTCAGAGAAATATATTCTGGCATAAAATACTTTAATTTCCTTCCATGCCTGCCACCTGTCATGTGATGCTATACCAGAATCAGGTTGGGATTTGATATCTTATTGCTACAAAGAGTCTGCTTTGTCAGTCTTAAGCTCCCTGTTTTAATGTTAACACTGGTCAGCTGAGCCTAAGCTCCAACAGGGAGAGGGTATAGTGAGGGAGTCCAAACCACCCTCCCCTTCCTGTCATGGCCTGAACTGGTTTTCCAGGTTTCTTTGGAATCCCCTTGGATTAGCATTTTATTTTGTCGTTTACACCTTTTAAATATAAGTTCCAACTTTAAGTCATTTCTTTGCTCCCATATCTTACCATAGACTGTTAGAAGCAACCAGGTCACACCTTAGAAACATCTGCTTAGAAATGTCTTCCACAGATGCCCTAAGTCATCACTCTTAAGGTCAACCTTCCACAGATCCCTAGGGCATGAACACAATGCAGCCAAGTTGTTTCTTAGGATTTAACAAGCGTGACCTTTACACCAGTTCCCAATAAGTTTCTCATTTCCATCTGAGATTTCATCAGCCTGGCTTTCACAGTCCATATGTCTATCAGCATTTTGGTGACAACCATTTAATAGTCTCTAAGAAATTCCAAACTTTCCCTCATCTTCCTGTCTTCTTCTGAGTCCTCCAAATTCTTCTAACCTCTCTGCCTGTTACCTGATTCCAAAGCTGCTTCCACATTTTCAGGTATCCTTATAGCAATGTTCCACTCCTCAATACCAATGTTCTGAGTTAGTCTATTTGTGTTACTAGAAAAAAAAAAAAAACATGAATCTGGTAATTTATAAAGAAAAGAGGTTTGCACCAGGCACTGTGGCAAGGAAGGGAGGATTAACTAGCTCACAGTTCTGCAGCCATTCCGGAAACACGGCCCTGGCATCTGCTTCTGGCGAGGCCTCAGGGAGATTGCAATCACGGCAGAAGGCGAAGGGGGAGCAGGCATGTCACATGGCAAGAGGGAGCAAGAGAAGAGAAGTGGCACGTCCTAGACTTTTAAACAACCAGCTGTCACAGGGACTAACTGAGGGAGAACTCACTCATCACCTGGGAGATGGTGCTAGGCCATTCATGAGGGGTCCAGCCCCATGATCTAATCACCTCCCACCAGGCCCACCTCCAACACTGGGAATCACATCTCAACATGAAATTTGGAGAGACACACATCCAAACTATTGCACCACAGGAAGCTGGAAGAGGTGGACGGTCCTCCCCTGGAGCACTCAGAGACAGCCACCAACACCTTGATCTCAGATTCCTGACTCCCAGAACTCTGAAAAAATTTTTGTTGTTTTAAGCCACATTTGTGATATTTTGTTACGGCAGCCACAGCACGGATATAGCTGGTAACAGAGTTCTTTAGCCTCCAAAATACAAGCCTGGGGTAAATAACTATTGAATTTGGCCACATGGAAATCAGGAAGAATGTAATAAGCATCATCGATGGACGGGATGACCTGGGAGATCGTGGCAAGTTTAAAGCTAATTGGAAGTTGGCAACCAAAAAATCCTGTCTTGCAAATTGCCAGGAAATTGCCAAGAAAACTTTTAGAAAACATGGTTAAAGATGGAGAAACCTGGATGAATCCCTGGTTTCTGAAGAGGTGCTTAGGCATTGAAGTGAGACTGATGAGACTTCACACTGTACCTTCAGAAGGGCAGACACTCACGAGATCATCAACCACGGCTCCCTCGCTGGGAGGCAGACACAGAGCTGGAGGCGGCGGCCACAAACTAGGTGGGCAGAGAGGCGTCAGCATCGGGACTTGCGGGAGGCCCTGGGAAGGAACAGGCAGCGGTGGGGCCTGGACAGCCCTGGGGAAAGGAAGTTACTTGGAGGAGACCAGGGGCTTGCATTTGGGCCAAAACCAAGGACAAGAGATCAGCTGGTCCCAGGGAACTCTGGAGCCCAGCACCCCACCACGGGTGCAGGGTCCTGACAACCCGAGAGGGCTGTGGGCACCGGGCACCAGCCTGTGGGGATTCTGAAGGCTGCTGCCCAGCCACACGTCCCGGTTCTGAACAAAGGGTTCAAGAGACACCTGCAAACCTACCTTTCTGAGAGCAGCCTCTTAGCCTCAGCTGGTATTGGCCTTTGGTCACCCCACATGCCCCGACAGTGGGGCCTGGCCTCAGAAAGGGGCCCCTCCATTTGTACTTTCTATCTGATCCTTGACACAGTGCTAACACCAAAGACCAAACCCGAATCTTGGTTCACATACTCTGCAAAGAAATGACTAAGACTAGTTCTTCCGGAGGTCAGTTTTAGAACGTTTATTCTGACTTAATTCTGCCTTATCTCTGTGCACCAAGAAAACTATCTGCACATCTGTAGTAAAATGTGAAGGTACCTTCATTTTGTTTGTATACTAAACTTTTAAGAAATACCTCACTTTTTAAAACTTGGTTTTGTGTTTTGTATGCTTATAATATTTTCCATAATAGATCATTTTAATGATGAACTCTGAGTCTTCTGACAGAATGCAGATCAATGGATTCCTAGCCATCAGGGAGGCGTTGATTGCAAAGGGGCCTGGTGGAATTTTTGGAGAGATTCTACATCTTCTTGCAACTGTTCATCTGGATTACGGTGGTGGTTGCATGACTGTGCATTTGTTGAAACTTACATGTCACAGGATGGATTATACTGAATGTAAACTACACTTGAGTAAATATGACTTTTAAAACTTTAAAAAGTTGGGGGATGGTTCACTGCCCCGGCTCGAAGCCCCCTGGCCACGCTGCCTGGCCAGCCCACCCCCATCCCTGCCAGCGCTTGCCTCCAGCGTCCCAACAGCCTCCTGACCCCCTGGGCTGCTCTAAACCCTCAGGAGCGCAGCCATCCGGGATCAGCTGGATGGAGATGGGGAGCCCGAGACTCGTGCCACACCACGTCCTCCCGCCCACACCAGCCACACGCAGACGTCAAAGCAGCACTGTCCTCGCACGCACTGCTCCCACCCACCCTGGCACGGCCATTCCAGGCCTGGGGCAGGAAGGCAGATGCTCCCCCTGCCCCCAGACACAAGCATTCCTGCACACACCCCCAGCACACACACGCACTCCCATGCGCACACTGACACACACAGGTGTGTGCAGCTGAGACACAGCCCGTTCCCAGGAAGCCCAGCCCCCATCACTGAGGGAAAGGGGCAGCACCGTAGGGCCACAGGAGTGGCAGCTGGACACAGAGCCAGGAGCTGGTGAAGGCCCAGGCCACTGAGGCGGGCTGCCGGCATGGCTGGGCGTGAAGGCCAGAAGAGGGCAGGAGGGGCTGGGGGCACTATGCCTATTGGGCCTAGGTGGGCACACGCCGGGCAGGAGAGGAACAGCCCAGCCCCTCAGACAGGAAGGGGTGGGGGCAGGGGCCATTTGTGGAGGCCAGGGCAGGGCCAGCACCCCAAGGAAAAGCAGAGCAGGGTGAGAACGGACATGGGGCTCAGAGCTGAGCAGGCCTGCTGGGCCCCAGGAGGGAGACACAGATGACCGGAGATCTCAAGGCTGGCAGAGGCCAGAGATGGAGCCCCAGCTGGGAAGCCATCCTCCTTCCTGGGGGCCCACGCTGCCCGGCCCCTCCAGCCCAGCAAGCTTGGGGCATTGGATAGAACCGGGAGAGAGCCGACCAGGCACTGAGGCCCCTGCCCCAAATGCCCACAGCCTGGGGAAAATGAGCAGGTACATGGGAGGGGCAAGTGGAGCCCCAGGCACACCCACACAGTGCACACGGCCTCACCTGGGCCGGAGGGGGCAGGAGGCTCGCCACCCCGCTGTGGTTTCTCTCCTAATCTCACCCTGGGTTTCTCTCACACTTGATGCAGATGATGTTTCTCTGACATTGTGGACTAAGAGTTGGTGCTGGAAGGGGTTAGCCATCTTGGAGATGTTGCTATGGGATGCAGGGATTTTGCGTGTGAGAAGGACATGATTATGGGGGGAACGGAGGGCAAACTGTCATGGGTTAAAATGTGTCCCCTATAAATTCATGTGTTGAAGTCCTAACCCCCAGGACCGCAGAATGTGACCTTGTCTGGAAACAGTCTTTGCAGCTGCAATCAAGTTCAGATGAGGTCACCCTGGAGTAGGGCAAGCCTCTGATCCAATATGACTGCTGTCCTCATGAAAAGGGGGAATCTGGGCACAGACAGCACGTGGGGAGAACGCCCTGTGAAGATGGTGCTGCTTCCATAAGCCAAGAGCACCAGAGACGGCCGGCAAAGCCCAGCAGCAAGGAGAGAGCCTGGGACAGAGTCTCCCATGACACAGAGGAGCCAGCCCCACCGAGGCCTCCATCCCAGATGCCCGGCCTCCAGAACCAGGACGGAATAAACGTCTGTTGTTTAAGCCACGCAGTCTGGGGTGCAGTGTTGCCAGGGCCACAGTTAACGGATACGAGTGTTGTCCTGAGCTGCCAGCCCCACAGGCTGCACGAGGCCTCCCTGCCCCAGCCCAGTGCAGACTCCCCAGCCCCCTGGGTGTGCCATGGGCAGTGGGGGGCCCCTCACTCCGTCCTCCCCCAGCCTGGGAGGTTGAGCCCATTATGAGCTCCATGGGGTGAAGCTGGAACGAGAGGCTGGGAGCCGACTGGGAGCCTGCGGCTGGAGGATGGATTTCCCCAGGGACCCACACGTGCACCTCCACCTGTCTCCTGGACATTCTCTCTGAGGGCAGGGCTGGTGCCAGCTCAGGGATCCAGCAGGGTCACAAGGGCAGGCCGGGTCCTTGTGGAGAGCACATTTAGTGGGAGGGACATGATTTCCCTTCAAAGTGCCCATTCTGGACGCTTCCCGTTCCATGCTGGACGCTTCCTCTTCCACGCTGGATGCTTCCTGTTCCACGCTGGATGCTTCCTGTTCCACGCTGGATGTTTCCTGTTACACTCTGGATGCTTCCTGTTCCACACTGGATGCTTCCTGTTCCATCCTGGATGCTTCCTGTTCCATGCTGGACATTTCCTGTTCCACTCTGGATGCTCCCTGTTCCATGCTGGATGCTTCCTGTTCCATGCTGGATGCTTCCTGTTCCATGCTGGACATTTCCTGTTCCACTCTGCATGCTTCCTGTTCCACTCTGGATGCTTCCTGTTCCACACTGGACGCTTCCTGCTCCACGCTGGACGCTTCCTGTTCCATGCTGGATGCTTCCCGTTACATTCTGGATGCTTCCCGTTCCATGCTGGACGCTTCCTGTTCCACGCTGGACGTTTCTTGTTCCACTCTGGATGCTTCCTGTTCCACGCTGGATGCTTCCTTTTCCACGCTGGACACTTCCTGTTCCGCGCTGGACACTTCCTGCTCCACACTGGACGCTTCCTGCTCCAGGCTGGACGCTTCCTGTTCCATGCTGGATGCTTCCTGTTACATTCTGGATGCTTCCCGTTCCATGCTGGACGCTTCCTGTTCCACGCTGGACGTTTCTTGTTCCACTCTGGATGCTTCCTGTTCCACGCTGGACGCTTCCCATTCCACTCTGGATGCTTCCTGTTCCATGCTGGACATTTCTTGTTCCACTCTGGATGCTTCCTGTTCCATGCTGGATGCTTCCTGTTCCATGCTGGATGCTTCCTGTTCCATGCTGGACGTTTCTTGTTCCACTCTGGATGCTTCCTGTTACATGCTGGATGCTTCCTGTTCCATGCTGGACGTTTCTTGTTCCACTCTGGATGCTTCCTGTTCCATGCTGGATGCTTCCTGTTACATTCTGGATGCTTCCTGTTCCATGCTGGACATTTCCTGTTCCACTCTGGATGCTTCCTGTTACATTCTTGATGCTTCCTGTTCCATGCTGGACATTTCCTGTTCCACTCTGGATGCTTCCTGTTACATTCTGGATGCTTCCTGTTCCATGCTGGACATTTCCTGTTCCACTCTGGATGCTTCCTGTTACATTCTGGATGCTTCCTGTTCCATGCTGGACATTTCCTGTTCCACTCTGGATGCTTCCTGTTACATTCTTGATGCTTCCTGTTCCATGCTGGACATTTCCTGTTCCACTCTGGATGCTTCCTGTTACATTCTGGATGCTTCCTGTTCCACTCTGGACGCTTCCCATTCCACTCTGGATGCTTCCTTTTCCATGCTGGACCTTTCTTGTTCCACTCTGGATGCTTCCTGTTCCATGCTGGATGCTTCCTTTTCCATTCCGGACACTTCCTATTCCATTCTGGACACTTCCTGTGCGACACCTCCTCGGGCTTTTGGTCTGCCCAGTCCCTCTGGCCTCATACCATCCCCCCTTACCTCCCACTTCCACGTTCGTCCTTCCTCAGCTCCTCCCTCTCTCTAGAGCTTCGGCCTGGCAAGGTCCCTCCTGATCTCAGTCCAGGCTCCCCCAGCACAGGTAGGAGACTTGCACCTGCCCTTGGACCTCCCCACCCTGCATGATGCCAGCATCCCCCAGGCCCCAGGGAGGCCCCATTTCTCTCTCTGCTTGTAGTCCAGTGGCCCTGGAGTGCCACTGCAACTCGGGTGTGCCCCTCGCCTCTGAGGAAGCTAAGTGCCCTAAGCTAAGCAGAGGCCATCCCCTCTGCTCAGCCCCAGGGCCCTGCCCCCTACCCCTTCCCCTCACCTGCACCACAGGCTCTGGCCAACTCTGCCCAGGCTCTGAATGGGCCCCTCTGGCTCCCCTCTGCTGCTACACTGCCCTGCACCACCTCCACTCAGCTTCAGTGTGTTCATCCACCTGTCCCACGTCCCCTCGGCCCCCAGGAGCACAGCTGGTGGCCCTGGCTCCTGGCAGCCCATCTTGTTCCTTCTGGAGCACCAGCCTCAGAAGCCTTCCTGTGCAGGGTCCACTCGGCCAGCCCTGGGACCCTCCTGGTCTCAAGCACACACATTCTCCCTGCAGCCAGACCTGCCCCTGCCTGTGAGCTCAGACCTGAGCCTTGGAACGCCTTCCCTTCTCCATCCCAGCTCGCCTTTGCCAGCTGCTCAGCGGGATGAACTCACACTCCCCTCCCTGCACCATGAGTGAGAGCCAGCTGGAGAGACGCCCAGGCCAAAGCAGCCACCAGGGCCCAGTGGGGGTCAGAAGCTTCAGGTGAGAGGCCCAGGTATTGAGAGGCTGAGACCACGGGCAGAATGGTCATAATCACTGCCAGTATCAGTCCAGCCCCAGGGACTCAGAGACAGAGAAAAGAGCAGTGAACAAGGTCCGGGCTCCCCACCTTCTCCCACGAGTATGGGGGCAGCCACCACCCCCATCCCCACACACCCATGAGGCAGCCTCGGCTGTGTCTGGACTCCCCCTTACCCTGTGACACAGAAACCACCAGAAGAAAAGGGAACTTCAGGAAGTAAGCGGTGCCGCCGGTTTCAATCCTGTTCTTAGTCTTTGCAGCGTGGAGTTCACACCCCTGGGGACCTGAGGGCCGAGCTGTGATTTCCTAGGAAGACAAATAGCAGCTGACGGCGTGGGCAAGTCTGCCCACATGTACCGCGCCAAAACAGGAAGGGCTGAGACCCCCACCTCGGTGAGTAGGGTCAGCACAGGGCAAGGGCACAGGCTCGGGAGGAGAAGGACAGAGCCTGGGTGCAGCCGTGGGCGCTCCTGGACCTCAGCTGCTGAACAGGCTACAAGAGGCTGGGGAGACGTGGGGGCAAGGCCAGCCCCACATGGAGACCCAAGCGGAGCCAGCACGGGGGAGGTGGGCAGCCTTCAGGCACCAACGCCCACCCAGTGCAAGATGACGGGGACCGTGGGCAGGGGCTTCCAAGCCAACAGGGCAGGACACACCAGAGGCTGACTGAGGCCTCCATGACGACCAGGCTGGGAGCACGAGGAACCTGACGGGATGCGGCAGAGCCGGCCGTGGGGTGATGCCAGCATGGGCAGGACCCACCTGAGCTGAGGAGGCAGTAGAACGAGGGAGGAGGAGAGGCCCCAGGTGAACGGAGGGGCTTGTCCAGGCCAGCAGCATCACTGGAGCCCAGGGCAGGGTCAGCAGTGCTGGCCGTGGGGCCCTCTCTCAGCCAGGACCAAGGACAGCAGGTGAGCCGGGAGCAGAGCAGGGAGGGTGAGTGTGGCAGCAGGACAGGAGGGTGGAAGCCAAGGAGCCCAGAGGCAGAGGCAGGGACAGGGGAGGCACAGGGGCTAGGCTCAGAGCCACCTGATGGCGCTGGGGCACCTGCTGGCGGGGAGCAGGGCTGTGGTCAGCAGCGGAGTGGAGGGGAGAGCTGTGCTGAGTGCACAGATGGGAGGAGGGAAGAGTCCAGGGAGGCCCAGAAAGGCCCAGAGTGCAGCAGGCCTGGGGCGAGGGGAGGGGTGAGGCTCCGTGCGTTCAGGGAGCTGACCCAGCAGAGCAGAGGCCACTGAGGAGCTGAGGTTCTGGAGAGGCTTCCAGAGCAGGAGCAGTGCAGGGACGGGAGGATCTGGGAGCTCACCCAGGAGGGGCACATGGGCAAGGGCAAGGGGCTCTGTTGGGGAGACCTGACTGGACACTGGGGCTGCTCCACAGCATAGGGAACAAGCCAAGTGCTGCAAAAACAAAAATGAGGCCAGAAAAACAGCCCAAACCTGGACAGAGGGTGCCAGGACAGGCAGGGGGGCAACAGTGACCTGAGTGACATTGCTGCCCGGGTTGAGGGAGGGCAGAGTGAGCAGGGGGCAGGCATTGGAGTTCAGGGTACCAGGACCGAGCAGCCACAGGTGAGCAGGGCAGGTGGGGGCAGAAGGAGCAGGGGGCACCTCCTGGAGCTCAGCAGACCAGGGCAGAGCAACTGAAGGTGAACAAGGGCAGGTGGGAGGCAGGATGAGCAGGGGGAAGACCCTGGAGCTCAGGGGACCAGGGCAGAGCAGCCTCAGGTGCCTCAGGTGAGCAGGGGCTGGTGGGTGGCAGGACGAGTAGGGGACAGCTCCTGGAGCTCAGGGGACCAGGACAGAGCATCAAGAGCTGAGCATGGCTAGTGGGAGGTGGGCGAACAGGGTGCAGCCCCTGGAACTCGGGACCAGGGCAGAGCAGCGGCAGGTGAGCACGGGCTGGTGGGAGGCAGGAGGAACAGGGGGCAGCTCTGGGACTTCAGGGGACCAGGGGAGGGCATCTGAAGGTGAACAGGGGCTGGTGGGGGCAGGAAGAGCAGGGGGAAGCCCCTGGAGCTCAGGGGACCAGGGCAGAGCAGCCACAGGTGAGCAGGGGCTGGTAGGAAGCAGGAGGAGCAGGGGACAGCCCCTGGAGCTCAGAGCACCAGGGCAGAGCACCCTCAGGTAAGCAGGGGCAGGTAGGAGGCAGGACGAGCAGGGGACAGCCCCTGGAGCTCAGGGGACAGAGGAGAGCATCAGAAGGTGAGCAGGACTGAGGCTTAGCCTCAGGGAATCAGAGCAGAGCAGCCACAGGTGAGCAGGGCCGGTGGGAGGCAGGACGAGCAGGGGACAGGCACTAGAGCTCAGGGCAAGGCAACCACAGGTGAGCAGGGCCGGTGGGAGGCATCACTCAGCTCCTAGATTTTGGCAGGAGCTGGGTAGTTGCTGGCAGCAGACAGCTGAGGGCTGGTGAAAGTGCAGTGCAGCCTCCTGGTGCCAGGAAGGGAGTGTGAGCCCATCCCACTGAGCAGTTGGCAAGGGTGAGCTGGGATGGAGAAGGGAAGGCATTCCAGGGCTCGGGGCTGAGCTCTCAGGCAGGGGCAGGTGTGGCTGCAGGGGGAATGTGTGCTTGAGACCAGGAGGGTCCCAGGGCTGGCCCCAGCGGACCCTAGGCAGGAAGGCCTCTGAGGCTGGCGCCCCAGAAGGAGCAAGATGGGCTGCCAGGAGCCAGGGCCACCAGCACAATGAAGCTGAGTGGAGGTGGTGCAGGGCAGTGTAGCAGCAGAGGGCTGCCAGAGGGGCCCATTCAGGGCCTGGGCAGAGTCAGCCAGAGCCTGTGGTGCAGGTGAGGGGAAGGGGTGGTGAGCGGGGCCCTGGGGCTGAGCAGAGGGGATGGCCTGGCTGAGGGCAGGGCACTTAGCCTCCTCAGAGGTCAGGGGCACACCCCACCTGCAGTGGGACTCCAGGGCCACTGGGCCAGCGGCAGAGAGAAATGGGGCCTCCCTGTGGCCTGGGGGTCCTGGCACCACGCAGGGTGGGGAGGGCCAAGGGCAGGTGCAAGGCTCCTACCTGTGCTGGGGGGCCTGGGTTGAGCCCAGCAGGGACCTTGCCGGGGGAAGCTCTGGAGAGAGGGAGGAGGTGGGCTGGTGGCCGAGAAGGCCAGGCCAGGGCTGGGAGGGTGAGGTTGTGGTGACTGAGCCTCCAGAAGTAATGCAGGACACTGGGAGGCAGGGGGCATCCAGGCACTCAGGGCCCTGACCTGGGCTGCTGCACACTGGGGCTAAGGGGAAAGGAGGGGAGAGGCTGAGGAGGAGGCTCCAGGAGGCTATTCCAAGGCAGGGGGTTCCGGGGCCCTGGGGCTGAAGGGCGCCGACCCTATGCAGTGTCTGGCCCCTCTGCTGCACAGAAGAAAAGGGCCTTGGAGGGCAGAGGGCAGGCTATGACCAGGGCCCTGGGCAAGTCAGGCCCACTCACTAGCGGAGGGCCACGCTGGGGCGGCAGGGTCAGGAGCTTCAGGGGACTCGGGGGACCCACGAGAAGCCATCTGAGAACAGTGTCCACTGGTCAAGCCAGGCACCCATAAAAGGCTGGAGTGGGGCCAATGGGCATGAGCCGTCCCTGAGGTGGCACCGATGGCCAGAGCTGAGGCCAAGCTAGAGGCCCTGGACTGTGCTGACTCCCGGCAGGCACAGAGCGCTGACCTGGCTGCCGAGCCCCGCCTCCTAGGCTGCAGGGGTGCCTGCAGAAGGGCACCACAGGGCCACCGGTCCTGCAAGCTTTCTGGGGCAGGCCGGGCCTGACTTTGGCTTTGGGGCAGGGAGGGGGCTAAGGTGACGCAGGTGGCGCCAGCCAGGTGCACACCCAATGCCCGTGAGCCCAGACACTGGACCCTGCCTGGACCCTCGCAGATAGACAAGAACCGAGGGGCCTCTGCGCCCTGGGCCCAGCTCTGTCCCACACCGCGGTCACATGGCACCACCTCTCTTGCAGCCTCCACCAAGGGCCCATCGGTCTTCCCCCTGGCGCCCTGCTCCAGGAGCACCTCCGAGAGCACAGCGGCCCTGGGCTGCCTGGTCAAGGACTACTTCCCCGAACCGGTGACGGTGTCGTGGAACTCAGGCGCTCTGACCAGCGGCGTGCACACCTTCCCGGCTGTCCTACAGTCCTCAGGACTCTACTCCCTCAGCAGCGTGGTGACCGTGCCCTCCAGCAACTTCGGCACCCAGACCTACACCTGCAACGTAGATCACAAGCCCAGCAACACCAAGGTGGACAAGACAGTTGGTGAGAGGCCAGCTCAGGGAGGGAGGGTGTCTGCTGGAAGCCAGGCTCAGCCCTCCTGCCTGGACGCACCCCGGCTGTGCAGCCCCAGCCCAGGGCAGCAAGGCAGGCCCCATCTGTCTCCTCACCCGGAGGCCTCTGCCCGCCCCACTCATGCTCAGGGAGAGGGTCTTCTGGCTTTTTCCACCAGGCTCCAGGCAGGCACAGGCTGGGTGCCCCTACCCCAGGCCCTTCACACACAGGGGCAGGTGCTTGGCTCAGACCTGCCAAAAGCCATATCCGGGAGGACCCTGCCCCTGACCTAAGCCGACCCCAAAGGCCAAACTGTCCACTCCCTCAGCTCGGACACCTTCTCTCCTCCCAGATCCGAGTAACTCCCAATCTTCTCTCTGCAGAGCGCAAATGTTGTGTCGAGTGCCCACCGTGCCCAGGTAAGCCAGCCCAGGCCTCGCCCTCCAGCTCAAGGCGGGACAGGTGCCCTAGAGTAGCCTGCATCCAGGGACAGACCCCAGCTGGGTGCTGACACGTCCACCTCCATCTCTTCCTCAGCACCACCTGTGGCAGGACCGTCAGTCTTCCTCTTCCCCCCAAAACCCAAGGACACCCTCATGATCTCCCGGACCCCTGAGGTCACGTGCGTGGTGGTGGACGTGAGCCACGAAGACCCCGAGGTCCAGTTCAACTGGTACGTGGACGGCGTGGAGGTGCATAATGCCAAGACAAAGCCACGGGAGGAGCAGTTCAACAGCACGTTCCGTGTGGTCAGCGTCCTCACCGTCGTGCACCAGGACTGGCTGAACGGCAAGGAGTACAAGTGCAAGGTCTCCAACAAAGGCCTCCCAGCCCCCATCGAGAAAACCATCTCCAAAACCAAAGGTGGGACCCGCGGGGTATGAGGGCCACATGGACAGAGGCCGGCTCGGCCCACCCTCTGCCCTGGGAGTGACCGCTGTGCCAACCTCTGTCCCTACAGGGCAGCCCCGAGAACCACAGGTGTACACCCTGCCCCCATCCCGGGAGGAGATGACCAAGAACCAGGTCAGCCTGACCTGCCTGGTCAAAGGCTTCTACCCCAGCGACATCTCCGTGGAGTGGGAGAGCAATGGGCAGCCGGAGAACAACTACAAGACCACACCTCCCATGCTGGACTCCGACGGCTCCTTCTTCCTCTACAGCAAGCTCACCGTGGACAAGAGCAGGTGGCAGCAGGGGAACGTCTTCTCATGCTCCGTGATGCATGAGGCTCTGCACAACCACTACACACAGAAGAGCCTCTCCCTGTCTCCGGGTAAATGAGTGCCACGGCCGGCAAGCCCCCGCTCCCCAGGCTCTCGGGGTCGCGCGAGGATGCTTGGCACGTACCCCGTCTACATACTTCCCGGGCACCCAGCATGGAAATAAAGCACCCAGCGCTGCCCTGGGCCCCTGCGAGACTGTGATGGTTCTTTCCGTGGGTCAGGCCGAGTCTGAGGCCTGAGTGGCATGAGGGAGGCAGAGCGGGTTCCACTGTCCCCACACTGGCCCAGGCTGTGCAGGTGTGCCTGGGCCGCCTAGGGTGGGGCTCAGCCAGGGGCTGCCCTCGGCAGGGTGGGGGATTTGCCAGCGTGGCCCTCCCTCCAGCAGCAGCTGCCCTGGGCTGGGCCACGGGAAGCCCTAGGAGCCCCTGGGGACAGACACACAGCCCCTGCCTCTGTAGGAGACTGTCCTGTCCTGTGAGCGCCCTGTCCTCCGACCTCCATGCCCACTCGGGGGCATGCCTAGTCCATGTGCGTAGGGACAGGCCCTCCCTCACCCATCTACCCCCACGGCACTAACCCCTGGCTGCCCTGCCCAGCCTCGCACCCGCATGGGGACACAACCGACTCCGGGGACATGCACTCTCGGGCCCTGTGGAGGGACTGGTCCAGATGCCCACACACACACTCAGCCCAGACCCGTTCAACAAACCCCGCGCTGAGGTTGGCCGGCCACACGGCCACCACACACACACGTGCACGCCTCACACACGGAGCCTCACCCGGGCGAACCGCACAGCACCCAGACCAGAGCAAGGTCCTCGCACACGTGAACACTCCTCAGACACAGGCCCCCACGAGCCCCACGCGGCACCTCAAGGCCCACGAGCCGCTCGGCAGCTTCTCCACATGCTGACCTGCTCAGACAAACCCAGCCCTCCTCTCACAAGGTGCCCCTGCAGCCGCCACACACACACAGGCCCCCACACACAGGGGAACACACGCCACGTCGCGTCCCTGGCACTGGCCCACTTCCCAATGCCGCCCTTCCCTGCAGCTGAGGTCACATGAGGTGTGGGCTTCACCATCCTCCTGCCCTCTGGGCCTCAGGGAGGGACACAGGAGATGGGGAGCGGGTCCTGCTGAGGGCCAGGTCGCTATCTAGGGCTGGGTGTCTGGCTGAGTCCCGGGGCCAAAGCTGGTGCCCAGGGCAGGCAGCTGTGGGGAGCTGACCTCAGGACACTGTTGGCCCATCCCGGCCGGGCCCTACATCCTGGGTCCTGCCACAGAGGGAATCACCCCCAGAGGCCCGAGCCCAGCAGGACACAGTATTGACCACCCACTTCCTGTCCAGAGCTGCAACTGGAGGAGAGCTGTGCGGAGGCGCAGGACGGGGAGCTGGACGGGCTGTGGACCACCATCACCATCTTCATCACACTCTTCCTGCTAAGCGTGTGCTACAGTGCCACCATCACCTTCTTCAAGGTTGGCCGCACGTTGTCCCCAGCTGTCCTTGACATTGTCCCCCATGCTGTCACACACTGTCCCCATGCTGTCCCCACATGTCCCTGACACTGTCCCCCATGCTGTCCCCACCTGTCCCGGACACTCTCCTCCGCGCTGTCTTGACCTGTGCCCAACACTGTCCCCCACGCTATCCCCCCATCCCCAACAATGTCCCCCACAGTTTCCTCCTGTCCCCTATCCCCGACACTGTCCTCCACACTGTCCCCACCTCTCCCTGTCACTGTCGCCCATGCTGCCCCCACCTGTCCCAACACTTTCCTCCAAGCTGTCCTCACCTGTCCCCAACACTCTCCCCCACACTCTCTCCACCTGTCCCTGACACTCTCCCCCATGCTGTCCCCACCTGTCCCTGATGCTGTCCTCCACACTGTCCCCACCTCTCCCTGTCACTGTCCCCATGCTGTCCCCTGTCCCTCACACTTTCCTCCATGCTGTCCTCACCTGTCCCCAACACTCTCCCCCACTGTCTCCACCTGTCCCTGACACTGTCCCCCACACTGTCCCCACCTGTCCCTGATGCTGTCGTCTGTGCTGTCCACATACTGTTGGTGACCTGGCTCTGTTCTCCAAGTTCAAGCCTCAGAGCAGGCAGTGGTGAGGCCGTGGCACCTGGGTGGCCTGAGGGGTGGGCGGGCCTTGGGGGCAGGGCTGTGGCCTCGCTCACCCCTGTGCTGTGCCTTGCCTACAGGTGAAGTGGATCTTCTCCTCAGTGGTGGACCTGAAGCAGACCATCGTCCCCGACTACAGGAACATGATCAGGCAGGGGGCCTAGGGCCACCCTCTGTGGGGTGTCCAGGGCCGCCCAGACCCCACACAGGAGCCGTGGGCCATGCTCAGCCATCACCCAGGCCACACCTGCCCCCGACCTCACCGCCCTCAACCCCATGGCTCTCTGGCCTCGCAGTCGCCCTCTGACCCTGACACGCCCCCCTTCCAGACCCTGTGCATAGCAGGTCTACCCCAGACCTCCGCTGCTTGGTGCATGCAGGGCGCTGGGGGCCAAGTGTCCCCTCAGCAGGACGTCCCTGCCCTCCGGCCCGCCAGGTGCTCACACAAAAGGAGGTAGTGACCAGCATCCCAGGCCCCCACTCAGGCAGGACCTCGCCCTGGAGCCAACCCTGTCCACGCCAGCCTCCTGAACACAGGCGTGGTTTCCAGATGGTGAGTGGGAGCATCAGTCGCCAAGGTAGGGAAGTCACAGCACCATCAGGCCCTGTTGGGGAGGCTTCCGAGAGCTGCGAAGGCTCACTCAGACGGCCTTCCTCCCAGCCCGCAGCCAGCCAGCCTCCATTCCAGGCACTCCCGTGAACTCCTGACATGAGGAATGAGGTTGTTCTGATTTCAAGCAAAGAACGCTGCTCTCTGGCTCCTGGGAACAGTCTCAGTGCCAGCACCACCCCTTGGCTGCCTGCCCACACTGCTGGATTCTCGGGTGGAACTCGACCCGCAGGGACAGCCAGCCCCAGAGTCCGCACTGGGGAGAGAAGGGGCCAGGCCCAGGACACTGCCACCTACCACCCACTCCAGTCCACCGAGATCACTCGGAGAAGAGCCTGGGCCATGTGGCCGCTGCAGGAGCCCCACGGTGCAAGGGTGAGGATAGCCCAAGGAAGGGCTGGGCATCTGCCCAGACAGGCCTCCCAGAGAAGGCTGGTGACCAGGTCCCAGGCGGGCAAGACTCAGCCTTGGTGGGGCCTGAGGACAGAGGAGGCCCAGGAGCATCGGGGAGAGAGGTGGAGGGACACCGGGAGAGCCAGGAGCGTGGACACAGCCAGAACTCATCACAGAGGCTGGCGTCCAGCCCCGGGTCACGTGCAGCAGGAACAAGCAGCCACTCTGGGGGCACCAGGTGGAGAGGCAAGACGACAAAGAGGGTGCCCGTGTTCTTGTGAAAGCGGGGCTGCTGGCCACGAGTGCTGGACAGAGGCCCCCACGCTCTGCTGCCCCCATCACGCCGTTCCGTGACTGTCACGCAGAATCCGCAGACAGGGAGACTCGAGCGGGAGTGCGGCCAGCGCCTGCCTCAGCTGTCAGGGAGGACTCCCGGGCTCACTCGAAGGAGGTGCCACCATTTCAGCTTTGGTAGCTTTTCTTCTTCTTTTAAATTTTCTAAAGCTCATTAATTGTCTTTGATGTTTCTTTTGTGATGACAATAAAATATCCTTTTTAAGTCTTGTACTTCGTGATGGGAGCCGCCTTCCTGTGTCCACGCGCCTCCTGCCCCCGGTGGGAAGCACGGTCAGGAGGAGGCTGGTCCAGCTGCACCTCGGGGGCTCCCTGCATACGCCCCCCGCCTCCTGCAGCCACACGCATTGCCCGAGCGACCCTCCCTGGCCCCTGTCGCTACATGGACCCCCGGGGTTTCTCCTCTTTTCTACATGGATGCAGTTTCTCCTCCTGCTGGGCACGGTGCTGCCTGCCCTGGTCACTCTGCGGGGGACAGGGCCTCCAGGGAAAGCTGGGTCGAGGCTGGGAGCTGGCTCAGGCTGCCCAGGCAGAGCCACAGGGAGGGCCTTCCAGAACCAACCATGGTCCGAAGCGAGAGGTGGGTGTCAGATCTGTGTGAGTCAGCTCAGGACCACAGCGGGGCGGCTCCCACAGCAGACATGGATCCTCCCAGGCCTAGAGACCAGGAATCTGAGATCAGGATGCAGGCAGGGCTGGTTTCTCTCAAGCCCTCTCTCCTTGGCTTGTAGACACCGTCTCCTCCCTGGTCCTCACATGGCCATCCCTCTGTGTGCCCGTGTCCTAAGCTTCTCTTCTTATAAGAACACACATCGGATTAGATTAGTGACCCCCTATGAACTTAATGACCTCTGTAAAGACCCCATCTCCAAATAGTCACATTGTGAGGCCAGGGATTAAGACTTGAATATATGAATTTGTAGGGGCCACGATTTAACCCATCACAGTCCAGACTCTGGCCCCCAAAATTCATGTTCTTCTCACATGCAAAACACATTCATCCTGTCTCAGCATCCCCCTGGGCACTAGGTCATGTAGCAAGGACGGATTTTCAACAGAAATAACTATTGCAACAGAAGAAAGAGTCCGGCATGACCTGGACTCACCTTCATCTGTGCAGAGGCCACAGCCTTGTAAAGGGAGGTGGTAGGGGGAGCAGGGAGGGTGCTCGGGGCTCAGTCGTCGGGGAAGGGAAAAGTTGCCCAGCGCTGGTCAGCGTCCCCGGGATGGGACCCGCTGTGTCTGTGCCGGCCACTGTTGAGGTCAGGATTCTGTCCTCCCAGAGCCTGGAGACACAGGCCCCATCCTTCCCAATGGGGACACTTCAGGGAGTGGCTCTCAGGTCCCGAGAAAGACCCTCCTGGGTCACAGGAAATGCACAGACATCGGGAACGGATAGAAGGTCGTGTGGTTGCGGCCCTCTCAGCAGATACCCTGAGAAAGGGAGGTCGGGGTTGGTCCAAACGGTGAGTTCTGGTGCACGGAGCTTTCTCAGGCAGGTGTTGACGGGGCAGGGGTCGGCCTAGGGGTACGGCCAGAAGCTGTTAGAAACTGTTAGTGTCTGCTCAAGTCTTTACAAGCCAAGGTTGAGGCCGAGTGGAGAGGCTCCGAGGAGCCTGGCTGGAACTCAGTCAAGGACAGGGTCTTGTTACTGCAGTGGCTGCGGTGGCTGCGGTGGCTGCGAAATGCCGTCGGAGTTGCCTGTGGCAGGAGAGAGACCATCTCACCCAGGAAGGAGGAGTGGTTGGATTCGTTTGTGTGGCATCGAGCAGCTGGAGCTTCACCAAACACAGAGTTGGGGACTAAATCCCCAGACTCCAGGCCCTGCCATGCCGTGGGAAGGCTCGCCACTGGAGGGTGCGCTCCAGGGGGCCTGGCCTGAACTGGGTGCTGAAGCCCAGCCCTTTAACTCTCAGGACACGCTGCTGCAGCCCCGCGGGGGGTGAGGGAGAGAGCACCTGGGGTGCAGGGCGGGCAGCTGCTGCATCACCGGCTCTATCCCAAGCCCAAGGATGGCGTCCCAGAGATGCAGGAGAGCTTTGTCCAGAGAAGGTGCCAGCCCTCAGGGACCCTGCTGGAGAGATCTCCACCCTCTGCCCTTCAAGGGGCCCTACGGGCCTCCAGGTGCTCTGGTGGGGTGGGCTCCAGTCCACTGTCTGAGGATGGACGGCCTGGCCAGGATAAGGAAAGGAAACCCAGGACGGTGCCGGGCTCCGGGTCATTCCGTGCACTGAGCAGGCTGAGTTGGGAAGAAGCAGATGCTTCCTGCAGCTGCTGCCCCCTGCAGGGCCTGGCGCCTGGACCAGGTTCCCCTGGGGAAATTGGGCCCCTCCCTGAGCCACCCGGGGCCCACCTCCCACTTTCTACCTGGGACCGAGCATCCTCCAGAGGGTCAGCCCTCCTGCGGGAACACCATGCCCAGCCCCAGGACCCTCCCTCAACTCTCCAGCAAGGCTGCCCCTGCACACCCCCCAGCAGCCCATGCTGTGATGTAACATGACATCGTGTGACATGGTGTGATGTCCTATCACAGTGTGACATCCCTGGTGTGATGTGGTGTGACATGGTGGGATGTGGTGTGACATGGTGTGATGTCCCTGGTGTGAGGTGGTGTTGGACATAGTGTGATGTGATGCGACAGATGTAACATCCCTGGTGTGATTTGGTGTGACGTAGTGTGATGGGTATGACATCCCTGGCTTGATGAGGTATAATATGAAATGATGTGGAATGGTGTGACATGATGTGATGTGATGGGACAGGGTGTGACGTCCCTGGTGTGATGTGATGTAACAGGCTGTGACATAGTGTGATGTGGGTGGTGTGACATGATGTGATGTGGTGTGATGGTGTGGGACATCCCTGGTGTGATGGGGTGTGATTAAACCTTGATTCCATGCAGCACATGTTTCTGTGAGCACAGGGTTGGGGCTAAAGTTACAGGTTAACAGCATCTCAAAGCAGAACAATTTTTCTTTGTACAGATCAAAATGGAGTTTCTTATGTGTTCCTTTTCTACATAGGCACAGTAACAGTCTGATCTTTCTTTTCCCCACAGTGTGACATGGTGTGACATTTCTGGTGTGACTCTTGTGTTGTGACATTTGTGGTCACCCCAGGATACAGAGGTCTCTGTGGCCAAGGGAAGGGGGAGAATGGAACCATCTGAGCATGTTGACCTGGAGGAATTGGTGGCCCTTGAGTCCACGAAGCCCACCCTTCCAGGTGCCCCTGCCCCACGTGACCCAAGTGGGCTTGCAGAGCAGCAAGCAGGACTCTGGTTAGACAGGAGGAAGGACCTGCCACCACGTGGCCTTGTGAGGAGACAGAGCGAGGCTGTGACCTCGGCGTCCGCCCAGCACAGGGTGCTGCTGAAGCTCCTCCGGTCCTCTCAGCAGCGGTCTCAGAGCAAGGCCCAAGGCAGGCTGAAGAGAGGGGCAGAGGGAGGATGCTGGGGAGGCAGGTGTGAGGGGACTGAGAGCCCAGGTTTCAGCTGAGCCCCTCCACAGGGAAGGAGCCTAGCTGAACACCCATCTCCCCACACGCTCCCAACCCTGCCTCTGCCCGACCACCTCCCAGAGGGCACCTCGAACCCTCTGCTACCCACACTCAGCAAGGGGTATGGTGCCCCCACCAAGCCCAGCCAGCAAAGCCTGGCACAGCCACGCCTGTGCCCACCACTCCCATGGCCAAGGTCACTGCTAACATGGCAGGACAGAGCCAGGCCTGGAGGAGACAGAACATCAGTCCCATGGGGAAGCTCCCTGCTCACACGGCAGGGCCAGGCCTGGAGAAGACAGAACACCCCATCTGGCATGGTACTCAGGCTGCACATGCCTGCCACGAACGGGGGCCACGCGACAATGCCTGCCACACATGGGGGCCACGCAACGATGCCTGCCACACATGGGGGCCACGCGACGATGCCTGCCACACATGGGGGCCACGCGACGATGCCTGCCACGCATGGGGGACACGTGACACACACATACACACACGGGCCTCACAGGCACACAAATGCTTGCGAACCCAGCACCCACCCAGCACACTCAGGCATAGGCTCCCTGGGCAGGTCACAACCTCACGCCTTGAGCTAGTCCATGTGCCAGGCCCGTCACCCACGTACTCGTCCCCGGTGCTAGCTATTGAGCCACACCGTCTTCTCTGTGGATCCCTCCCAGCCCACTCAGCACAATGGACATGCTCTCTCCCGTCCAGTGACTGCACCGGCCTCTTCCCCTCAGCACCCAAGTCTGGCCATCTCCCAGGAAACCCGGACCACCACGGGCAGGGACCACGTTCCTCACTGTCCACGTGGACCACCCCACACCTGACCCCAGATGCAGTCACACTACGTCCTGCTTCAATATTGAAAAGGGGAAAAGCTGGAGGAGGGTAAAGATGAAAGAGAAAAAAGCAAGAGGGGAGGGTCACATTCTTCTGAGGCTTTGATTACATCTCACTGAGCCCCCACGTTGCATGAAAAGGAGGGGTGGAGGGAGCAATTACACATTTGCCTTGTGCTCAGTAAATCTGCACTTTATAAGCAAATAAACAGAGTAGAGGAAGAAGTCAAATATGCATTCGTCTCAGGGGCAGGAGGGATGATTTCTTGTCTCATTTTGTCCCATGTCATGAAGACCGGGCTGTTAATTTATATTGTCAGGGTGAGGGAGGCCACCTGGGTAGACCTGGCCTATCTGCTGCTGCTCTCAGTTTGGAAACAAAAGGAAACGCATGACTTTTTTTTTTTTTTTCATGACTCAGCTTCCCACCTCAACTGTTCTTTTTGGCATAGTGACTTTAGGGTCCTGAGATTTTATTTTCCTTTCACAATGGTCAAGATCACACCCTCAGTATTCAGGAGAGCTGGTCCAACCCAGACCCCTGCCGTCCCTGGACGCTTTTCAAATACGTGCTGCAGTCTCTGACACTCTCTCACCATGGTAGAAACTGAGGTCTTGGTGAGTCTGCAGCCCCTGCTCATGGGGACAATGCAGGCTGAAACCCGCATTTCTGACCCCAAAGCTCCTGTTCCTTTCACTCACCCCCACACCAGCTCTTTGAGTCCAGAGCTTTGTCCTTGCCTGAGTCCTACCCTCAGGGACAGGGGCCCAACCCAGCCACCAACACATCATACCCTGAGAGGGTGCCAGGAGCCCAGAGATGTTTGGAGAGCACAGTAGCCCTGGAAGCTCTGTGGAGATGCTGCACATTTCTCTATTCAACAGATACTCGCCAGGTGGCCAGCAGCAGAGATGCCACATGGCATGGAGCTCGCCTTGGCCAACAGGACAGGTGTGGGGTTGGGAGGCCTTCCCAGGGCACTCCTTGAAGCAGAGCTGTGGGGAAAAGTTGGGGCCAATCTCAGATCTCCCCGTCAACACCGGGTCTCCTGCCCTCCTGGGCCACAGAAAACTAAGCTCCGTGGATACTGCGGCTGGGTGGGGCCGTGGGGGAGAAGAAATCACAACGAGTTAAAAGATCATTTTCTAAAACTGTTATGATCAGGACTCACATAACCATATGACGACACATTTCAGAGATGCTCTTTATCTCATTAATTAAGGTGTCGTAACCAGTTCAAAGTGGAATTCTAAGTACTACACTTACATAATTGATTCAGGAATGCTAAAAGGAGTTCATAGATAGATGCAAAACTGGCCTTTTCCCTGGAAGATGAGGAGCAATTCATTGTCCTTCCAAAGATGAGAACTTGAATTTCTACCAACTCAAAGAGCTTTTGCATTGCTATCAATTATGTACAACTTAGAGCAGTGGTCCCCAACATTTTTGGCACCAGGAACCAGTTCCATGGAAGACAATTTTTCCACAGACCAGGATCGGGGGATGGCTTGGGGACAAAGCTGTTCCACCTCAGATCATTAGGCATTAGGGTGTCATAAGGAGTGTGCAACTTAGATCCCGGGAATGTGCGGCTCGCAATAGGGTTCGCTCCTGTGAGAATCTAATGCTGCCACTGATCTGACAGGAGGTGGAGCTCGGGCAGGAATGCTCACACACCCCTCACCTCCTGCTCTGTGGCCCAGTTCCTAACAGGCCATGAACCGGTTCCAGTGCATGACCCAGGGATTGGGGACCCCTGGCTTATAGAGGTGTAAAATAGTTCAAAGGAAATAAAAGATGCAGAGCTCCACAGAATGAAATAACCTGGAAGAGTGTACAAGACGATGCCTTGCTTTCCATGGAAGGCACCTACTAATTTTTCTCAATGTTTCCTATAAACATATATAACTGACTGACAGAAACAGATCCATAATATAAAGAAGACCCCTGTAAACCAATGAGAAAAAAAATCAAATAATCCAACGAGGAATAGGCAAGAGAATTGAACAGATGTTTTACAGAAGATATCCAAATAGCCACTAAACATATGAAAAGGTGTTGAACCACACTAGTCAACAGGGAAATGAAAATGAAAAACCACATGAGAGAAAGTAGTTCTGATTCCAGTAATGCTAGAGCAGCTAATATCAGACTAGCCCTTTGGCAGATGGCAATTATAAACACTGGAAACACTGTAAGCACACACAACACCCACACACACCAATTGCAGGCACTGGAACATGACCAGAAGTAGGCAAACACTAGTAAGGATTATTCCGTGAAATATTCGTCTGAAGTCACACCCCAGTGCATGTAATGGGTGCAGCTAGAGTTTAAGCAGGAAACTGCAGCCCTCCTGGTGAGGAGTGGGATGCAGGGCTGCATTTTCAGAGCAGCTGGAAATGAAGAGAAGATGTCCATAAAGGAGAAGCTCACCGAAGGGAAACCACACAATCTGCAAGTAAACTCCACTGAAACCTCTGGCCGATCCCTTAGGTGTGCATGGGTAGGGAAAACTCCAAAGGGCCCAGCAGAAAGCAACACCTGTAAGTCGAGAGAACTGAGATTCCAGCTACTGCCAACTGCCAGGCAGACAGACTTGGGAGTTTGAGTCAACTCAAGCTAACTGCTAACATTGAAAAAAACAATTAATGCTCTGCTAAGAAAGAATGCAAACCCCATAGCCTGTACGCATGTTATCAACATCAGGTGCACATCCAAAATTACCATGGATGCAAAGAAACATGAAAATGTGATCCATAGTCAGAAGAAAAAGGGATCAATGGAGATCAACTCCAAGATGACCTAGATGCAGATACAGTTATCAGACAAGGACTTTAAAGAAGTTATGTTAAACATGTTCAAAGACTTAAAGGAAAATACTATTATAATGAGTGACTAGATGGGGAATCTCTATAAGAGACGGAAAATATTTACAAGAACCAAATGAAAATTCTAGAACTGAAAGTATGATTCTGAAATGAAAAACATCATTTTTCAGAGCAGGGTGAGAATGGACATGGGACTCAGAGCTGAGCAGGCCTGGTGGGCCCCAGGAGGGAGACACAGAGGACTGGGGGATTTCAAGGCTGGCAGAGGCCAGAGATGGATCCCCAGCTGGGACTGGACCTGGGCTTATGGGAGCAACAGGTGACCCATCCTCCTTCCTGGGGGCCCACCCTGCCCGGCCCCTCCAGCCCAGCACAGGCATTGGATAGAACCGGGAGAGAGCAGGCCAGGCACTGAGGCCTCTGCCCCAAATGCCCACAGCCTGGGGAAAATGAGCAGATAGATGGGGGGGCAAGTGGATCCCCAGGCACACCCACACAGTGCACACAGCCCCACCTGGGCCAGAGGGGGCAGGAGGCTCGCCACCCCTGCTGTGGTTTCTCCCACACTTGATGCAGGTGATATTCCTCTGAGATTGTGGACTAAGAGTTGGTGCTGGAAGGGGTTAGCCATCTTGGAGATGTTGCTATGGGGTGCAGGGATTTTGCATGTGAGAAGGACATGATTATGGGGGGAGCGGAGGGCAAACTGTTGTGGGTTAAAATGTGTCCCCTATAAATTCATGTGTTGAAGTCCTAACCCCCAGGACCACAGAATGTGACCTTGTTTGGAAACAGTCTTTGCAACTGCAATCAAGTTCAGATGAGGTCACCCTGGAGTAGGGCAAGCCTCTGATCCAATATGACTGCTGTCCTCATGAAAAGGGGGAATCTGGGTACAGACAGCACGTGGGGAGAACACCCTGTGAAGATGGTGCTGCTTCCATAAGCCAAGAGCAGCAGAGACGGCCGGCAAAGCCCAGCAGCAAGGAGAGAGCCTGGGACAGAGTCTCCCATGACACAGAGGTGCCAGCCCCGCCGAGGCCTCCATCCCAGATGCCCGGCCTCCAGAACCAGGACGGAATAAACGTCTGTTGTTTAAGCCACGCAGTCTGGGGTGCTGTGTTGCCAGGGCCACAGTTAACGGATACGAGTGTTGTCCTGAGCTGCCAGCCCCACAGGCTGCACGAGGCCTCCCTGCCCCAGCCCAGTGCAGACTCCCCAGCCCCCTGGGTGTGCCATGGGCAGTGCGGGGCCCCTCACTGCATCCTCCCCCAGCCTGGGAGGTTGAGCCCATTATGAGCTCCATGGGGTGAAGCCGGAGCCAGAAGCTGGGAGCCGACTGGGAGCCTGCGGCTGGAGGATGGATTTCCCCAGGGACCCACACGTGCACCTCCACCTGTCTCCTGGACATTCTCTCTGAGGGCAGGGCTGGTGTCAGCTCAGGGATCCAGCAGGGACACAAGGGTGGGCCGGGTCCTTGTGGAGAGCACATTTAGTGGGAGGGACATGATTTCCCTTCAAAGTGCCCATTCTGGATGCTTCCTGGTCCACGCTGGACACTTCCTGTTCCACGCTGGACGCTTCCTGTTCCACGCTGGACGCTTCCTGTTCCACGCTTGATGTTTCCTGTTCCATGCTGGATGCTTCCTGTTCCATGCTGGACATTTCCTGTTCCACTCTGGATGCTCCCTGTTCCATTCTGGATGCTTCCTGTTCCATGCTGGACATTTCCTGTTCCACTCTGCATGCTTCCTGTTCCACTCTGGATGCTTCCTGTGCGAAACCTCCTCGGGCTTTTGGTCTGCCCAGTCCCTCTGGCTGCATCTCGTCCCCCGCTACCTCCCACCTCCACATCCGTCCTTGCCCAGCTCCTCTCTCTCTCCAGAGTTTCCACCTGGCAAGGTCCCTGATGAGCTCAGTCCAGGCTCCCCCAGCACAGGTAGGAGCCTAGCACCTGCCCTTGGACCTCCCCACCCTGCATGATGCCAGCATCCCCAGGCCCCAGGGAGGCCCCATTTCTCTCTCTACTGCTGGCCCAGTGGCCCTGGAGTCCCACTGCAACTCGGGTGTGCCCCTGACCTCTGAGGAAGTTAAGTGTCCTGTCCCTAGCCAGGCTATCCCCTCTGCTCAGCCCCAGGGCCCTGCCCCTTACCCCTTCCCCTCACCTGCACGATAGGCTCTGGCCAACTCTGCCCAGGCCCTGAATGGGCCCCTCTGGCTCCCCTCTGCTGCTACACTGCCCTGCACCACCTCCACTCAGCTTCAGTGTGTTCATCCACCTGTCCCAAGTCCCCTCGGCCCCCAGGAGCACAGCTGGTGGCCCTGGTTCCTGGCAGCCCATCTTGTTCCTTCTGGAGCACCAGCCTCAGAGGCCTTCCTGTGCAGGGTCCACTCGGCCAGCCCTGGGACCCTCCTGGTCTCAAGCACACGTTCTCCCTGCAGCCAGACCTGCCCCTGCCTGTGAGCTCAGACCTGAGCCTTGGAACGTCTTCCCTTCTCCATCCCAGCTCGCCTTTGCCAGCTGCTCAGTGGGATGAACTCACACTCCCCTCCCTCCACCATGAGTGAGAGTCAGCTGGAGAGATGCCCAGGCCAAAGCAGCCACCAGGGCCCAGTGGGGGGCCAGAAGCTTCAGGTGAGAGGCCCAGGTATTGAGAGGCTGAGACCATGGGCAGAATGGTCATAATCGCTGCCAGTCTCAGTCCAGCCCCAGGGACTCAGAGACAGAGAAAAGAGCAGCACACAAGGTCCGGGCTCCCCACCTTCTCCCGTGAGTATGGGGGAGTATGGGGGCAGCCACCACCCCCATCCCCACACACCCATGAGGCAGCCTCGGCTCTGTGTGGACTCCCCCTCGCCCTCTGACACAGAAACCACCAGAAGAAAAGGGAACTTCAGGAAGTAAGGGGTGCCGCTGGTTTCAATCCTGTTCTTAGTCTTTGCAGCGTGGAGTTCACACCCCTGGGGACCTGGGACCTGAGCTGTGATTTCCTAGGAAGACAAATAGCGGCTGACGGCGGGGGCGGGGCCGCCCACATGTACCTCGCCAGAACAGGAAGGGTTGAGACCCCCACCTCGGTGAGTGGGGTCAGCACAGGGCAGGGGCACAGGCTCGGGAGGAGGACAGCCTGGGCGCAGCCGTCGGCGCTCCTAGACCTGAGCTGCTGAACAGGCTGCAAGAGGCTGGGGAGACGCGGGCGCGAGGCCAGCCCCACATGGAAGCCCAAGCGGAGCCAGCACGGGGGAGGTGGGCAGCCTTCAGGCACTGATGCCCACCCAGTGCGAGACGACGGGGACCGTGGGCAGGGGCTTCCAAGCCAACAGGGCAGGACACACCAGAGGCTGACTGAGGCCTCCAGGACGACCGGGCTGGGAGCACGAGGAACATGACGGGATGCGGCAGAACCGGCTGTGGGGTGATGCCAGGATGGGCACGACCGACCTGAGCTCAGGAGGCAGCAGAGCGAGGGAGGAGGAGAGGCCCCAGGTGAACGGAGGGGCTTGTCCAGGCCGGCAGCATCACCAGAGCCCAGGGCAGGGTCAGCAGAGCTGGCCGTAGGGCCCTCCTCTCAGCCAGGACCAAGGACAGCAGGTGAGCCGGGAGCAGAGCAGCGAGGGTGAGTGTGGCAGCAGGACAGAAGGGTGGAAGCCAAGGAGCCCAGAGGCAGAGGCAGGGACAGGGGAGGGACAGGGGCTGGGCTCAGAGCCAGCTGATGGGGCTGGGGCACCTGCTGGCGGGGAGCAGGGCTGTGGTCAGCAGCGGAGAGGAGGGGAGAGCTGTGCTGAGTGCACGGGCGGGAGGAGGGAAGAGTCCAGGGAGGCCCAGAAAGGCCCAGAGTGCAGCAGGCCTGGGGCGAGGGGAGGGGCTGAGGCCCAGCAGAGCAGAGGCCACTGAGGAGCTGAGGTTCCGGAGAGGCTTCCAGAGCAGGAGCAGTGCAGGGACGGGAGGATCCGGGAGCTCATCCAGGAGGGGCACATAGGCAAGGGGCTCTGTTGGGGAGACCTGACTGGACACTGGGGCTGCTCCACAGCATAGGGAACAAGCCAAGTGCTGCAAAAACAAAAATGAGGCCAGAAAAACAGCCCAAACCTGGACAGAGGGTGCCAGGACAGGCAGGGGGGCAACAGTGGCCTGAGTGACATTGCTGCCCCGGGTTGAGGGAGGACAGAGTGAGCAGGGGGCAGGCATTGGAGTTCAGGGTACCAGGACCGAGCAGCCACAGGTGAGCAGGGCAGGTGGGGGTAGAAGGAGCAGGGGGCAGCTCCTGGAACTCAGGGGACCAGGGCAGAGCAGCCACAGGCAAACAGGAGAGGGGAGGGGGGGCAGGAGGAGCAGGGGGCAGCTCTTGGAGCTCAGGGGACCAGGGCAGAGACGCCGCAGGTGAGCAGGGGCAGGTGGGGGGGCAGGAGGAGCAGGGGGCAGCTCTTGGAGCTCAGGGGACCAGGGCAGAGCAGCCACAGGTGAGCAGGGGCAGGTGGGGGGCAGAAGGAGTAGGGGGCAGCTCTTGGAGCTCAGAGGACCAGGGCAGAGCAGCCACAGGGGAGGAGGGGCAGGTGGGAGGCAGGATGAACAGGGGGCGGCTCCTGGAACTCAGGAAACAGGGGAGAGCATCAGAAGGTGAGCAGGGCCAGTGGGAGGTTGCAGAGCAGGGGACAGCTCCTGGAGCTCAGGGGACCAGGGCAGAGCCGCCGCAGGTGAGCAGGGGCAGGTGGGGGGCAGGAGGAGCAGGGGGCACCTCCTGGAGCTCAGGCGACCGGGGCAGAGCAGCCTCAGGTGAAAAGGGCCGGTGGGGGGCAGGAGGAGCAAGGGGCAGCTCCTGGAGGTCAGGGGACCAGGGCAGAGCCGCCGCAGGTCAGCAGGGCCGGTGGGAGGCAGGACGAGCAGGGGACAGGCACTAGAGCTCAGGGCAAGGCAGCCACAGGTGAGCAGGGCTGGTGGGAGGCATCACTCAGCTCCTAGACTTTGGCAGGAGCTGGGTAGTTGCCGGCAGCAGACAGCTGAGAGCTGGTGAAAGTGCAGTGCAGCCTCCTGGTGCCGGGAAGGGAGTGTGAGTCCATCCCACTGAGCAGTTGGCAAGGGCGAGCTGGGATGGAGAAGGGAAGGCATTCCAGGGCTCAGGGCTGGGCTCTCAGGCAGGGGCAGGTGTGGCTGCAGGGGGAACGTGTGCTTGAGACCAGGAGGGTCCCAGGGCTGGCCCCAGCGGACCCTGGGCAGGAAGGCCTCTGAGGCTGGCGCCCCAGAAGGAGCAAGATGGGCTGCCAGGAGCCAGGACCATCAGCACAATGAAGCTGAGTGGAGGTGGTGCAGGGCAGTGTAGCAGCAGAGGGCTGCCAGAGGGGCCCATTCAGGGCCTGGGCAGAGTCAGCCAGAGCCTGTGGTGCAGGTGAGGGGAAGGGGTGGTGAGCGGGGCCCTGGGGCCGAGCAGAGGGGATGGCCTGGCTGAGGGCAGGGCGCTTAGCCTCCTCAGAGGTCAGGGGCACACCCCACCTGCAGTGGGACTCCAGGGCCACTGGGCCAGCGGCAGAGAGAAATGGGGCCTCCCTGTGGCCTGGGGGTCCTGGCACCATGCAGGGTGGGGAGGGCCAAGGGCAGGTGCAAGGCTCCTACCTGTGCTGGGGGGCCTGGGTTGAGCCCAGCAGGGACCTTGCCGGGGGAAGCTCTGGAGAGAGGGAGGAGGTGGGCTGGTGGCCGAGAAGGCCAGGCCAGGGCTGGGAGGGTGAGGTTGTGGTGACTGAGCCTCCAGAAGTAATGCAGGACACTGGGAGGCAGGGGGCATCCAGGCACTCAGGGCCCTGACCTGGGCTGCTGCACACTGGGGCTAAGGGGAAAGGAGGGGAGAGGCTGAGGAGGAGGCTCCAGGAGGCTATTCCAAGGCAGGGGGTTCCGGGGCCCTGGGGCTGAAGGGCGCCGACCCTATGCAGTGTCTGGCCCCTCTGCTGCACAGAAGAAAAGGGCCTTGGAGGGCAGAGGGCAGGCTATGACCAGGGCCCTGGGCAAGTCAGGCCCACTCACTAGCGGAGGGCCACGCTGGGGCGGCAGGGTCAGGAGCTTCAGGGGACTCGGGGGACCCACGAGAAGCCATCTGAGAACAGTGTCCACTGGTCAAGCCAGGCACCCATAAAAGGCTGGAGTGGGGCCAATGGGCATGAGCCGTCCCTGAGGTGGCACCGATGGCCAGAGCTGAGGCCAAGCTAGAGACACTGGACTGTGCTGACTCCCGGCAGGCACAGAGCGCTGACCTGGCTGCCGAGCCCCGCCCCCTAGGCTGCAGGGGTGCCTGCAGAAGGGCACCACAGGGCCACCGGTCCTGCAAGCTTTCTGGGGCAGGCCGGGCCTGACTTTGGCTGGGGGCAGGGAGGGGGCTAAGGTGACGCAGGTGGCGCCAGCCAGGCGCACACCCAATGCCCGTGAGCCCAGACACTGGACCCTGCATGGACCATCGCAGATAGACAAGAACCGAGGGGCCTCTGCGCCCTGGGCCCAGCTCTGTCCCACACCGCGGTCACATGGCACCACCTCTCTTGCAGCTTCCACCAAGGGCCCATCGGTCTTCCCCCTGGCGCCCTGCTCCAGGAGCACCTCCGAGAGCACAGCCGCCCTGGGCTGCCTGGTCAAGGACTACTTCCCCGAACCGGTGACGGTGTCGTGGAACTCAGGCGCCCTGACCAGCGGCGTGCACACCTTCCCGGCTGTCCTACAGTCCTCAGGACTCTACTCCCTCAGCAGCGTGGTGACCGTGCCCTCCAGCAGCTTGGGCACGAAGACCTACACCTGCAACGTAGATCACAAGCCCAGCAACACCAAGGTGGACAAGAGAGTTGGTGAGAGGCCAGCACAGGGAGGGAGGGTGTCTGCTGGAAGCCAGGCTCAGCCCTCCTGCCTGGACGCACCCCGGCTGTGCAGCCCCAGCCCAGGGCAGCAAGGCAGGCCCCATCTGTCTCCTCACCCGGAGGCCTCTGACCACCCCACTCATGCTCAGGGAGAGGGTCTTCTGGATTTTTCCACCAGGCTCCGGGCAGCCACAGGCTGGATGCCCCTACCCCAGGCCCTGCGCATACAGGGGCAGGTGCTGCGCTCAGACCTGCCAAGAGCCATATCCGGGAGGACCCTGCCCCTGACCTAAGCCCACCCCAAAGGCCAAACTCTCCACTCCCTCAGCTCAGACACCTTCTCTCCTCCCAGATCTGAGTAACTCCCAATCTTCTCTCTGCAGAGTCCAAATATGGTCCCCCATGCCCATCATGCCCAGGTAAGCCAACCCAGGCCTCGCCCTCCAGCTCAAGGCGGGACAGGTGCCCTAGAGTAGCCTGCATCCAGGGACAGGCCCCAGCCGGGTGCTGACGCATCCACCTCCATCTCTTCCTCAGCACCTGAGTTCCTGGGGGGACCATCAGTCTTCCTGTTCCCCCCAAAACCCAAGGACACTCTCATGATCTCCCGGACCCCTGAGGTCACGTGCGTGGTGGTGGACGTGAGCCAGGAAGACCCCGAGGTCCAGTTCAACTGGTACGTGGATGGCGTGGAGGTGCATAATGCCAAGACAAAGCCGCGGGAGGAGCAGTTCAACAGCACGTACCGTGTGGTCAGCGTCCTCACCGTCCTGCACCAGGACTGGCTGAACGGCAAGGAGTACAAGTGCAAGGTCTCCAACAAAGGCCTCCCGTCCTCCATCGAGAAAACCATCTCCAAAGCCAAAGGTGGGACCCACGGGGTGCGAGGGCCACATGGACAGAGGTCAGCTCGGCCCACCCTCTGCCCTGGGAGTGACCGCTGTGCCAACCTCTGTCCCTACAGGGCAGCCCCGAGAGCCACAGGTGTACACCCTGCCCCCATCCCAGGAGGAGATGACCAAGAACCAGGTCAGCCTGACCTGCCTGGTCAAAGGCTTCTACCCCAGCGACATCGCCGTGGAGTGGGAGAGCAATGGGCAGCCGGAGAACAACTACAAGACCACGCCTCCCGTGCTGGACTCCGACGGCTCCTTCTTCCTCTACAGCAGGCTCACCGTGGACAAGAGCAGGTGGCAGGAGGGGAATGTCTTCTCATGCTCCGTGATGCATGAGGCTCTGCACAACCACTACACACAGAAGAGCCTCTCCCTGTCTCTGGGTAAATGAGTGCCAGGGCCGGCAAGCCCCCGCTCCCCGGGCTCTCGGGGTCGCGCGAGGATGCTTGGCACGTACCCCGTGTACATACTTCCCGGGCGCCCAGCATGGAAATAAAGCACCCAGCGCTGCCCTGGGCCCCTGCGAGACTGTGATGGTTCTTTCCACGGGTCAGGCCGAGTCTGAGGCCTGAGTGGCATGAGGGAGGCAGAGCGGGTCCCACTGTCCCCACACTGGCCCAGGCTGTGCAGGTGTGCCTGGGCCGCCTAGGGTGGGGCTCAGCCAGGGGCTGCCCTCGGCAGGGTGGGGGATTTGCCAGCGTGGCCCTCCCTCCAGCAGCACCTGCCCTGGGCTGGGCCACGAGAAGCCCTAGGAGCCCCTGGGGACAGACACACAGCCCCTGCCTCTGTAGGAGACTGTCCTGTTCTGTGAGCGCCCTGTCCTCCGACCCGCATGCCCACTCGGGGGCATGCCTAGTCCATGTGCGTAGGGACAGGCCCTCCCTCACCCATCTACCCCCACGGCACTAACCCCTGGCAGCCCTGCCCAGCCTCGAACCCACATGGGGACACAACCGACTCCGGGGACATGCACTCTCGGGCCCTGTGGAGGGACTGGTCCAGATGCCCACACACACACTCAGCCCAGACCCGTTCAACAAACCCCGCACTGAGGTTGGCCGGCCACACGGCCACCACACACACACGTGCACGCCTCACACACGGAGCCTCACCCGGGCGAACCGCACAGCACCCAGACCAGAGCAAGGTCCTCGCACACGTGAACACTCCTCAGACACAGGCCCCCACGAGCCCCACGCGGCACCTCAAGGCCCACGAGCCGCTCGGCAGCTTCTCCACATGCTGACCAGCTCAGACAAACCCAGCCCTCCTCTCACAAGGTGCCCCTGCAGCCGCCACACACACAGGGGAACACACGCCACGTCGCGTCCCTGGCACTGGCCCACGTCCCAATACAGCCCTTCCCTGCAGCTGGGGTCACATGAGGGGTGGGTTTCACCATCCTCCTGCCCTCTGGGGCTCAGGGAGGGACACGGGAGACGGGGAGTGGGTCCTGCTGAGGGCCAGGTCGCTATCTAGGGCCGGGTGTCTGGCTGAGCCCCAGGGCCAAAGCTGGTGCCCAGGGTGGACAGCTTCCGGGAGCTGACCTCAGGACATTGTTGGCCCATCCCGGCCGGGCCCTACATCCTGGGCCCCGCCACAGAGGGAATCACCCCCAGAGGCCCAAGCCCAGGGGGACACAGCACTGACCACCCCCTTCCTGTCCAGAGCTGCAACTGGAGGAGAGCTGTGCGGAGGCGCAGGACGGGGAGCTGGACGGGCTGTGGACGACCATCACCATCTTCATCACACTCTTCCTGCTAAGCGTGTGCTACAGTGCCACCGTCACCTTCTTCAAGGTCGGCCGCACGTTGTCCCCAGCTGTCCTTGACATTGTCCCCCATGCTGTCACACACTGTCCCTGACACTGTCCCCCACTCTCTCCACAAACTGTCCCTGACACTGTCCCCCATGCTGTACACACCTGTCCAACAGTGTCCCCCAGGCTGTCTCCACATGTCCGACACTGTCCCCCATGCTATCCCCCATCCTGACACTGTCCCCCACACTGTCCCCACCTGTCCTTGATGCTGTGCCCCACGGTCTCCCCACCTCTCCCTGATTCTGTCCCCCACGCTGTACCTGTCCCCAATGCTCTCCCCCAGCCTGTCCCCAACACTGTCCGCCATGCTGTCCCACCTTTCCCCCACACTGTCCCCCAGTCTCCGCCTGTCCCTGACGCTGTCCCACATGCGGTCCCCCATTCCTGATACTGTCCCCCATGCTGTCCCCACCTTCCCCAACACTGTACCCCACAGTCCCCACCTTCCCCAACACTGTCCCCACCTGTCCCTGACACTCCCCCATGCTGTCCCCACCTGTCCCCCACTCACCCCCCACACTGTCCCTGTCTCTGACACTGTCCCCCATGCTGTCCGCACCTGTCCCCGTCCCCCACGCTGTCCCTACCTGTCCCTGACACTGTCCCCCATGCTGTCCCCCACTTTCCCCAGCTTTCCCTGTCCCCCACGCTGTCCCTACCTGTCCCTGACACTGACCCCCATGCTGTCCGCACCTGTCCCCCACTCTCCCCACCTCTCCCTGTCACCCACGCTGTCCCTACCTGTCCCTGACACTGTCCCCCATGCTGTCCCCACCTGTCCCCCAATCTCCCCACCTCTCCCTGTCCCCCACGCTGTCCCCACCTGTCCCTGACGTTGTCTTCTGTGTTATCCACATGCTGTCACTACCATGGCTCTGCTCTCCATGTCCAGGCCTGGGGGCAGGCAGTGTAGAGCCCCGGTACCTGGGTGGCCTGAAAGGCAGATGGGCCTTGGGAGCAGGGCTGTGGCCTGGGTGGCCTGAGGGGTGGGTGGGGCTCAGGGGCAGGGCTGTGGCCTCGCTCACCCCTGTGCTGTGCCTTGCCTACAGGTGAAGTGGATCTTCTCCTCAGTGGTGGACCTGAAGCAGACCATCGTCCCCGACTACAGGAACATGATAAGGCAGGGGGCCTAGGGCCACCCTCTGCGGGGTGTCCAGGGCCGCCCAGACCCCACACACGAGCCGTGGGCCATGCTCAGCCACCACCCAGGCCACACCTGCCCCCTGACCTCACCGCCCTCAACCCCATGGCTCTCTGGCTTCGCAGTCGCCCTCTGAGCCCTGAAACGCCCCCCTTCCAGACCCTGTGCATAGCAGGTCTACCCCAGACCTCCGCTGCTTGGTGCATGCAGGGCGCTGAGGGCCAGGTGTCCCCTCAGCAGGACGTCCCTGCCCTCTGGACCACCAGGTGCTCACACAAAAGGAGGTAACCGGCATCCCAGGCCCCCACTCAGGCAGGACCTCGCCCTGGAGCCAACCCCGTCCACGCCAGCCTCCTGAACACAGGCATGGTTTCCAGATGGTGAGTGGGAGCATCAGTCGCCAAGGTAGGGAAGCCACAGCACCATCAGGCCCTGTTGGGGAGGCTTCCGAGAGCTGCGAAGGCTCACTCAGACGGCCTTCCTCCCAGCCCGCAGCCAGCCAGCCTCCATTCCGGGCACTCCCGTGAACTCCTGACATGAGGAATGAGGTTGTTCTGATTTCAAGCAAAGAACGCTGCTCTCTGGCTCCTGGGAACAGTCTCGGTGCCAGCACCACCCCTTGGCTGCCTGCCCACACTGCTGGATTCTCGGGTGGAACTGGACCCGCAGGGACAGCCAGCCCCAGAGTCCGCACTGGGGAGAGAAAGGGCCAGGCCCAGGACACTGCCACCTACCACCCACTCCAGTCCACCGAGATCACTCGGAGAAGAGCCTGGGCCATGTGGCCGCTGCAGGAGCCCCACAGTGCAAGGGTGAGGATAGCCCAAGGAAGGGCTGGGCATCTGCCCAGACAGGCCTCCCACAGAAGGCTGGTGACCAGGTCCCAGGCGGGCAAGACTCAGCCTTGGTGGGGCCTGAGGACAGAGGAGGCCCAGGAGCATCGGGGAGAGAGGTGGAGGGACACCGGGAGAGCCAGGAGCGTGGACACAGCCAGAACTCATCACAGAGGCTGGCGTCCAGTCCCGGGTCACGTGCAGCAGGAACAAGCAGCCACTCTGGGGGCACCAGGTGGAGAGGCAAGACGACAAAGAGGGTGCCCGTGTTCTTGCGAAAGCGGGGCTGCTGGCCACGAGTGCTGGACAGAGGCCCCCACGCTCTGCTGCCCCCATCACACCGTTCCGTGACTGTCACGCAGAATCCACAGACAGGAAGGGAGGCTCGAGCGGGACTGCGGCCAGCGCCTGCCTCGGCCGTCAGGGAGGACTCCCGGGCTCACTCGAAGGAGGTGTCACCATTTCAGCTTTGGCTTTTCTTCTTCTTTTAAATTTTCTAAAGCTCATTAATTGTCTTTGATGTTTCTTTTGTGATGACAATAAAATATCCTTTTTAAGTCTTGTACTTCGTGATGGGAGCCGCCTTCCTGTGTCCACGCGCCTCCTGCCCCCGGTGGGAAGCACGGTCAGGAGGAGGCTGGTCGAGCTGCACCTCGGGGGCTCCCTGCACTCGCCCCCCGCCTCCTGCAGCCACACGCATTGCCCGAGCGGCCCTCCCTGGCCCCTGTCGCTACATGGACCCCCGGGGCTTCTCCTCTTTTCTACATGGATGCAGTTTCTCCTCCTGCTGGGCACGGTGCTGCCTGCCCTGGTCACTCTGCGGGGGACAGGGCCTCCAGGGAAAGCTGGGTCGAGGCTGGGAGCTGGCTCAGGCTGGCCAGGCAGAGCCACAGGGAGGGCCTTCCAGAACCAACCATGGTCCGAAGCGAGAGGTGGGTGTCAGATCTGTGTGCGTCAGCTCAGGACCACAGCGGGGCAGCTCCCACGGCAGACATGGATCCTCCCAGGCCTAGAGACCAGGAATCTGAGATCAGGATGCAGGCAGGGCTGGTTTCTCTCAAGCCCTCTCTCCTTGGCTTGTAGACACCGTCTCCTCCCTGGTCCTCACATGGCCATCCCTCTGTGTGCCCGTGTCCTAAGCTTCTCTTCTTATAAGAACACACATCGCATTAGATTAGTGACCCCATATGAACTTAATGACCTCTGTAAAGACCCCATCTCCAAATAGTCACATTGTGAGGCCAGGGATTAAGACTTGAATATATGAATTTGTAGGGGCCACAATTTAACTCATAACAGTCCATGCTATGGCCCCCCAAATTTCATGTTCTTCTCACATGCAAAATACATTCATCTGTCTCAGCATCCCCCAAGTCTTAGTCCTTTCAGCATCAATTCTAAGCCTAAAATCTCATCAAACTGTCACCCTCATCAGGCACAGGTGAAACCTGGTGTGTGATTCATTCTATGGTAAAATTCAGCCCATAGGACACATGGTGGGTGCCAGGAACGAGGACAAGGCAGGAGAGGCAAAGGTGGAGAGAGACATTTTCAAAGATAAAGCTGGGCACTAGATCATGTAGCAAGGACGGATTTTCAACAGAAATAACTATTGCAACAGAAGAAAGAGTCCGGCATGACCTGGACTCACCTTCATCTGTGCAGAGGCCACAGCCTTGTAAAGGGAGGTGGTAGGGGGAGCAGGGTGGGTGCTCGGGGCTCAGTCGTCGGGGAAGGGAAAAGTTGCCCAGCGCTGGTCAGCGTCCCCGGGATGGGACCTGCTGTGTCCGTGCCGGCCACTGTTGAGGTCAGGATTCTGTCCTCCCAGAGCCTGGAGACACAGGCCCCATCCTTCACAAAGGGGACACTTCAGGGAGCGGCTCTCAAGTCTTGAGAAAGACCCTCCTGGGTCACAGGAAATGCACAGACATCGGGAACGGATAGAAGGACGTGTGGTTGCGGCCCTCTCAGCAGACACCCTGAGAAAGGGAGGTCGGGGTTGGTCCAAACGGTGAGTTCTGGTGCACGGAGCTTTCTCAGGCAGGTGTTGACGGGGCAGGGGTCGGCCTAGGGGTACGGCCAGAAGCTGTTAGAAACTGTTAGTGTCTGCTCAAGTCTTTACAAGCCAAGGTTGAGGCCGAGTGGAGAGGCTCCGAGGAGCCTGGCTGGAACTCAGTCAAGGACAGGGTCTTGTTACTGCAGTGGCTGCGGTGGCTGCGGTGGCTGGAAAATGCCGTCGGAGTTGCCTGTGGCAGGAGAGAGACCATCTCACCCAGGAAGGAGGAGTGGTTGGATTCGTTTGTGTGGCATCGAGCAGCTGGAGCTGCACCAAACACGGAGTTGGGGACTAAATCCCCAGACTCCAGGCCCTGCCATGCCGTGGGAAGGCTCGCCACTGGAGGGTGGGCTCCAGGGGGCCTGGCCTGAACTGGGTGCTGAAGCCCAGCCCTTTAACTCTCAGGACACGCTGCTGCAGCCCCGCGGGGGGTGAGGGAGACAGCACCTGGGGTGCAGGGCGGGCAGCTGCTGCATCACCGGCTCTATCCCAAGCCCAAGGATGGCGTCCCAGAGATGCAGGAGAGCTTTGTCCAGAGAAGGTGCCAGCCCTCAGGGACCCTGCTGGAGAGATCTCCACCCTCTGCCCTTCAAGGGGCCCTACGGGCCTCCGGGTGCCCTGGTGGGGTGGGCTCCAGTCCACTGTCTGAGGATGGACGGCCTGGCCAGGATAAGGAAAGGAAACCCAGGATGGTGCCGGGCTCCGGGTCATTCCGTGCACTGAGCAGGCTGAGTTGGGAAGAAGCAGATGCTTCCTGCAGCTCCTGCCCCTGCAGGGCCTGGCGCCTGGACCAGGTTCCCCTAGGGAAATTGGGCCCCTCCCTGAGCCACCCGGGGCCCACCGCCCCCTTTCCACCTGGGACCGAGCATCCTCCAGAGGGTCAGCCCTCCTGAGGGAACACCATGCCCAGCCCCAGGACCCTCCCTCAACTCTCCAGCAAGGCTGCACTGTGGGCGGCCCCTGCACATACCCCAGCAGTCCGTGCTGTGATGTAACATGACATGGTGTGACGTGGTGTGATGTCTCTGGTGTGACGTGGATGTCATGTGGCATGATGTGACAGGACATGGTGTGATGTTGTATGATGTGGTATGACAGTGTGATATCCGAGGGGTGATGTGATGTGGTGTGACATGTTGTAATGTCCCTGGTGTGAGGTGGTGTTGCACATGGTGGGATGTGGTGTGACATGGTGTAATGTCCCTGGTGTGAGGTGGTGTTGCACATGGTGGGATGTGGTGTGACACAGTGTGACATCCCTGGTGTGATGTGCTGTGACATAGTGTGATGGGTATGACATCCCTGGTATGATGAGCTATAATATGAAATGATGTGGAATGGTGTGACATGATGTGATGTGATGGGACAAGGTGTGACATCCCTGGTGTGATGTGGTGTGATGAAGTGTAACAGGCTGTGACATACTGTGATATGGTGTGGCATGTGACGTGGTGTGACATGTGATGTGGTGTGATGGGGTGTGACATCCCTGGTGTGATGGGGTGTGAGGTAGTTTGACGTGGTGTGATGTAATGTGATGTGGTGTGATGGGGTATGACATCTGTGGTGTGATGAGGTGTGGTGTGACATGATGTGACGTGTGACGTGCTGTGACAGGGTGCCACATCCTTGGTGTGATGTGATGCGGTGTGACATGGTGTGATGTGGCAGGATGGGGTGTGGCAGGGTACGACATCCCTAGTGTGATGATGAGTTTCATGGTGTGATGTGGCGTGACATCCCTGGCATGACATAGTGTGATGTGGTGTGACATGGTGTGACATTCCTGGTGTGACTCTGCTGTTGTGACATTTGTGGTCACCCCAGCATACAGAGGTCTCTGTGGCCAAGGGAAGGGGGAGAATGGAACGATCTGAGCAGGTTGACCTGGAGGAACTGGTGGCCCTTGAGTCCACGAAGCCCACCCTGCTAGGTGCCCCTGCCCCACGTGACCCAAGGGGGTTGCAGAGCAGCAAGCAGGACTCTGGTTAGACAGGAGGAAGGACCTGCCACCACGTGGCCTTGTGAGGAGACACAGAGCGAGCCTGTGACCTCGGCGTCCACCCAGCACAGGGTGCTGCTGAAGCCCCTCCTGTCATCTCAGCAGGGGTCCCAGGGCAAGGCCCGAGGCAGGCTGAAGAGAGGGGCAGAGTGAGGATGCTGGGGAGGCAGGGGTGAGGGGAGTGAGAGCCCAGGTTTCAGCTGAGCCCCTGCACAGGGAAGGAACCTAGCTGAACACCCATCTCCCCACACACTCCCAACCCTGCCTCTGCCCGACCACCTCCCAGAGGGCACCTCGAACCCTCTAACACCCACACTCAGCAAGGGGTATGGTGTCCCCACCGAATCCAGCCAGTGAGGCCCGGCACAGCCACGCCTGTGCCCACCACTCCCATGGCCAAGCTCCCTGCTAACATGGTAGGACAGGGCCAGGCCTGGAGGAGACAGAACATCAGTCCCATGGGGAAGCTCCCTGCTCACATGGCAGGGCAGGGCCTGGAGGAGACAGAACGCCCCATCTGGCATGGTACTCAGGCTGCACATGCCTGCCACGCACGGGGGCCACGCGACAATGCCTGCCACGCATGGGGGACATGTGATGCTGCCTGCCACGCATGGGGGACACGCAACAATGCCTGACACGCATGGGGGCCACGTGACACACACATACACACACGGGCCTCACAGGCACACGAATGTTTGCAACCCCAGCACCCACCCAGCACACTCAGGCACAGGCTCTCCAGGTGGGTCACAGCCTCACGCCTTGAGCTACTCCATGTGCCAGGCCCTTCACCCACGTTCCTGTCCCCAGTGCCAGCTGTTGAGCCACACCGTCTTCTCTGTGGATCCCTCCCAGCCCACTCAGCACAATGGACATGCTCTCTCCCGTCCAGTGACTGCACTGGCCTCCTCCCCTCAGCACCCACGTCTGGCCATCTCCCAGGAAACCCGGACCACCACGGGCAGGGACCACCTTCCTCACTATCCACATGGACCACCCCACACCTGACCCCAGATGCAGTCACACTATGTCCTGCTTCAATATTGAAAAGGGGAAAAGCTGGAGGAGGGGAAAGATGAAAGAGAAAAAAGCAAGACGGGAGAGTCACATTCTTCTGAGGCTTTGATTACATCTCACTGAGCCCCCACGTTGCATGAAAAGGAGGGGTGGAGGGAGCAATTACGCATTCGCCTTGTGCTCAGTAAATCTGCACTTTATAAGAAAATAAACAGAGTAGAGGAAGAAGTCAAATATGCATTTGTCTCAGGGGCAGGAGGGATGATTTCTTGTCTCATTTTGTCCCATGTCATGAAGACCGGGCTGTTAATTTATATTGTCAGGGTGAGGGAGGCCACCTGGGTAGACCTGGCCTATCTGCTGCTGCTCTCAGTTTGGAAACAAAAGGAAACGCATGACTTTTTTTTTTTTTCATGACTCAGCTTCCCACCTCAACTGTTCTTTTTGGCATAGTGACTTTAGGGTCCTGAGATTTTATTTTCCTTTCACAATGGTCAAGATCGCACCCTCAGTATTCAGGAGAGCTGGTCCAACCCAGACCCCTGCCGTCCCTGGACACTTTCAAATACGTGCTGCAGTCTCTGACACTCTCTCACCATCGAAGAAACTGAGGCCTTGGTGAGCCTGCAAGCCCCTGCTCATGGGGACAATGCAGGCTGAAACCCGCATTTCTGACCCCAAAGCTCCTGTTCCTTTCACTCACCCCCACACCAGCTCTTTGAGTCCAGAGCTTTGTCCTTGCCTGAGTCCTACCCTCAGGGACAGGGGCCCAACCCAGCCACCAACACATCATACCCTGAGAGGGTGCCGGGAGCCCAGAGATGTTTGGAGAGCACAGAAGCCCTGGAAGCTCTGTGGAGATGCTGCACATTTCTCTATTCAACAGATACTCACCAGGTGGCCAGCGGCAGAGATGCCACATGGCATGGAGCTCGCCTTGGCCAACAGGACAGGTGTGGGGTTGGGAGGCCTTCCCAGGGCACTCCTTGAAGCAGAGCTGTGGGGAAAAGTTGGGGCCAATCTCAGATCTCCCCGTCAACACCGGGTCTCCTGCCCTCCTGGGCCACAGAAAACTAAGCTCCGTGGATACTGCGGCTGGGTGGGGCCGTGGGGGAGAAGAAATCACAACGAGTTAAGAGATCATTTTTTAAAACTATTATGATCAGGACTCACATAAACATATGACGACACATTTCAGAGATGCTCTTTATCTCATTAATTAAGGTGTCGTAACCAGTTCAAAGTGGAATTCTAAGTACTACACTTAACATAATTGATTCAGGAATGCTAAAAGGAGTTCATAGATAGATGCAAAACTGGCCTTTTCCCTGGAAGATGAGGAGCAATTCATTGTCCTTCCAAAGGTGAGAACTTGCATTTCTACCAACTCAAAGAGTTTTTGCATTGCTATCAATTATGTACAACTTAGAGCAGTGGTCCCCAACATTTTTGGCACCAGGAACCAGTTCCATGGAAGACAATTTTTCCACAGACCAAGATCGGGGGATGTCTTGGGGACAAAGCTGTTCTACCTCAGATCATTAGGCATTAGGATTTCACGAGGAGTGTGCAACTTAGATCCCAGGAATGTGCAGCTCGCAATAGGGTTCGCTCCTATGAGAATCTAATGCTGCCACTGATCTGACGGGAGGTGGAGCTCGGGCAGGAATGCTCACACATCCCTCACCTCTTGCTCTGTGGCCCAGTTCCTAACAGGCCATGAACCGGTTCCAGTGCATGACCCAGGGGTTGGGGACCCCTGGCTTATAGAGGTGTAAAATAGTTCAAAGGAAATGAAAGATGCAGAGCTCCACAGAATGAAATAACCTGGAAGAGTGTACAAGACGATGCCTTGCTTTCCATGGAAGGCACCTAGTAATCATTTGGTCCATTTCAGTTCTTCTTAATGCTTCCTATAAACATATATAACTGACTGACACAAACAGATCCATAATATAAAGAAGACCCCTGTAAACCAATGAGAAAAAAAATCAAATAATCCAACGAGGAATAGGCAAGAGAATTGAACAGATGTTTTACAGAAGATATCCAAATAGCCACTAAACATATGAAAAGGTGTTGAACCACACTAGTCAACAGGGAAATGAAAATGAAAAACCACATGAGAGAAAGTAGTTCCGATTCCAATAATGCTGGAGCAGCTAATATCAGACTAGCCCTTTGGCAGATGGCAATTATAAACACTGGAAATGCTGTAAGCACACACAACACCCACACACACCAATTACAGGCACTGGAACATGACCAGAAGTAGGCAAACACTAGTAAGGATTATTCCCTGAAATATTCATCTGAAGTCACACCCCAGGGCATGTAATGGGTGCAGCTAGAGTTCAAGCAGGAAACTGCAGTCCTCCTGGTGAGGAGTGGGATGCAGGGCTACATTTTCAGAGCAGCTGGAAATGAAGAGAAGATGTCCATAAAGGAGAAGGTCACCGAAGGGAAACCCCACAACCTGCAGGTAAACTCCACTGAAACCTCTGGCCGATCCCTTAGGTGTGCATGGGTAGGGAAAACTCCAAAGGGTCCAGCAGAAAGCAGCACCTGTATAGTCAAGAGAACTGAGATTGCAGATACTGCCAACTCCCAGGCAGACAGACTTGGGAGTTTGAGTCAACTCAAGCTAACTGCTTGCTAACATGAAAAAAACAATTAATGCTCTGCTAAGGAAGGATGCAAACCCCATAGCCTGTACACATGTTATCAACAACATCAGGTGCACATCCAAAATTACCATGGATGCAAAGAAACATGAAAATGTGATCCAAAGTCAGAAGAAAAAGGGATCAATGGAGATCAACTCCAAGATGACCTAGATGCAGATACAGTTATCAGACAAGGACTTTAAAGAAGTTATGTTAAAAATGTTCAAAGACTTAGAGAATATGGTTATCATGAGTGACTAGATGAGGTATCTCTATAAAAAACTGAAAATAGTTACAAGAACCAAATGAAAATTCTAGAACTAAAAGTATGATTCTGAAATGAAAAACATTTGGCCAGGCCCAGTGGCTCATACCTGTAATCCTAGCACTTTGGGGGCCCAACAGGGAAGTATCACTTGATCTCAGGAGCTTGAGACCAGCCTGGGCAACGTGGTGAAACCCCATCTCTATTTTATTAAAAAAGAAAAGAAAGAGAAAAACATTACCCAAGTTTAATAACAGATTGGAGAAGACAAAAGAAGGAACTGAAAACTTAAAGATGCATCAATAGAATATATCAATTATTTTTAATCCAATCCAAAGAAAAGAGAGAAAAATACTAAAAAAGGAAAAAAGACTCATCCTGCTGGAGAAGGCGAAGCATTCTAAAACATGTGAAACTGGAGTCCAGAGGGGGATGTAATACTTCCATGGGAAAGGTCAACCCTAAGCTATATGCAAATGTACCTGCATAGGCTGGTGTGGTGGGCTGATGGCATCTCCCTGGCCAAATGTATGCCCACCTGGAACCTCAGAATGTGACCATATTTAGAAATAGGGTCTTTACAAATTAGGTTAAGGACTTGAGATGATATCATACTAAATTTTGGATGGATCCCAAGTCCAAACACTGGTGTCCTCATAAGAGGAGAGGACACAGACACACGTGGAGATAAGCCACATGATGACAAAGAAGAAGATGAGGGGTGTGTCAGGAGCCACCTGTGTTTGTCCATTTGCATTACTGTAAAGAAATACCTGAGGCTGAGTAAGTTATAAAGGAAAGAGGTTGAATTGGCTCACAGTTCTGCAGGCTGTATAGGAAGCATGGCACCAGCATCTGCTTCTGGCGAGGACCTCAGGAAACTTACAGCATAGCAGAAGGTGAAGGGACAGCAGGTATGCCACATGGCAAGAATGGGAGCAAGAGGCTGAGGGGGGCCCCAGACTTAAACAACTAGATTGTGTGTGAGCTGACTGGGGGAGAATTCACTCATCACCAAGGGGAAGATGCTCAATCATTCATGAGGGATCTTCCCCCTTGATCTAATCACCTCCTACCAGGCCCCACTTCCAACACTGGGAATCATATTGCAACATGAGATTTGGAGGGGACAAATATATAAACCATATCCTTCCACCCCTGGTCCCCCAAATCTCATGTCCTTCTCATGTTGCAAAATATAATTATGCCTTCTCAACAATCCCCCAAAGTCTTACCTCATTCCAGAATCAACCCAAAATTCCCAAGTCCCAAGTCTCATCTGAAGATGAGTCCCTTCCACCTATCAGCCTAGGAAATCAAAGACAAATTGACTCCCAAAATACAATGAGTGTGCAGACATTGGGTAAACATTCCCATTCCACAAGGGAGAAGTTGGCAAAAAGAAAGGATCTACATGCCCCATACTTGTCAGAAATCCAGCAGGGCAGTTATTAAATCTTAAAGCTCCAAGGTAATCTCCTTTGACTGCGTGTCCCATATCCAGGGCACACTGGTGCAGGGGGTGGACTCCCAAGGCCTTGGAAATCTCTACCCCTGTGGCTTTGGAGGATGTAGCCCCTGTGGCTTCTCTCACACGATAGAGTTGAGTGCCTGTGGCTTTTCCAGATTCAGGGTGCAAGCTGCCAGTGGATCCACCATTCTGGGGTCTGGAGGACAGTGGCCCCCTTCCCACAGCTCCGCTAGGCAGTGCCCTGGTGGGGACATTATATGGGGGTTCAACCCCACATTCTCTTTGGCACTGCTCTAGTAGAGGTTCTCTGTGAGGGCTCCATGCTGGCAGGAGGCTTCTGTCTGGGCAGCTAGGCTTTCTCATACATTTCTGAAATCTAGAGGGAAGATGCCAAGCTTCCTTCACTCTTGCATTCTGGGGGCCTACAGGCTTAACACCAGATGGAAGTCACCAAGGCTTATAGTGGCTTGCACTCTCCAAAGCAGCAGCCTAAGCTGTACTTGGGGCCCTTTGAGCCAAGGCTGGAGCCAGAGGAACCAGGATGTGGAGAGCAGTGTCCCAAGGCTGCACAGGCAGCAGTGGCCATGGCCATGGCCCACAAAACCATCCTTTCCCTCTTGGCCTCTGGGCCTGTGATGGGAAAGACCACCTCAGAGATTTCCAAAATGCCTTCAAGGCCTTTTTCCCTTTGTTCTGGATATGAGCACTTAGCTCCCTTTTAGTTATGCTAATCTCTCTAGCAACTGGCTGCTCCATAGCCTACTTATATTTGTCTCCTGAAAATACCTTTTCTTTTCTACCACATGGCCAGGCTGTGAATTTTCCACATTTTTTATGCTCTGCTTCCCTTTGTTGATGAAAAAAGCCAAACTCCATAAAACACTTGAAAAATTGATTCTGAGCCAAATATGAGAGCCATGAACTGTGGCACAGCCTCAAAAGGTCCTGAGAACACCTGTGCAAGGTGGTTGGGTTGCGGCCTGCTTTTATGTTTTAGGGAGACATATCAATCAATACATGTAAAGTATACATTGGTTTGATTTGGTTTGGAAAAGCAGGACAATTCAAAGTGGGGAATTCCAAATCATGGTGGATTTGAAGATTTTCTGATTGGCGATTGGCTGAAAAATTTAAATTATCTAAAAAGTTGAAGTCAGCGAAAAGCAATGCTTAAGATAAGGGGGTTGTGGAAGCCAAGGTTCTTGTTATGTAGACGAAGGCTCCACGTTCCAGAGAGAAGAGATGGTCAATGTCTCTTATCAGAACCTAAAAGGTGCCAGACTCTTGGATAAATCTCTCCTGAATCAGGAAGAGACCTGGAAAGGGAAAAAGATTCTCAACAGAATATACATTTCCTCCACAAGAGACGGCTTTGCAGGGCCCTTCCAAAATGTGTCAGAGAAACATATTCTGGCAATAAATACTTTAATTTCCTTCCATGCCTGCCACCTGTCATGTGATGCTATACCAGAGTCAGGTTGGGATTTGATACCTTATTGCTACAAAGAGTCTGCTTTGTCAGTCTTAAGCTCCCTGTTTTAATGTTAACACTGGTCAGCTGAGCCTAAGCTCCAACAGGGAGAGGGTATAGTGAGGGAGTCCAAACCACCCTCCCCTTCCTGTCATGGCCTGAACTGGTTTTCCAGGTTTCTTTGGAATCCCCTTGGTTTAGCATTTTATTTTGTCGTTTACACCTTTTAAATATAAGTTCCAACTTTCAGTCATTTCTTTGCTCCCATATCTTACCATAGACTGTTAGAAGCAACCAGGTCACACCTTAGAAACATCTGCTTAGAAATGTCTTCCACAGATGCCCTAAGTCATCACTCTTAAGGTCAAACTTCCACAGATCCCTAAGGCATGAACACAATGCAGCCAAGTTGTTTCTTAGGATTTAACAAGCGTGACCTTTACCCCAGTTCCCAATAAGTTCCTCATTTCCATCTGAGATTTCATCAGCCTGGCTTTCACAGTCCATATGTCTATCAGCATTTTGGTGACAACCATTTAATAGTCTCTAAGAAATTCCAAACTTTCCCTCATCTTCCTGTCTTCTTCTGAGTCCTCCAAATTCTTCTAACCTCTCTGCCTGTTACCTGATTCCAAAGCTGCTTCCACATTTTCAGGTATCCTTATAGCAATGTTCCACTCCTCAATACCAATGTTCTGAGTTAGTCTATTTGTGTTACTAGAAAAAAAAAAAAACATGAATCTGGTAATTTATAAAGAAAAGAGGTTTGCACCAGGCACTGTGGCAAGGAAGGGAGGATTAACTAGCTCACAGTTCTGCAGCCATTCTGGAAACACGGCCCTGGCATCTGCTTCTGGCGAGGCCTCAGGGAGATTGCAATCACGGCAGAAGGCGAAGGGGGAGCAGGCATGTCACATGGCAAGAGGGAGCAAGAGAAGAGAAGTGGCACGTCCCAGACTTTTAAACAATGAGCTGTCACAGGGACTAACTGAGGGAGAACTCGCTCATCACCTGGGAGATGGTGCTAGGCCATTCATGAGGGGTCCAGCCCCATGATCTAATCACCTCCCACCAGGCCCACCTCCAACACTGGGAATCACATCTCAACACGAAATTTGAAGAGACACACATCCAAACTATTGCACCACAGGAAGCTGGAAGAGGTGGACGGTCCTCCCCTGGAGCACTCAGAGACAGCCACCAACACCTTGATCTCAGATTCCTGACTCCCAGAACTCTGAAAAAATTTTTGTTGTTTTAAGCCACATTTGTGATATTTTGTTACGGCAGCCACAGCACGGATATAGCTGGTAACAGAGTTCTTTAGCCTCCAAAATACAAGCCTGGGGTAAATAACTATTGAATTTGGCCACATGGAAATCAGGAAGAATGTAATAAGCATCCTCGATGGATGGGATGACCTGGGAGATCGTGGCAAGTTTAAAGCTAATTGGAAGTTGGCAACCAAAAAATCCTGTCTTGCAAATTGCCAGGAAATTGCCAAGAAAACCTTTAGAAAACATGGTTAAAGATGGAGAAACCCGGATGAATCCCTGGTTTCTGAAGAGGTGCTTAGGCATTGAAGTGAGACTGACGAGACTTCACACTGTACCCTTCAGAAGGGCAGACACTCACGAGATCATCAACCACAGCTCCCTCGCTGGGAGGCAGACACAGAGCTGGAGGCGGCGGCCACAAACTAGGTGGGCAGAGAGGCGTCAGCATCGGGACTTGCAGGAGGCCCTGGGAAGGAACAGGGAGCGGTGGGGCCTGGACAGCCCTGGGGAAAGGAAGTTACTTGGAGGAGACCAGGGGCTTGCATTTGGGCCAAAACCAAGGACAAGAGATCAGCTGGTCCCAGGGAACTCTGGAGCCCAACACCCCACCACGGGTGCAGGGGCCTGACGACCCAAGAGAGGGCTGTGGGCACCGGGCACCAGCCTGTGGGGGGTCTGAAGGCTGCTGCCCAGCCACACATGTCCTGGTTCTGAACAAAGGGTTCAAGAGACACCTGGAAACCTACCCTTCTGAGAGCAGCCTCTTAGCCTCAGCTGGTATTGGCCCCTGGTCACCCCACATGCCCCGACAGTGGGGCCTGGCCTCAGAAAGGGGCCCCTCCATTTGTACTTTCTATCTGATCCTTGACACAGTGCTAACACCAAAGACCAAACCCGAATCTTGGTTCACATACTCTGCAAAGAAATGACTAAGACTAGTTCTTCCGGAGGTCAGTTTTAGAACGTTTATTCTGACTTAATTCTGCCTTATCTCTGTGCACCAAGAAAACTATCTGCACATCTGTAGTAAAATGTGAAGGTACCTTCATTTTGTTTGTATACTAAACTTTTAAGAAATACCTCACTTTTTAAAACTTGGTTTTGTGTTTTGTATGCTTATAATATTTTCCATAATAGATCATTTTAATGATAAACTCTGAATCTTCTGACAGAATGCAGATCAATGGATTCCTGGCCATCAGGGAGGCGTTGATTGCAAAGGGGCCTGGTGGAATATTTGGAGAGATTCTACATCTTCTTGCAACTGTTCATCTGGATTACGGTGGTGGTTGCATGAGTGTGCATTTGTTGAAACTCACATGTCACAGGATGGATTATACTGAATGTAAACTACACTTGTGTAAATATGACTTTTAAAACTTTAAAAAGTTGGGGGATGGTTCACTGCCCCGGCTCGAAGCCCCCTGGCCACGCTGCCTGGCCAGCCCACCCCCATCCCTGCCAGCGCTTGCCTCCAGCGTCCCAACAGCCTCCTGACCCCCTGGGCTGCTCTAAACCCTCAGGAGCGCAGCCATCTGGGATCAGCTGGATGGAGATGGGGAGCCCGAGACTCGTGCCACACCACGTCCTCCCGCCCCCACCAGCCACACGCAGACGTCAAAGCAGCACTGTCCTCGCACCCGCTGCTCCCACCCACCCTGGCATGGCCATTCCAGGCCTGGGGCAGGAAGGCAGACGCTCCCCCTGCCCCCAGACACAAGCATTCCTGCACACACCCCCAGCACACACACGCACTCCCATGCGCACACTGACACACACAGGTGTGTGCAGCTGAGACACAGCCCGTTCCCAGGAAGCCCAGCCCCCATCACTGAGGGAAAGGGGCAGCACCGTAGGGCCACAGGAGTGGCAGCTGGACACAGAGCCAGGCGCTGGCGAAGGCCCAGGCCACTGAGGCAGGCTGCCGGCATGGCTGGGCGTGAAGGCCAGAACAGGGCAGGAGGGGCTGGGGGCACTATGCCTATTGGGCCTAGGTGGGCACACGCCGGGCAGGAGAGGAACAGCCCGGCCCCTCAGACAGGAAGGGGTGGGGGCAGGGGCCATTTCTGGAGGCCAGGGCAGGGCCAGCACCCCAAGGAAAAGCAGAGCAGGGTGAGAACGGACATGGGGCTCAGAGCTGAGCAGGCCTGCTGGGCCCCAGGAGGGAGACACAGACGACTGGGGATCTCAAGGCTGGCAGAGGCCAGAGATGGAGCCCCAGCTGGGATGCCAACCTCCTTCCTGGGGGCTCACCCTGCCCGGCCCCTCCAGCCCAGCACAGCTTGGGGCATTGGATAGAACCGGGAGAGAGCCGACCAGGCACTGAGGCCCCTGCCCCAAATGCCCACAGCCTGGGGAAAATGAGCAGGTACATGGGAGGGGCAAGTGGAGCCCCAGGCACACCCACACAGTGCACACAGCCTCACCGGGGCCCGGGAAGTGGGGGAACAGGAGGCTCACCACCCCTGCTGTGGTTTCTCTCAGAATCATGGGTCCTTCCAGGGAACTCAGCATTTTCCCCTCAGCCTCCCACACGGCACCTTTCTCCAGGGCCACAAGCAGGGCATGGGGGCCTTGGACAGCCTGGGAACACTCACCCCCAGCCTGCGTTCCCTGAGCCTCACATCATAGCCCTCCAGGGCCCTGGCAGCCAGCAGCCCTTCTGGTGTCTTCCACACGTGGTGAGCATCTCTCTGAGGGCACCAGGCCCGACAGCCCCTCTCCCTCCACAGGACAACCAGCCCTGGGCACCCAGGGTCCCAGGGGCAGGTCCCAGTGTCTCCCTCCCCAAAGATTCTATACAACCCACCCCTCCCCAGTGGCCACTCCATGCATGCTGGCCTCCAGGGGACAGGCAGGCCAATGGTGTGAAGGAAATTATCTCGCTCAGAGCAGAGCACTGGGTGCAACCAGGGACGAATGCCATGGGCGCCTCCAGGAAGGCCACCGAGCCCGAGCCCAGCCTTCTCCATGTGCCCACGCCCACCCATGGCATAGACGGGGCACAGTGTCCCCAGCCTCCAGCAGCTTCAAGGACCTTGCAGAGCCACCAGCCACCTCCGCACAGCTCCCTGCCAGCCCCCAGCCAGGCCCCAGCCTTCATGTGCTCGCCTTGAGGAGCAGCCCAGCTTGGGACCCCCGGCTGCAGGACAGTGACCTGGGAGTGAGTACAAGGTGAGGCCACCACTCAGGGTGCCAGCTCCAAGCGGGTCACAGGGACGAGGGCTGCGGCCATCAGGAGGCCCTGCACACACATCTGGGACACGCGGCCCCCGAGGGCCAGTTCACCTCAGTGCGCCTCATTCTCCTGCACAAAAGCGCCCCCATCCTTTCTTCACAAGGCTTTCGTGGAAGCAGAGGCGTCGATGCCCAGTACCCTCTCCCTTTCCCAGGCAACGGGACCCCAAGTTTGCTGACTGGGACCACCAAGCCACGCATGCGTCAAGAGTGAGAGTCCGGGACCTAGGCAGGGGCCCTGGGGTTGGGCCTGAGAGAGAAGAGAACCTCCCCCAGCACTCGGTGTGCATCGGTAGTGAAGGAGCCTCACCTGACCCCCGCTGTTGCTCAATCGACTTCCCAAGAACAGAGAGAAAAGGGAACTTCCAGGGCGGCCCGGGCCTCCGGGGGTTCCCACCCCATTTTTAGCTGAAAGCACTGAGGCAGAGCTCCCCCTACCCAGGCTCCACTGCCCGGCACAGAAATAACAACCACGGTTACTGATCATCTGGGAGCTGTCCAGGAACCCGACAGGGAGCCGGACGGGCCACACCATCCACAGGCACCAAATGGACGACCCGGCGCTTCAGGTATCCCAGCCCACCGGGAGCCCCAATCGAGGGGCCGGCCCAGGCAGCAGTGAGGGAGAGGCTGCCTGGGCCCCTGACAGCGAGGGGACTCCTGGGCCACCCTCACAGCATCAACCAAGCTTCTTGGTCACTGCGTGGACTCTAGGCATCCCTTCCCTGCATGGGGACACAGGAAAGCTAGAAACAGCCTAACGCCGACCTGGAGAAGGCAGGGGGCTGGGAATCTTGGCTGGGCCCAAGACCAAGAAGGTCAGAGACCCCACGCTGGGCAGGGCTAGGCTGGGTGCAGACTGCCTGCCACCCCTAGGACAGGGACAGCCAACCCAGAGCTGGGAGGGAGGGTGGGGAGGCGGCAGCAGGGAGCTGTCCTGAGCTCCACTGCGCAACTGGCTGATCTTGGCAAGTCTGAGCTGGGCGGACTGAGGGGGGCTTGGCTGAGTGGACTAGACTGAGACGGGCCTAACAGACTGAGCTGAGGCGAGCTGGGTGGGCTGAGAGGGCTACCCTGTCCCTTAGAGGACAGGTGGCCAAGCTGGGCTGTCCTGAGCCAGGGCGATCGGGGCTGGCCCGGGCCAGGCGGGTTTAGCTGAGTTGAGTGAGTGGACTGGGTAGAGGGAAATGAGCTAGGCTCAGCTGAGCTAGGCTTGAGCTGGGTTATCCTAAGCCCTAAGGTGGACTGAGCTGGGCTGAGCTGGACTTATCTGGGGGGCAGGGCAAAGTCAGGCTGAGCTGAGGTGGCCTGCCCTGGGTGGTCCAGGATTGAGTTAAGCTGAATTAGGCTGACCTGGACTTGACTGGACTTGGTTGAAATAAGCTGGGCCGACACAGGAGTAGGGACAAGCTACAGTTCTCTACTTAGGATAAAATGGGTGCTCGTGGACTATCCGGGCTGAAGGAGACCAAGCTGGGGTATTACCTGCTGAGCTTACCTGACCTGGCCTGAGTTCAGCAGGGCTGCGCTGAGCTGGACAGACCTGAGCCAAGCTTAGCTGGTTGGGCTGAGTAAGCTGGGCTGAGCTAAATGGGATTGAGCTGAGGAGGGCTAGGCTGGGGGAGAGACCTGACGACGGACAGGGTTAAAAGCTGGAGTGAGCAGGCCTTAAATTATTGAACTAAATTGGGCTGGGGTGATCTGAATTTAGCTGGGATGAGCTGGGCTGGGCTGAACTGTGCCCACGTGAACTGGGCTAAACTAGGCTCGCCTGAGTGGACTCAGCTGGGTTGGTCTCAACTGGGTTCAGCTGGGCTGGGCTGGGCTGAGCTAGGTTAGACTGGGGCAGGCTGGGCTGGGTTGGGCTGGGTTGGGCTGGGCTGCTCTAGGCTAAGCTAACCTAACCTAACCTGGGTTCAGCTGGCCTAGGTTGGGCTGGGTTGGGCTAAACTGGGTTCAGCTGAGATATGCTAATATGGGCTGGGCTGGGTCAGGTTGAGGTTAACTGAACTGGGCTGACCTGGGCTGAGCTCAACTGAGTTCACATGGGCTGGGCTGGCCTGGCCTGGCCTAAACTGGGTTTGGCTGGGCTGGGCCAACTGGACTGAGGTGGATGGAGCTGGGCTGAGCTGGCCTGGCCGGGCCTGAGCTGTGATTGGAAGACCTGGGCTGAGCTGGACAGACCTGAGCCAAGCTTAGCTAGTTGGGCTGACTAAGCTGGTTTGGGCTAAACTGGGTTGAGCTGGGGAGGACTAGGCTGGGTGAGTGACCTGAGATGGACAGGGTTATAAGAAGCTGGACTGAGCTGGGCTTGGATTATTGAACCGAATTGGGTTGGGGTGATTTAAACTGAGTTCTGCTGGGATAAGCTGATCTACGCTGGGCTGAACTGAGCAGAGCTGAACCTAGCTGGGCTGGGCTAAACTGGGCTAGCCTGAGTGGGCTGAACTGGGCTGCTGGGCTGGACTGGGTAAGCTGGGCTGAGCTGGGTTGGGTGGAAATGGGCTGAGCTGAGCTAGGCTAAACTGGGTTTGGCTGGGCTGGGCTGGGCTGGGCTGGGTTCAGCTGAGCGGGGTTGGGTTAGACTGGGTCAAACTGGTTCAGCTGAGATGGGCTGATATGAGCTGGGCTGGGCCAGGCTGAGCTCAGCTAAACTGGGCAGTGCTGGACTGGGCTGAGCTAGACTGGGCAACTGTATTCAGCTGGGCTGGCCTGGCCTCGGCTAAACTGGGTTCAGCTGGGCTGGGCTGAGCAGGCCTGAGCAGGATTAGTTGAGCTGGTCGTAACTGGATTTAACTAGCTAGGCTAGGCTTAACTGACTAAGCTGATCTGGACTGTATTCATCTGGATGAAGCTGGGGTGAGGTGGCTACTTTAGGTCCAGCTTTGCTGAGCTAAACTGGACCGGGCTAAATTGATCTGGACTGACCATTCTCACCTGGCTAAGAGGAGCTGAGTCAGAAGCAAGCTGGTTGAGCTGGCTGGACTGAAATAAGAGTTTGCTGCCTGCAAGGGGAGGTCCTGGGCTGACCTGGGCCAGGCTGAACCAGGCTGGCTTAGAGTGAACTTCAGAGGGCGACTCCCCCGGTAGGCCAGTCTCAGCTGAACTTGGCTGTCCCGGTGGGCAGAGCGGGGCTGGATACTGTGATTTTGGGGGTACCTAGAGCAGACTTCAAGACCAAGCTAAACTGGGCTCCAGGGGCAGGATGGGCTGGGGACTTGGGACTCCAGGCCAGGGGCGAAGGGCCACGCTGTACAGACCGCACTATCTGGGCCAGGGTTCTGTGGTGGGAGGGACTGACTGCCTGGGGCATCAGGGCAAGTCTTCCCGCCCTCCCCTAGAGGTCAGGGGTGGGCAGAGCACCATGGGGGTCTGGCAGGTCAGGTGAGGGCTGCTGTGATGGGGAGATCCAGGCTTGGCACTCAAGAGCCCGAGGAGCTGAGACCACAGCCTTGGGGGGTTGGGGTCAGGGTTGGAGGGCAGGCAGACCATCCACCATGAGCCCAGAGAGAGTTTGAAGGGGGAGGGCTCTGGGGTCCCAGGCCCCATGGGGTCCCTGGGTTTCAGCCTAGGGGCATGGCCCAGTGTCTCTGCTCCTGAGTGCCCACCGTGCAGCACTTGCAGGGGGAGGCTGGGGTCATCCTGGAGGCACCCCCCTTCCTGAGCCCAGCCTGATGATAGTGGCTGAGCAACAGCTTCTGGTGGGGGAATGGGGGCCCTGGGAGCCGCCCTGGGCCTGGGGATTGTGGGGAAAAAGGCCCAGAATGAGCCTGGCCATCTGGATCCCTGCCACGGGGTCCCCAGCTCCCCCATCCAGGCCCCCCAGGCCTGATGGGCGCTGGCCTGAGGCTGGCACTGACTAGGTTCTGTCCTCACAGCCTCCACACAGAGCCCATCCGTCTTCCCCTTGACCCGCTGCTGCAAAAACATTCCCTCCAATGCCACCTCCGTGACTCTGGGCTGCCTGGCCACGGGCTACTTCCCGGAGCCGGTGATGGTGACCTGGGACACAGGCTCCCTCAACGGGACAACTATGACCTTACCAGCCACCACCCTCACGCTCTCTGGTCACTATGCCACCATCAGCTTGCTGACCGTCTCGGGTGCGTGGGCCAAGCAGATGTTCACCTGCCGTGTGGCACACACTCCATCGTCCACAGACTGGGTCGACAACAAAACCTTCAGCGGTAAGAGAGGGCCAAGCTCAGAGACCACAGTTCCCAGGAGTGCCAGGCTGAGGGCTGGCAGAGTGGGCAGGGGTTGAGGGGGTGGGTGGGCTCAAACGTGGGAACACCCAGCATGCCTGGGGACCCGGGCCAGGACGCGGGGGCAAGAGGAGGGCACACAGAGCTCAGAGAGGCCAACAACCCTCATGACCACCAGCTCTCCCCCAGTCTGCTCCAGGGACTTCACCCCGCCCACCGTGAAGATCTTACAGTCGTCCTGCGACGGCGGCGGGCACTTCCCCCCGACCATCCAGCTCCTGTGCCTCGTCTCTGGGTACACCCCAGGGACTATCAACATCACCTGGCTGGAGGACGGGCAGGTCATGGACGTGGACTTGTCCACCGCCTCTACCACGCAGGAGGGTGAGCTGGCCTCCACACAAAGCGAGCTCACCCTCAGCCAGAAGCACTGGCTGTCAGACCGCACCTACACCTGCCAGGTCACCTATCAAGGTCACACCTTTGAGGACAGCACCAAGAAGTGTGCAGGTACGTTCCCACCTGCCCTGGTGGCCGCCACGGAGGCCAGAGAAGAGGGGCGGGTGGGCCTCACACAGCCCTCCGGTGTACCACAGATTCCAACCCGAGAGGGGTGAGCGCCTACCTAAGCCGGCCCAGCCCGTTCGACCTGTTCATCCGCAAGTCGCCCACGATCACCTGTCTGGTGGTGGACCTGGCACCCAGCAAGGGGACCGTGAACCTGACCTGGTCCCGGGCCAGTGGGAAGCCTGTGAACCACTCCACCAGAAAGGAGGAGAAGCAGCGCAATGGCACGTTAACCGTCACGTCCACCCTGCCGGTGGGCACCCGAGACTGGATCGAGGGGGAGACCTACCAGTGCAGGGTGACCCACCCCCACCTGCCCAGGGCCCTCATGCGGTCCACGACCAAGACCAGCGGTGAGCCATGGGCAGGCCGGGGTCGTGGGGGAAGGGAGGGAGCGAGTGAGCGGGGCCCGGGCTGACCCCACGTCTGGCCACAGGCCCGCGTGCTGCCCCGGAAGTCTATGCGTTTGCGACGCCGGAGTGGCCGGGGAGCCGGGACAAGCGCACCCTCGCCTGCCTGATCCAGAACTTCATGCCTGAGGACATCTCGGTGCAGTGGCTGCACAACGAGGTGCAGCTCCCGGACGCCCGGCACAGCACGACGCAGCCCCGCAAGACCAAGGGCTCCGGCTTCTTCGTCTTCAGCCGCCTGGAGGTGACCAGGGCCGAATGGGAGCAGAAAGATGAGTTCATCTGCCGTGCAGTCCATGAGGCAGCAAGCCCCTCACAGACCGTCCAGCGAGCGGTGTCTGTAAATCCCGGTAAATGACGTACTCCTGCCTCCCTCCCTCCCAGGGCTCCATCCAGCTGTGCAGTGGGGAGGACTGGCCAGACCTTCTGTCCACTGTTGCAATGACCCCAGGAAGCTACCCCCAATAAACTGTGCCTGCTCAGAGCCCCAGGTACACCCATTCTTGGGAGCGGGCAGGGCTGTGGGCAGGTGCATCTTGGCACAGAGGAATGGGCCCCCCAGGAGGGGCAGTGGGAGGAGGTGGGCAGGGCTGAGTCCCCCCAGGAGAGGCGGTGGGAGGAGGTGGGCAGGGCTGAGGTGCCACTCATCCATCTGCCTTCGTGTCAGGGTTATTTGTCAAACAGCATATCTGCAGGGACTCATCACAGCTACCCCGGGCCCTCTCTGCCCCCACTCTGGGTCTACCCCCTCCAAGGAGTCCAAAGACCCAGGGGAGGTCCTCAGGGAAGGGGCAAGGGAGCCCCCACAGCCCTCTCTCTTGGGGGCTTGGCTTCTACCCCCCTGGACAGGAGCCCCTGCACCCCCAGGTATAGATGGGCACACAGGCCCCTCCAGGTGGAAAAACAGCCCTAAGTGAAACCCCCACACAGACACACACGACCCGACAGCCCTCGCCCAAGTCTGTGCCACTGGCGTTCGCCTCTCTGCCCTGTCCCGCCTTGCCGAGTCCTGGCCCCAGCACCGGGGCCGGTGGAGCCGAGCCCACTCACACCCCGCAGCCTCCGCCACCCTGCCCTGTGGGCACACCAGGCCCAGGTCAGCAGCCAGGCCCCCTCTCCTACTGCCCCCCACCGCCCCTTGGTCCATCCTGAATCGGCCCCCAGGGGATCGCCAGCCTCACACACCCAGTCTCGCCCACTCACGCCTCACTCAAGGCACAGCTGTGCACACACTAGGCCCCATAGCAACTCCACAGCACCCTGTACCACCACCAGGGCGCCATAGACACCCCACACGTGGTCACACGTGGCCCACACTCCGCCTCTCACGCTGCCTCCAGCGAGGCTACTGCCAAGCCCTTCCTCTGAGCCATACCTGGGCCGCTGGATCCCAGAGAGAAATGGAGAGGCCCTCACGTGGTGTCCTCCAGTCCAACCCTCCCTGTCACCCTGTCAGCAGCAGCACCCCACAGCCAAACACAGGATGGATGCGTGGGCTCCATCCCCCACTCACCCACACCGGAACCCCAGAGCAGGCTACGTGCCCCTCACAGACCTCAAACCCACATGTGCATCTGACACCCCAGATCCAAACGCTCCCCCCGGTCATGCACACCAAGGGCACAGCACCCACCAAATCCACACGGAAACACGGGCACCGGGCACCCCATGAGCACAAAGCCCCTCCATGTCTGAAGACAGTCCCTGCACACCGTCACAGCCATACATTCAGCTTCACTCTCACGTCCCAGCCCACCTGCACCCAGCTCTGGGCCTGGAGCAGCAGAAAGAGGTGTGAGGGCCCGAGGCGGGACCTGCACCTGCTGATGACCCGGGACCAGCAGGCAGCTCACGGTGTTGGGGAAGGGAGTGGAGGGCACCCAGGGCAGGAGCCAGAGGGACCAGGCTGGTGGGCGGGGCCGGGCCGGGGTAGGGCCAGGAGGCAGCTCTGGACACCCACAGGCCTGGGCTCATAGTCCACACCAGGACAGCCCCTCAGAGCACCCATGCAGTGAGTCCCAGGTCTTGGGAGCCAGGCCGCAGAGCTCACGCATCCTTCCGAGGGCCCTGAGTGAGGCGGCCACTGCTGTGCCGAGGGGTTGGGTCCTTCTCTGGGGAGGGCGTGGGGTCTAGAGAGGCGGAGTGGAGGTAACCAGAGGTCAGGAGAGAAGCCGTAAGGAACAGAGGGAAAATGGGGCCAGAGTCGGGGCGCAGGGACGAGAGGTCAGGAGTGGTCGGCCTGGCTCTGGGCCGTTGACTGACTCGGGACCTGGGTGCCCACCCTCAGGGCTGGCTGGCGGCTCCGCGCAGTCCCAGAGGGCCCCGGATAGGGTGCTCTGCCACTCCGGACAGCAGCAGGGACTGCCGAGAGCAGCAGGAGGCTCTGTCCCCCACCCCCGCTGCCACTGTGGAGCCGGGAGGGCTGACTGGCCAGGTCCCCCAGAGCTGGACGTGTGCGTGGAGGAGGCCGAGGGCGAGGCGCCGTGGACGTGGACCGGCCTCTGCATCTTCGCCGCACTCTTCCTGCTCAGCGTGAGCTACAGCGCCGCCATCACGCTCCTCATGGTGGGCACCCACCTCCAGGGGCCCGGCCAGGGCAGGGGGTTGGGCAGAGCCAGCAGAGCGCCCTGACCCACGCCCTCCCCTCAGGTGCAGCGGTTCCTCTCAGCCACGCGGCAGGGGAGGCCCCAGACCTCCCTCGACTACACCAACGTCCTCCAGCCCCACGCCTAGGCCGCGGGCCACTCACGCTCCACCAGGCCCAGCTTTTTCTCTGCCAGCGCCTGAGCCTCCCTCGGGCTGCGCCCTGCCCTGGGTGGGAAAAGGGAAGCAGACAAGAAAAGGGGGCACAAGGTCACTACTGTGGGCTGATGGCCAGTGAACCTGAGCCCAGAGGGGCCGGCTCAGCCGCAAGGTTACAGGCGCCGAGAGAACCACCAGTCGCAGCCCCCACCCGAAAACCGTGTCTGTCCCTTCAACAGAGTCATCGAGGAGGGGTGGCTGCTAGCCGTTCTGAGCTCATCCCAGGCCCCTGGGTCTCCGGGTCACTCCCATTCTGACTGTACAATCACCAAAAGCCAAGGAGGGCCCGGCACCCAGCCCAGGACACAGCTGAGTCTGCGTCCAGCCCAACACCAGCCCACGGCCTCACTCCCCAGCCTCGGTCTGACCCTTCTAGCCCTGAGGTCCAAGTGTCTGGCATCCCCGTCCCCCAAGCCTCACCCAGACCTTCTTTCCCTTCACCCACCCCTCCTGCCACCCATCCACAGCCCCCATCCCTTCACCCACCCCTCCTGCCATCTATCCTCAGCCCCCATCCCTTCACCCACCCCTCCTGCCATCCATCCACAGCCCCCATCCCTTCACCCACCCCTCCTGCCATCTATCCTCAGCCCCCATCCCTTCACCCACCCCTCCTGCCATCCACCTGAGCCCCCATCCCTTCACCCACCCCTCCTGCCATCCACCTGCAGCCCCCATTTCTGCAGCCTGAAGGCACAGGGAAGCCCTCTGAGGCCAGGCCACAGGACAGTTGAGGGCTTCGGGCCCCTGGAGTGGGTAGAGGGGCTCCCACAGCCAGAGAAGGGGTTTCCTGCAGGGACAGCAGCTGCCGACCTCGTCCCTATGACCTCGTCCAGCCTCTGGCTTCAGCAGTCATACTTCTTTCTCTCTGGGTTTCTTAGTAAAGATCCTTTTCACAAACCCCACGTCTCCGGAGGGCTCTGTGGGAGGTGTGTGTGGCCCTGGAGTGGCTGGCGGGAGGCAGGACCCCTGAGGACGTGCAGGAGGAGCCAGAGGGGAAGGAAGGGCAGGGGCCATTCTGGGGTCCTGAGAGCCAAAGTGCCCAAGCAGTGGTTCCCATCAATCACCCCTCAGCACCCCAGAGACTCCCCAGCTCGGCCCTGTCATACCTGGTCTGCTGGTCTCCAGCCCAGACTCATGCCTCCTTCTCAGGTAAAGTCAAAGCAACAATCAACATCGACCCCTTTGTGGGCAAAACCAGAAGAGGCCCATGCTGTGGTCAGCACAGGAGGCCCCAAGAATGCAGCTGCACAGTCACCAAGGTGGAGGCTGATGGGGGCCCCTAGGACCACTGGCCACACACCCTGATCCAGCACCCACTGAGCACAGACAAAGCTGACTCCCCAGCCCACAGCCGCCCACCAGCCTGGACCTCCTGAAGAGCTGAGAGGTGACCCAGGAGCAGGCTGGGGCCCCAGAGCCATCGGGGCCACAGGTGGGCTTGACCCACACCAGTCCTCAGGGCAAATGTGCAGCCTCCCTGGCTGGAGAGGCCTGCTTACAAGGGTCTCCACAACATCCTAAAAATGGGAGAGAACGCATGATAGGCATGACAAAGGGCAGGGTTCCCTCATATACAAAGAGCACTCAGAGATCACTAAGAAGAAAGGTGAGCAATAGGTTCTTCATGGAAAGGAAAAACCCAGTGGCCGATAATATAAAGAAACCATTTTAACAATGAGAAAAGTGAAAGGAAGGAGGAGGGGATGAAGGGGGTGGAGGTGCTTCTTGGCCCTGACTGAGGGCACGTAAATCATTAAGACCACTTTTTAGGGCCAGTTGGCAAAATGCCCCAATGCAGGAGAGTCCTCTCACAGTGATGGCCCCACAGGGAGAGCCTCGCTCTGTGCCAGGAGAGCCACGTCACATGGAGTCTGGCACAAAGCGGAATGAAGCAAGCCTGCCTCAGTCTGACAGCGGCACCTGGGCCCTCCGCCCTGTCCTCTGCTGCGACCTCGGAGCAGCCGGGCACGGGGGAGAAGGTGAGGAGCGACGGCTCCCTACGGGGTAGAAAACCCCAAAGCGGGCAGCGCTGAGGCCGACTGGGTCCAAACAACACCAGAGGAGGGGGCGTCGCAGGACAGGGCCAAGGCCACAGCCGCTGCCCAGCTCCCCTCACACACTCCCTCATTCACAGACACACACGCAGGCACACACTCGCACATGCAAAAACACACAGGTTCACACACACAGACTCAACCTCTCATACACATTTGCACTCACACACACCAATCATGCACTCACACAGGCTGACACGCTCGGGCACGCTCATACCAACACACACACAGTCTCAGGAAGCCAGGCCCTCCATCCACCCCATCACCAGCCCAGGGTGTCGCAAACCCACATCTCCTACAACAGACCGGCCCTCCGCAGCCAAGGTGCCCCGGACCGGGAGCCCCCCCGGGGGACAGAGCTCAGTGACTTTCTCTGCCCCGCACCCTAGATCATGAGACCTCCATGGCCCCAGAGCAAGGGCAAGGAGTCAGCTCACTGCCCCACTGTGTGGCAGGCGTCCTCACGCACAGAAAATTCCATCGCCTCAAAGGCCTGAGAGGAAGACCAGATGAGCACCCACGTAGAGGAGACAGACGGGGCCCGTGGGGAGGGGCAGAGGCCCGGATTCACACCCAGGCTCGGAACAGCGCCCCTGCCTTCCACATGGCCTGGCCTCCCGGGAGCAAGAGGATGCCGTCTCAGGGCCTCTCCATCCCCCTCTTCATTCCCCTATTAACCCACCCGTGGGTACAACCATGGCCCCCAAAAGATAGAGCCACATCCTAGCCCCTGGGGCCATTGAGTGCGGCATTATTTGTCAAAAGGGCCTTTGCAGATCCCATCAAGATAAGGATTTCGAGGTGAGGGCACCCTGGATTGTCAAGGATTTCGAGGTGAGGGCACCCTGGATTGTCAAGGATTTCGAGGTGAGGGCGCCCTGGATTGTCAAGGATTTCGAGGCGAGGGCGCCCTGGATTGTCAAGGATTTCGAGGTGAGGGAGCCCTGGATTGTCAAGGATTTCGAGGTGAAGGAACCCTGGATTGTCAAGGATTTCGAGGTGAGGGCACCCTGGATTGTCAAGGATTTCGAGGTGAAGGAACCCTGGATTGTCAAGGATTTCGAGGTGAGGGCACCCTGGATTGTCAAGGATTTCGAGGTGAAGGAACCCTGGATTGTCAAGGATTTCGAGGTGAGGGCGCCCTGGATTGTCAAGGATTTCGAGGTGAAGGAACCCTGGATTGTCAAGGATTTCTAGGTGAGGGCACCCTGGATTGTCAAGGATTTCGAGGTGAAGGAACCCTGGATTGTCAAGGATTTCGAGGTGAGGGCACCCTGGATTGTCAAGGATTTCGAGGTGAGGGCGCCCTGGATTGTCAAGGATTTCGAGGTGAGGGAGCCCTGGATTGTCAAGGATTTCGAGGTGAGGGAGCCCTGGATTGTCAAGGATTTTGAGGTGAAGGAACCCTGGATTGTCAAGGATTTCGAGGTGAGGGCGCCCTGGATTGTCAAGGATTTCGAGGTGAGGGAACCCTGGATTGTCAAGGATTTCGAGGTGAGGGCGCCCTGGATTGTCAAGGATTTCGAGGTGAGGGCGCCCTGGATTGTCAAGGATTTCGAGGTGAAGGAACCCTGGATTGTCAAGGATTTCGAGGTCAGGGCACCCTGGATTGTCAAGGATTTCGAGGTGAAGGAATCCTGGATTGTCAAGGATTTCGAGGTGAGGGCGCCCTGGATTGTCAAGGATTTCGAGGTGAGGGAACCCTGGATTGTCAAGGATTTCGAGGTGAGGGCGCCCTGGATTGTCAAGGATTTCGAGGTGAGGGCGCCCTGGATTGTCAAGGATTTCGAGGTGAGGGCGCCCTGGATTGTCAAGGATTTCGAGGTGAAGGAACCCTGGATTGTCAAGGATTTCGAGGTGAAGGAACCCTGGATTGTCAAGGATTTCGAGGTGAAGGAACCCTGGATTGTCAAGGATTTCGAGGTGAGGGCACCCTGGATTGTCAAGGATTTCGAGGTGAGGGCGCCCTGGATTGTCAAGGATTTCGAGGTGAGGGAACCCTGGATTGTCAAGGATTTCGAGGTGAGGGCACCCTGGATTGTCAAGGATTTCGAGGTGAGGGCACCCTGGATTGTCAAGGATTTCGAGGTGAGGGCGCCCTGGATTGTCAAGGATTTCGAGGTGAGGGCGCCCTGGATTGTCAAGGATTTCGAGGTGAGGGCGCCCTGGATTGTCAAGGATTTCGAGGTGAAGGACACCCTGGATTATCGAGGGGGCTAGGTCCGAGGACAAGTGTCCTAGCTGGAGACAGACGAGGAGACACAGGGATGGGGAGAGGCAGAGGCAGACAGGGGTGGTGCTATGGTCTGAGGGTCTGTGTCTGCCCGAAACTCCTGTGTGACAGCCGTCATCCCAGAGTGAGAGCATGCAGAGCTGGGGCCTCAGGGAGGTGGTTAGGGCCTGAGGGGGAACACTCAAAAATGTGACTCGGTCCCTGATCTCACTAGAGACCCAAAAGAAAAGGGACCCCAGAGAGCAGCCCTGCCCTCTTTCCACCATGTGAGGACGCAGCGAAAAGATGGGGGTCTGTGAACCAGGAATCGGCCCTTCCTGGAACTTGACCCTGCTGCCATCCTGACCTTGAACTTCCAGCTTCCCTGAGAAATGAATGTTGCTGCTGAACCCACCAGTCTATGGTATTTTTGTTATTGCAGCCAGAAATGACTAAGACGCAGCAGCCACGTCCCCCTGGCGAGGGCCGGGGGCATCCCAAGGTTCATAACAAAAGCTCCAGAGCTTCCCTGAACCGCCAGGTGTGTCTTCCCAGGACCCTGGGGCAGCCCCAGGCTACCTCCCTCCTCCTCTGGCCCCACCTGCCCTGATCCGGCCTCACTGTCACTCCCTGGATTTCACCCGACAGCCTCCGCCGGGGTGGCCCGGCCCCATGGCCAGGGCATCTTCCATTCACGCCCACGCTTTCCAGGACTCCGCTGCAGCAGCTCCTCTGTGAAGCGCCCCTGGCCTCCCATTGCCGGTGCCACCCGAGCCCCCAGACATAGCTGGCCTCCCCCGACTCCAGGGCCAGCATCGCTGGCGGGATCTCTCCAACGCAACGGCCAGCTCTCTGGTGACCCACAGTAGGAGTGCCACCTGGGCAGTGCTGGACAGGGTAGAGCAGGCACCTTGGCCGCCCTGACCCGCAGGGCTGCAGGCTAGGAGACGGGGTGCCCCCATGCCCCCACCCTGGGCTGCAGTCTGGGGCCCCCAGTGGCCCATGGGGCAGGCCGAGGGAGGCCAGGCCCGAGTGGCTCCAACCCAGCAGCGCAAGACTCACTCTCCCCAGCCTGATGCCCGCCCTGTGGCCCCAAGGCCCCTTCAACGGGAGTCCACTCACAGGCGCCCTTCCCCTGCGGGTGGTCGGGGACCCTCTCTGGCCCTGTGTCTCCCCTTTGCCATCTCTGTCTCGGGGTCTCTGAGCCTCTAACTGTGTCTGTTCCTGTTTCCCTGCAGCGTGGCCCCCACCCCGCCCTGTGGAGCCATGTGGAGCCGTGAGGCTCCACGGCCGGTGGGGTCACAGAGCCCTGGCCACACACACCTGGCCCCACCACAGCCAGACCACAGGCCAGACATGACGTGGAGCCGCGCAGCCGTGTCTGCTGGGGCAGGAAGTGGGCGAGTGACCCCGTCTGTAGGCCAGACGTACGGGCATGCAGGCCCTCCCCTCCAGCCCCTCAGCATCCAGCCACATCTGTGGACACAGCCAGCGCGGCGGAGCAGGGCTCTGCTAAGGACAGACGGCCATCAAGGCAGGACCTGGGCCGGGCCAGGGCTCCCTCCCCACAGCAGCCCTCTTGGCAGGCAGCCAGACGCCCGTGAGGGTGGACCTGCCATGAGGGCCTGCACGCCGGAGGCCGCCCACTCAGCACTGCGGGCCCTCCAGCAGCCTGACCAGGTGGGTCTTGGAGGTCTCCAGGCCTCCGTCTCCTTCTCTGCACATTGAGGAGTCCAGCCAGGCTGGTCCTGGCCCCTTCTGGAAGCAAAAGGTGGAGAACAGGCACCAAGACAAGAGGGAAGGACAAAAGAGGTCACCACAGGGACTCCGGAACCACAGGGCAGGGCTTCCTAACCAGGCAGGAAGGATCTGGGCACTGGGGGCTGAGCCAGGCTGGCCAGGCCTAAGCTGGGATGACCCGGCCCTTCCTGGGATACAAGGTGAACAGCTTTCATGGCTGAGCTGAGGCCTAAGTTGAGCCGAGGCCTAGGCTGAGCCGAGCCAGAGGGCAGAGGAGAAGATGACCTGGAGCCAACTGATACACGTCCATGTGGGCTGCCCTGAGCTGCCCTGGCCTGGGCTGGGCTGAGCTAGGCTACACTGGGCTGAGCTAGGCTACACTGGACTGGGCTGAGCTGAACTGAGCTGAGCTGGGCTGAGCTGGGCTGGGCTAGGCTGGGCTGAGCTGGGCTGGGCTGAGCTGAGCTGGAGCTGGGGCTGAGGTGGACTGGGCTGGGCTGGGCTGGGCTGAGCTGGGCTGAGCTGAGCTGGACTGAGCTGGGCTGGGCTGGGCTAGGCTGGGCTGGGCTGGGCTGGGCTGGGCTGGGCTGGGCTAGGCTGGGCTGGGCTGGACTGGGCTGGGCTAGATTGGGCTGGGCTGGACTGGGCTAGGCTGAGCTGGGCTGAGCTGAGCTGGACTGAGCTGGGCTGGGCTGGGCTGGGCTGGGCTGGGCTGGGCTGGGCTAGATTGGGCTGGGCTGGACTGGGCTAGGCTGAGCTGGGCTGAGCTGAGCTGGACTGAGCTGGGCTGGGCTGGGCTGAGCTGGGCTGGGCTGGGCTGGGCTGGGCTGGGCTAGGCTGGGCTGGGCTGGGCTGGGCTGGGCTGGGCTAGGCTGGGCTGGGCTGGGCTGAGCTGGGCTGAGCTGAGCTGGACTGAGCTGGGCTGGGCTGGGCTAGGCTGGGCTGGGCTGGGCTGGGCTGGGCTAGATTGGGCTGGGCTGGACTGGGCTAGGCTGAGCTGGGCTGAGCTGAGCTGGACTGAGCTGGGCTGGGCTGGGCTGGGCTGGGCTGGGCTGGGCTGGGCTAGGCTGGGCTGGGCTGAGCTGGGCTGGGCTGGGCTGGGCTGAGCTGGGCTGAGCTGAGCTGGACTGAGCCGGGCTGGGCTGGGCTAGGCTGGGCTGGGCTGGGCTGGGCTGGGCTGGGCTGGGCTGGGCTAGGCTGGGCTGGGCTGGGCTAGATTGGGCTGGGCTGGACTGGGCTAGGCTGAGCTGGGCTGAGCTGAGCTGGACTGAGCTGGGCTGGGCTGGGCTGGGCTGGCCTGGGCTGGCCTGGGCTGGGCTGGCCTGGGCTGGGCTGAGCTGGACTGGGCTAGACTGGGCTAGACTGGGCTGGGCTGGACTGTGCTGGGCTGGACTGTGCTGGGCTGGACTGGGCTGGGCTGGGCTGGGCTGGGCTGAGCTGGGCTGGGCTAGATTGGGCTGGGCTGGACTGGGCTGGGCTGGGCTGAGCTCGGCTGGGCCGGGCTGAGCTGGGCTGAGCTAGACTGGGCTGAGCTGGACTGGGCTGGGCTGGGCTGAGCTCGGCTGGGCCGGGCTGAGCTGGGCTGAGCTAGACTGGGCTGAGCTGGGCTGAGCTGGGCTGAGCTGGGCTGTGCTGAGCTGGGCTGAGCTGAGCTGGGCTGAGCTGGACTAGGCTGGGGTGAGCTAGGCTGGGCTAGGCTGGGCTGGGCTGAGCTGGGCTGGGCTGAGCTGGGCTAAACTGGACTGGGCTAGGCTGAGCTGAGCTGAGCTGAGCTGAGCTGGACTGGGCCGGGCTGGGCTGAGCTGAGCTGGGCTAGGCTGGGCTGGGCTGGGCTGACCTGATCTGAGCTGGACTGGGCTGAACTGGGTGAGCTTAGGTGGACTGAGCTGGTCTGGGCTGAGCTGAGCTGGGCTGAGCTGGGCTGGGCTGAGCTGAGCTGGGCTGAGCTGGGCTGGGCTGAGCTGGACTGAGCTATGCTGAGCTGAGCTGGGTTGCGTTGACCTGGGCTGAGCTGGGCTGGGCTGGGTTGGACTGGGCTGGGCTGAGCTGAGCTGAGCTGGGCTGGGCTGAGCTGAGCTGGGCTGGGTTGGACTGGGCTGGGCTGGGTTGGACTGGGCTGGGCTGAGCTGAGCTGTACTGAGCTGGACTGACCTGGGCTAAGCTGAGCTGGGCTGACCTGTACTGGGCTGGGCTAGACTGGGCTGAGCTGGACTGAGCTGAGCTAGACTGGGCTGAGCTGGGTGAGCTTAGGTGGACTGAGCTGGGCTGGGCTGGGCTGAGCTGAGCTGAGCTGGGCTGGGCTGGGCTGGGATGAGCTGTACTGAGCTGCCCTGGGGTGGGCTGGGCTGAGCTGGGCTGAGCTGGGCTGGGCTGGACTGAGCTGGACTGAGCTGGACTGGCCTGGGCTGGGCTGGGCTGGATGAGCTGAGGTGGCTGCTAATGTGGGAAGGAGGCCGTGGGTTGAGTGTGACTCCACCTGCAGAGCCCTGAGCCCAGCTGTGTTCTTAGGGGTTCTGAGGGCCACGCAGCTCTGTTGCACCATGATTCTGTCTTCTCTCTTGCCCACTGCCTGAAGGAAATTTGGAGTGGGCTGGGCCCAGAGCTCCCCTGGGTAACAGGCCCTGTCCTGGAGGGCCTGGCAGGGACATGGCTTAGCCTGTTGGCCTCTAGTCCCGAGACCTCATAGGCCACAGGGGTCCACTGTGGCTTGTTTGGGCCTGGGGTGGGGCTCATGGAGTGGTGGGTGTTGGACTGAGACTCTGACCAGGGACAGGGGGATGGGGTCACAGCCAAGCCACTCCACCCCTACCCCATGCACACAGCACTCAGAGCCCAGGCCCCCTCCTCAGAGCCCCCACCAAAATCCTCTCTAGGGGCAGGGGAAAGAGCAAGACATGTCCCCCACCCAGAGCAGGAACTGGGGTCAGGGAGCTCAGGGGACTCAGCCACTCCATGGCAGAGCCCTGTTTAATATAACTTGTGTCTGGGATGGCCTGGGTCAGAGGCCCTATCTAAGGAGCATGTTCAGAAACTGTGTCGCTGGGATGAGACAGCTGGGTCCAACCGCAGGCCCATGGTGCAGGAGCTGTGTAACCTTGGGGCTGTCACCAGGCCTCTCTGTGCTGGGTTCCTCCAGTGTAGAGGAGAGGCAGGTACAGCCTGTCCTCCTGGGGACATGGCATGAGGGCCGCGTCCTCACAGCGCATTCTGTGTTCCAGCATCCCCGACCAGCCCCAAGGTCTTCCCGCTGAGCCTCGACAGCACCCCCCAAGATGGGAACGTGGTCGTCGCATGCCTGGTCCAGGGCTTCTTCCCCCAGGAGCCACTCAGTGTGACCTGGAGCGAAAGCGGACAGAACGTGACCGCCAGAAACTTCCCACCTAGCCAGGATGCCTCCGGGGACCTGTACACCACGAGCAGCCAGCTGACCCTGCCGGCCACACAGTGCCCAGACGGCAAGTCCGTGACATGCCACGTGAAGCACTACACGAATTCCAGCCAGGATGTGACTGTGCCCTGCCGAGGTCAGAGGGCAGGCTGGGGAGTGGGGCGGGGCCACCCCGTCCTGCCCTGACACTGCGCCTGCACCCGTGTTCCCCACAGGGAGCCGCCCCTTCACTCACACCAGAGTGGACCGCGGGCCGAGCCCCAGGAGGTGGTGGTGGACAGGCCAGGAGGGGCGAGGCGGGGGCACGGGGAAGGGCGTTCTGACCAGCTCAGGCCATCTCTCCACTCCAGTTCCCCCACCTCCCCCATGCTGCCACCCCCGACTGTCGCTGCACCGACCGGCCCTCGAGGACCTGCTCTTAGGTTCAGAAGCGAACCTCACGTGCACACTGACCGGCCTGAGAGATGCCTCTGGTGCCACCTTCACCTGGACGCCCTCAAGTGGGAAGAGCGCTGTTCAAGGACCACCTGAGCGTGACCTCTGTGGCTGCTACAGCGTGTCCAGTGTCCTGCCTGGCTGTGCCCAGCCATGGAACCATGGGGAGACCTTCACCTGCACTGCTGCCCACCCCGAGTTGAAGACCCCACTAACCGCCAACATCACAAAATCCGGTGGGTCCAGACCCTGCTCGGGGCCCTGCTCAGTGCTCTGGTTTGCAAAGCATATTCCCGGCCTGCCTCCTCCCTCCCAATCCTGGGCTCCAGTGCTCATGCCAAGTACAGAGGGAAACTGAGGCAGGCTGAGGGGCCAGGACACAGCCCAGGGTGCCCACCAGAGCAGAGGGGCTCTCTCATCCCCTGCCCAGCCCCCTGACCTGGCTCTCTACCCTCCAGGAAACACATTCCGGCCCGAGGTCCACCTGCTGCCGCCGCCGTCGGAGGAGCTGGCCCTGAACGAGCTGGTGACGCTGACGTGCCTGGCACGTGGCTTCAGCCCCAAGGATGTGCTGGTTCGCTGGCTGCAGGGGTCACAGGAGCTGCCCCGCGAGAAGTACCTGACTTGGGCATCCCGGCAGGAGCCCAGCCAGGGCACCACCACCTACGCTGTAACCAGCATACTGCGCGTGGCAGCTGAGGACTGGAAGAAGGGGGAGACCTTCTCCTGCATGGTGGGCCACGAGGCCCTGCCGCTGGCCTTCACACAGAAGACCATCGACCGCATGGCGGGTAAACCCACCCACATCAATGTGTCTGTTGTCATGGCGGAGGCGGATGGCACCTGCTACTGAGCCGCCCGCCTGTCCCCACCCCTGAATAAACTCCATGCTCCCCCAAGCAGCCCCACGCTTCCATCCGGCGCCTGTCTGTCCATCCTCAGGGTCTCAGCACTTGGGAAAGGGCCAGGGCATGGACAGGGAAGAATACCCCCTGCCCTGAGCCTCGGGGGGCCCCTGGCACCCCCATGAGACTTTCCACCCTGGTGTGAGTGTGAGTTGTGAGTGTGAGAGTGTGTGGTGCAGGAGGCCTCGCTGGTGTGAGATCTTAGGTCTGCCAAGGCAGGCACAGCCCAGGATGGGTTCTGAGAGACGCACATGCCCCGGACAGTTCTGAGTGAGCAGTGGCATGGCCGTTTGTCCCTGAGAGAGCCGCCTCTGGCTGTAGCTGGGAGGGAATAGGGAGGGTAAAAGGAGCAGGCTAGCCAAGAAAGGCGCAGGTAGTGGCAGGAGTGGCGAGGGAGTGAGGGGCTGGACTCCAGGGCCCCACTGGGAGGACAAGCTCCAGGAGGGCCCCACCACCCTAGTGGGTGGGCCTCAGGACGTCCCACTGACGCATGCAGGAAGGGGCACCTCCCCTTAACCACACTGCTCTGTACGGGGCACGTGGGCACACATGCACACTCACACTCACATATACGCCTGAGCCCTGCAGGAGTGGAACGTTCACAGCCCAGACCCAGTTCCAGAAAAGCCAGGGGAGTCCCCTCCCAAGCCCCCAAGCTCAGCCTGCTCCCCCAGGCCCCTCTGGCTTCCCTGTGTTTCCACTGTGCACAGCTCAGGGACCAACTCCACAGACCCCTCCCAGGCAGCCCCTGCTCCCTGCCTGGCCAAGTCTCCCATCCCTTCCTAAGCCCAACTAGGACCCAAAGCATAGACAGGGAGGGGCCGCGTGGGGTGGCATCAGAAGCAGGCCAGTGAGACAGGGCCTGCCCAGGGCCCTCTGCATGCCTCTGGCTTCTGCCTGGGGCTCCCAGGAGTGAAAGAACAGTCCCACAACCACTGTGGGGACACCTGGCACCCAGACTCCCACAAGGGGGCAGTGAGGCCCCTGCTCGTGCCTTAGACATCTTCCGGGCCTCCCCAGGGGCCCCCGCCTTCTGGCTGCCTCCCTCTGCTCTCAGGGCCAAGGTGAGGTGGAGGCCACTGTCACCCCTGAGGGTCCAGTCACCAGAGGGTAATTGAGAGCAACAGGTCACTTGGGGAAGCCCTGCCACAGAGAAGCCCTCCAGCCCATGGGACCCAGGACCTGGCCTGGGGAGGGGCTTTTAAAGAGAGGGGGAAAGAGAGAGAATCAACAGATGAGGGGCTGAACCAGCAGACAGAGATCAGGCAGACACATGGGTAGATCCTAGGACATATAATGAATGGATGGGTGGATGGAGGGTGGGTAGATGAAGGATGGATGGGTGGTAAAATGGATGGGTGGGTAAATGGCTGGATGGAGGATGGACGGATGGATATGTGATGGATGGATGGATGAAGGATGGGTGGATGGAGGATGGATGAGTGGATGAAGGATGGAAGATGGATGGACTGATGGATGGATGATGGATGGATGGATGATGGATGGGTGGGTAGGCGGATGGAGGATGGAAGGGTGGATGGAGGATGGAAGATAGATGGAGGGGTGAATGGAGGATGGGTGGATGGAGGGAGGATTGAGGATAGATGGGTGGGTGGGTGGGTAGATCTATGGAGGCTAGGTGTATGGAAGATAATTGGATGGAGAATTGCTTTATGAATGGATGAATGAAGAGATGGAAAATAGCTTTATAGATGGATGGATGGATGGATGGATGGATAGATGGAAGAAGGATGAATGGATGGAAAATAGCTTTATAGATATATGGGTGGATATTTAAGTGATAGCCTTACATTAATAGATGAATGGACGATGAATGGATGGGTGAGTGGGTAGGAGTGTTACTGATGGAGGGGTGGATATACGGATAATAGCTTTATAGATGGATGGATGGATAGATGGACGGAAGGATAGAAAGACAGGTGAATGACTGGATGTATCAGCATATGACAAGCAGGTACAGCTGTACATGGGAGGTCTATGCCCTGAGACCCTGAGGAAAATGAGGATGCCCGTGCTGGTGGCCCTCACCTGGCCCTCGCTTGTAACCCCTCAGCCACATTCCCTGGGAAGGCAACAGAGGCCTCTGGTCTTGCCCATTCAACCTTTGGCACACTGAGTGTCAGACCCAGGTCTCTGTCTTGGACCCAGATCTCCTTGAGGGTGGGTGTGTCTGGTCCTCTCTGGCCCCGGGACCCAGTCACTGAATACGTGGCTGGGACTGAGACGGGGTGGGGTGGGAGGGGCGGGAGGGTACCTCGGGCTCAAGCTTCCCTTGGAGAAGCAGATGGTGTCCACTTTCTGCCCTGCCAAGTCTCTCCCTGAAGTGCCCTAAGAATGTCAAAGACAGAAGGTCCCAGCCCCTCACCTGGGACCCTGCCTCCTCATCCTCCCTGGGGGAGTCTCAGGCCTTAGATGGGGACCCAGACCCCACTGTCCCCAGACCCCAAGGAAGCATAGCCGCTGTTCACACGAGTCTGGGAGTCTGGGCCTGGCAGGCTCTTGCTGTGTTGCAGATTGGCAGATGCCGCCTCCCTATGTGGTGCTGGACTTGCCGCAGGAGACCCTGGAGGAGGAGACCCCCGGCGCCAACCTGTGGCCCACCACCATCACCTTCCTCACCCTCTTCCTGCTGAGCCTGTTCTATAGCACAGCACTGACCGTGACCAGCGTCCGGGGCCCATCTGGCAAGAGGGAGGGCCCCCAGTACTGAGCGGGAGCCGGCAAGGCACAGGTGGGAGCCCAGGAGGGGGATGAGCCCACAGTAGATGGGGTGGGCTGCAGTGATTGGCTAAGAGGAGAGCACCACCTGCTCCCACTGTGGGGGGACGTGCTCTCCTGGGGGCCCTTCACAGACACTGAGGACACGCGCAGGCCCAGGGTCAGGGCTGAGCTTCCCTCCAGTGCAGTAACGAGGATTCCGTCCAGGCTCCCATGAGCCAGGCCAGGGCTGAGACAGAGGGCGTTGGCAAGGATGCTGCTCCTTCAGGCTGTGACCCCTCTGTCTTTGCAGGGAGGAAGTGTGGAGGAACCTCTTGGAGAAGCCAGCTATGCTTGCCAGAACTCAGCCCTTTCAGACATCACCGACCCGCCCTTACTCACGTGGCTTCCAGGTGCAATAAAGTGGCCCCAAGGAAAATGTTCACAGACTCTGAATGAGGAGACGGGGGTCAGGGAAAGGGTGGTGGCTTTAGACTGGAGAACGCCTGCTTCAAAGTCCCCCTGGGTGTCATGGTGGTCATGGTGGGCATGGACAGAGGGTACCCCTGGTCCCAAAATCAAGAAATGACCTGATCTTGAATGAGGCTGAGGCCCAAGGATGAATGCTGGATTCACCAGAGACCATGGCAAAGAAGCCTGCTCCTAAGAACTACATGGGATCCCTATTCCTCATAACCTAGACAGCCCTGGTCCTCCTCACTGGGTCCTCATCCTGATCACAGGGCCCTGGTCCTGACCAGTGGGCCCGTTTACCGATCACTGAGCTCTGGTCCTACTACTTGGTCCCTGTTCCTGATCACTTAATTCTAGCCTTGATCACTGAGCCTTAGTCCTGATCACTGAGTCCTACTCCTGTTTTTTGCCCTGGACCTCGTCACTCAGCCCTGGTCCTTGTCACTCAGCCCTGGACCTCATCACTCAGCCCTGGTCCTGGTCACTCAGCCCTGGTCCTCGTCACTCAGCCCTGGACCTCGTCACTCAGCCCTGGTCCTCGTCACTCAGCCCTGGACCTCGTCACTCAGCCCTGGACCTCATCACTCAGCCCTGGACCTCCTCACTCAGCCCTGGTCCTCATCACTCAGCCCTGGACCTGATCACTCAGCCCTGGTCCTGGTCACTCAGCCCTGTTCCTGATCACTGAGCCCTGGTCCTGATCACTGAATGCTGGTCCTGATCACTGAGCCCTGTTCCTGATCACTAACCCCTGTTCCTGATCACTGAGCCCTGGTCCTGATCACTGAGCCCTGGTCCTGATTACTGAGCCCTGGACCCAGTCACTGGCCCCTGTTCCTGATCACTGGGCCCTGGTCCTGATCACTGAGCCCTGTTCCTGATCACTGAGCCCTGGACCCAATCGCTGGGCCCTGGTCCTGATCACTGGGCCCTGGTCCTGATTACTGAGCCCTGGTCCTGATCGCTGGGCCCTGTTCCTGACCGCTGAGCCCTGGACCAGATCATGGATCCCTGTTCCTGATCACTGATCCCCGGTTCTTTTCTTATACATATTCATTTTGAAATCTGATTCCTTTTCTGAGCATGTATCAGTCTGACTAGACACTGAGTCCTGTCTGATTTCTGAGCCTTGGCCCTCATGAGTAAGTGACCTGCAGTGGTGGAGGGAGGCCTCCAGGGGAGCCGAGACCCTCTCAGTGCATGTACTCACTGGTAGATGAAGAAATGACCCCAATGACTTGCTCCATTTTTCCAGGCTCAGAGGGGTGTGTAGGCCCCAGGAGGACTTGGTGGGGAGAGGACCAGCCCAGGCCCTGTGAGCTACACCCAGCCCCAGCCCCTAAGGGGTCGCCAGGTCTCGACTTAGCACTGGGGAGGGGGTACAGTACAGGAGTGGGGACAGGAAGGTCGGGGGAGGCCATGCTGTTTGTATTCTCTTGCTTTTCTCTCTCTCCTGAAGCCTCTTGTACCCCATCACCTGCAGAAATATCCAAAATAGCCCTGTGGGGCGGCTGAGTCATTGTGAACACAGCCCAGGCCAGGTGTTCCAGCCAGAGAACTGCTGTTCTGAGAAACATGCCCCAAAACCGAGACCTGGCCAGGTGTGCCTGGGGCCTGAGCGAGGGGCTGCAGCCACAGGGAGGCCCAGCCCCAACCAGCCCGGGGTCAGCTAGGGCTTTCCAGGTCCAGGGTTAGGCAGAGGTCAGCCAGGGTCAGCCAGGATCAGCCAGGGTCAGCCAGGGTCATCTGGGGTCAGCCAGGGCCAGCCAGGGTCAGCCAGGGTCATCTGGGTTCCGCCAGGGTCAGCCAGGGCCATCTGGGGTCATCTGGGGTCAGCCAGGGTTCCGCCAGGGTCAGCACAGGCCATTGTCCCCCTGTCCGGGCTCTCTAGGCGGCAGGCCTCCTCCATGGGCAGCCCTCACGAGGGCTGTGCCCACCACACAGCAGACCCAGGGAAGCACCAGCACTGAGCATCTGGCAGTGACTGTGGTGGGCCTCACACCCTGCACGCACCTCCCTCAGCTCTCCCCAGGGCCCTTGGCCAGAGCCAGGACGCAGTGCCCAGCCCTGGGGCTTGAGCGGCTGCCCTGGCAGGCTGTGCCCAGCACAAGCACGGCCCACAGGACCACAGAAGGACCTGCACCCCACACCAGGGAAACAGGGGTTCTGGGAAGGGGACATTGGACCAGGGGCCCAGAGAGACACAGAGACATAGAGAGAGACAGGGACAGGGAGAGACAAGAGACACAGAGACATAGACAGAGACAAGGATGGGGAGAGATAAGAGACACAGAGACATAGAGACAGGGATGGGGAGAGAGATAAGAGATGAAGAGACATAGAGAGAGACAGGGATGGGGAGAGATAAGAGACACAGAGACATAGAGAGAGAGAGACAGGGATGGGGAGAGACAAGAGACATAGACAGAGAAAGACAAGGACAAGGAGAGATAAGAGACATAGAGACATAGAGAGACAGGGATGGGGAGAGAGATAAGAGATGAAGAGACATAGAGAGAGACAGGGATGGGGAGAGATAAGAGACACAGAGAGAGAGAGACAGGGATGGGGAGAGACACAGAGACATAGACAGAGAAAGACAAGGACAAGGAGAGATAAGAGACACAGAGACATAGAGAGACAGGGATGGGGAGAGATAAGAGACACAGAGACATAGAGAGAGACAGGGATGGAGAGAGACACAGAGACGTAGACAGAGAAAGACAAGGACAAGGAGAGATAAGAGACACAGAGACATAGAGAGACAGGGATGGGGAGAGATAAGAGACACAGAGACATAGAGAGAGACAGGGATGGGGAGAGACAAGAGACATAGAGACAGGGACAAAGACAGACACAGAGAGAGAGATGGGGATGGAGAGAGATAAGAGACAGGGACGGGGAGGGACAGAGACACAAGAGACAGAAAGAGAGAGATGAGATGAGATAGATAAGAAACAGAGACAGAGATGGGAGAAAAAGGGAGGAGATGGGAACAGGGAAAAAGAGACATGGAGACAGACATGCAGAGAGAACACAACAGAGGCAGAGAACACACAGGGAGAGAAAGAGGCAGCAAGATGGGCCCAGGAACTCAGGTGCAAGCCCCTCTCACACAGTCATACTCACAAACACACACCACGACTATTATACAACATTCACACACAAACACACAGAAACATACCCATGCTCACAGCCACACACTAAGTCACTGTCACATCCATACCCACACTCACACCCAAACACACATGGCCCAGGAGCAAATGGGGAGACCTCAGCCTGCAGCTGGGAGCGGCTGAGCGGGTGCTGGGCCAGAGTCGGGGCCTGTCTGTGGGTGGGGGGCACGGCAGCACGGGCCCACCTGCACCTACAAGGCCTGGCCCCCGAGGTCACTGGGCCACCACCCAGCCCTCGCCCTGTTCCCCGTCTGTGCTGGACGGGGCAGGCCTCTGAGCCTCCAGGAAACCTGCAGATCCACACAGGACCTGGAACATCGGGCTGGGGTGGGTAACAACATGGGAGAGGCGGGAGCAGGAGGTCCCAGGACCCTGCGCACTGCGACCCCAGCCCTGGGGGCTGAAGCCCAGGACAGCCTCAGGTCTCCCAGGAGGGACTGGACAGTGGGGGATGGTCAGAGAACAGGACAGCCAGCAGGGTGCAGCCCGAGGACAGGGATGGACGCTGGGAGGTCAACAGGACAGGGGCAGGAGCTGTGGAGTGGGCAAAGGTCCTGGAGGGCCTGGAGAACCTGTGGGTCCGTGTTTGTGGGAAGGAGGCCAGGAGCAGCCCAGAGTGGCCAGGCTGGCAGGGGTGAGGAGGTGGGGGCAGTGAGGTGAGGGTGACCGAGACAGTGAGGCCTCTGGCCAGGGAGGGGACCTTGGCTGGGCTCTGACTGAACCCAGGGCTCCTGGAGAAGGGGCCCCAGGCGGGGATGAGGATGTGGGCATCTGACTCCATCAACAATGGGGCTTCCAACACGCACAGCCTGGGCCTCGGAGACCTGGGCCCTGACCCGCCTCCCCCTGGCACTGGGCCGGGTGCCGTGTGTGGTCCCCAGTCCCCGCAGCACCTCCCCCACACTGGTCACGTTCCAGGGCCCCTCTGAAGCACCTGCTGTGAGGGGATGTGGGGAGGGGACAGGGACTTGGGCCTGAGCTGCCGGGTCGGGGGGGAGTCGGGGACCCAGGCTCAGCGTGTGGCTGCGGACCAGACAGATGGGGATGGAGGAGGACACGCCCTGTACCCACTGCCTGCCAAGGGGCTGGACCCACGCCCAGTCTAGGCCATGTCCCCCGAGGCCTGTGAACCTTCACTCTGAGCCACTAAAACATTCAGGAGCTTTGAAAGCAGCCCCCGTCCTTGTCACTATGCGATGACTCTGAGCATCACGCTGTCCCTGCTGGATCCACCCTCCAGCCCCAGCGAGGGAGGCTGGGCCCCGGGCAGCAGGTGGTGAGGGCAGCGGGCACAGCCACGCTACAGCACACACAGGGTCTCAGGGACGCGTCCACCACAGCCCGTGCACAGGCTCCTCACGGCACTGAGTTCACCCGGGGCGCGGGCCGTTTGTCCTCAGGAGTCCGGCTGTGCCCTCCGCCCCCAGCCCTGTCCTGCTGAGGCTGCAGCTGGGTCCCGGGGCACAGGGCGGCCCTGAGCACCTTGTCATGTTGGTCCCTGTCGGGTGGGCTGCTGGCTGTCTGTGGAGCTGGCAGAGCCGCGGTTCAGCCTTGGAGGCCGGTCCTGGGGCCCAGCAGCCGTGGGGAGCACTGCCCAGTCCCGTGCCCACAGGGAATCACCTGGGCTGAGGAAGGGCCCACACGCCGACGGGATCGGGGTCAGGCAGCGCACGCCTGGCACCGAGATCCCACGTCCCGAAGTGGGGACACGGCCCAGGGGCACTGTTCCGGGAGGGTCTCAAGATGGGGTCTCCTATTTCAATCTTCACTCCTTCTGCACCTGTTAGCTGGGAACCTTCTAGAAGGAGGGGTGTCCTCAATCATGGGGTGGTTGTGAGCTGAGCACAGATCATGCAGGAAGGTACATGGCTTCTCCTTCACCAGGAAAACAGTGCAGAGAGACAGAGACACAGAGACAGAGACAGAGTAACAGAGAAAGACAGACGAGAGAGAGACACAGAGACACAGACAGAGTAACAGAGAAAGAGAGACAGAGAGAGACAGAGACAGAGACAGAGTAACAGATAGAGTCACAGAGAGACAGAGAGAGAGACAGAGTAACAGAGAAAGACAGAGACAGAGACAGAGACAGAGTCACAGAGAGACAGAGACAGAGAGAGAAACAGAGACACAGAAAGAGACATGCAGACACAGAGACAGAGATGAGGAGTTACAGAGAGACAGAGAGATAGAGACAGAGATAGAGAGACAGAGACAGAGAGAAAGAAACAGATACAGAAAGAGACATTGACAGAGACAGAGAGAAAAACAAAGACACAGAGACAGACACACACAGAGACAGAAAAAGACAGAGATAAAGTTACAGAGAGACAGAGATACACAGAGACAGAGAGACAGATAAAGAGAGACAGAGATACAGACAGAGACAGAGAAAAACAGAGATAGAAACAGAGAGACAGAGATAAAGTTACAGAGAGAGAGAGCAAGACAGAGATAAAGAGAGACAGAGACAGAGTGAGAGAAACAGAAGCAGTAAGAGATAAAGAGAGTTACAGAGACAGAGATAGAGAGAGATCAAGAAAGAGAGACAGAGATAGAAAGATACACACAGAGAGATAGAGATACAGAGAGACAGAGATAGAGAGACATATAGAGAGACAGAGATAGAAAGATACACACAGAGAGACAGAGATACAAAGAGACAGATAGAGAGTCACTGTCACATTCATACCCACGCTCACACACTCACACTGAGCTTCCCTCAAGCCCTGTCACTTCCTATGGGGCCCACGGCATGTCCAAGCCTCTGGGCCACCAGCCTCATGGCTCACTGCTGTGTGCCCACCACACCCCGCCTCAGAGGTCCCCTCTGTGAGCTGGGCACGTGCCCTACACTCTGCTCATGGGTGGTCTGGGGAAACAGGGCCCACCCAAGGCCTGGCTCAGGAAAGGCCCCAAACACACATGGCCCAGCAGCAAACGGGCAGAGCTCAGCCTGCAGCTGGGAGCGGCGGAGCGGGTGCTGGGCCAGAGCCGGGGCCTGTCTGTGGGTGGGGGGCACGGCAGCACGGGCCCACCTGCACCCCCCAGGCCTGGCCCCCAAGGTCACTGGGCCACCACCCAGCCCTCGCCCTGTTCCCTGTCTGTGCTGACCGGGGCAGGGCTCTGAGCCTCGGGGAAACCCACAGACCCACATGGGATGGAGAGACAGAGATAGAGAGAGACAGGGAGAGACAGAGAGAGATAGAGAGACAGAGATAGAGACAGAGATACAGAGACACAGAGAAAGACAGAGAGAGATAGAGACAGAGAGATACAGAGAGACAGAGAAAGAGATAGAGAGACAGAGATAGAGACAGAAAGACAGAGATAGAGATAGAGATGAAAGACAGAGATACAGAGAGACAGAGAAAGACAGAGAGATAGACATGAGAGAGACAGAGATAGAGATACAGAGAGACAGAAAGAGAGATAGAGACAGAGCGATAGAGATAAGAGAAAGACAGAGACAAAGAGATACAGAGAGTGAGAGAGACAGAGAGAGAGATAAGAAGAGAGACTGAGATAGAGACAGAGAGACAGAGAAAGACAGAGTTAGAAAGGCAGAGAAAGACAGACAAAGAGAGATAGAGAGAGGAGAAGAGAAACAGAGACAGACAGCAACAGAAAGACAGAGAGGTATATACAGAGAGGAAGAGACAGAGACAGAGACAGACTCAGAAAGACAAAAAGAGACAGAGAAAGAAACAGGGAGAGAGAAAGACAGATATAAGGAGAGATAGAGAGAGGCAGAGCTACAGAGAGGAAGAGACACAGACAAACAGAGAGACATACAAAAACAGAGACACCAAATGACACAGACAGGCAGAGACAGACAGAGATGAAGAGACAGAGAGACAGAGACAGAGGCAGAGAGACAGAGAGACACACACAGGAAGAGACAGATGAGAGAGACAGATATAGACAGAGATACAGAAAGAGACAGAGAGAGACATACACAGGGACACGAACAGACAGACAGAGATACAGAGGCAGAGAGACAGAGATATAGACAGAGACATGGAAAGACAGAGAAGAGAGAGACACACACACAGGGACACAAAGAGGCTGAGATATAGACAGAGATACAGAAAGAGAAGCAGAGAGACAGAGAGAGACACACACAGGGACACGAAGAGACAGACAGAGAGACAGAGGCAAAGAAAGGGACACAGCAAAGGGACAGGCACAGAGGGAGGGATAGACGGGAAGAGAGACGGAGGGATAGAGACAGACACGGGGGAGAGATGGATGGAGAAAGGAGGCACAGACGGAGACACACAGAAAGAGAGAGAGGCCAAGACAGGCAAGATGGCGGGACAAAGCCCAGCAGACGGGCTTGACAGAGATGAGTCAGAGACACCGACAATGGGACAGAGACAGAGATTCGGGCAGGGAGATACCTTCAGAGAGGCAGAGAGACAGGGAGACAGAAGGGTGGCCAGAGACAGGGACAGCGGGAAAGATGGAGCTGGAGGCTCAGATGGAGACGGGTGTGACAGAGCTGGGAGCAGGGAGGCCACAGCCCACGCAGTCCGGGTGCTGCACCCACCACGGCCCCCAGGCCCGGAGACCCAGCCCCCATCACCATGTAACCTCAGGCCATGTCCCTGGCCCTGCTGAGCCTCAGTGTTCTCTCTGTACAGTGGGGACCACCAGGCCATGAGGGTGGGGGAGGTGCGGGCCTGCACCAGACAGGCCTTGTACCAATCGGGCTGCCTGTGCCCAGGCCACCAGGGCCACCTCCGCTCAGCCTCCTTGGGGCTTCTGGGGTGGGGGTTGGCTGGGGGCCCTGCCAGCGTTGGCTCCCCTGCCCTTCCTGCCAACCTGGGGGCTGCCCCTGGGTCCTGGTCCCAAAGATGGCAACAAGTTCAGAACCACTGAATTCAATAAAGTTGACGTTTGCAGGGTGGTCCCAGTGTCAGTAACCCAAGTGGGCCTGTCCTGGGGGAGGGGGCGGGTGTCCCCGAATCTGGAGGCCTGAGCCAGCCTGGCCACGCTGTGGTGGGGGGGTGTCCCCGAATCTGGAGGCCTGAGCCAGCCTGGCCACGCTGTTGGGGGGGGGGGTGTCCCTGAATCTGGAGGCCTGAGCCAGCCTGGCCACGCTGGGGGAGGGGGCGGGGGGTGTCCCCGAATCTGGAGGCCTGGGCCAGCCTGGCCACACTGGGTGGGTGGCGGCTGCAGCTGCAGGTGGAGAATCGTGCAAGCTATTTCTGGAAACAGCCTCAGAGGGCAAGAAACATGTTTTCGGTGTGGAACAAACAACCATTTGCATGTGCCCTGAGGGCCAAGTCTGCCCAGAATGAGTCACTCAAGGAGAAACAGATCAGAGCCCTCACACCTGCCTGGGGGAGGGGTGGGCGCCGCTCCAGGGACCTGCTGTTGGGCCCAGAGATGCCGAAAACTCAGCCCACCCGGCCGCCATGGCAGGACCCACTTTCCTCACCAGCTTGCCCCTAGGTGGGACCCACAGGACCCCTGGGAAGCCCTCAGCAGCCCTTGGGCAGGTCCCACCCTGCAGAGAACGCGAAGGCTCAAAGGCCCACTCGGGCTGAGACCGCAGGGAGCCCTGGGCCGCTTGGATGCAGAGCCCTGAGGCCCGAGGCTAGGCTGTGGGAGGGAGCAGCAGTGAGACCCCCACTGGCCCTCAGGGCTCACAGGTGCCCCGGTGAGGGTGCAGGGAGCGGGGGTGCCTGCCAAGCAGGAAGGCGGAGGGCCCAGGCTGCCGTGGCACCATCGGGGCACACTATGTGTCACTGGCCCAAGGAGACTCGCCCATGAGGAGCTGCTGCTGGTGGACGCAGGGGTGCCCTCCAGCCTCCTTGGGGGGCTAGGAAGGGAGGGCAGGGCCAGGCAGACCCTAGGGTGAGGTAGGAGGACTGGCAAAAGGCCAGGATGGCCAAGGGAGAGCCACATGGGGGCTGGGAGGGCGCAAGGTTCGGGCCCGGCCAAAGCGTGGGTGCCAGGTATGGTGCCCACCAGGACCGCGCGGCGTGTACTCCAGAAAGACCCTGGGGCGCAGGACGGGCTTGCCATGCTGAGGTCTGGAAAGTAAAGAGAGGCACTTCACGGCAGCACGCCAGCCTGCATGATCTGTGCTCACACTCACCCACTACGAGCAATGCCCTCCTTCTAGAAGCTTCCTCACTAACACGTGCACAAGGAATGAAGGGAATGGGGTCTCCCGTCTCACAGCCCTCCATGTAATGGTGCCCTCAACCGACCGACTGCTCCCGACCGGCCGCAGCCCTTGGCCCCGCGGCCCACCTCTGCCTGACCCCGGCCCTGCTCTCCTCCTGGCAGCTCAGGGATTCGCCACTGCCTGGGCTCAGCCGGAGCAAAGCCCGTGTCCCCCGGCACCCCACACAGCCGAGTCACCCCTCCCTCACGGCCCCCACCTCCTCGGCCCTGCCGGCCCAGCCACGCTGAGCTGCTCCTGGGCCCCCTTCCCAGAGACATCGAAGCCCTGCAGGTTCTCCAGGCCCTCCGCCCACTCCACTACCCCTGCCCGCTCCCAGCTGCAGGCTGAGCTCTGCCCCTTTGCTCCTGGGCCATGTGTGTTTGAGGCCTTCCCTGAGCCAGGCCTTGGGTGGGCCCTGTTTCCCCCAGGCCAGCCATGAACAGAGCGGAGGGCATGTGCCCAGCTCATAGAGGAGACCCCCAAGGCGGGGTGTGGTGGGCACACACCGGTGAGCCAGGGGCTGGTGGCCCAGAGGCTTAGACAGGCCGTAGGCCCCATCGGAAGTGACAGGGCCTGAGGGAAGCTCAGTGTGTGTGTGTGAGTGTGTGTGAGTGAGTGTGTGTGTGACTGTGTGTGTGAGGTGAGTGTGAGTGTGAGTGTGTGTGAGGTGTGTGTGTGTGAGCAGGTGAGCGTGGGTATGAATGTGACAGTGACTATCTCTGTCTCTGTCTCTCTCTGTTTCTGTGTATCTTTCTTATCTCTGTGCCTGTCTCTGTCTCTGTCTTTCTCTGTTACTCTGTCTCTGTGTCTCTCTCTGTCTCTCTATCTCTGTTACTCTGTCTCTGTCTCTGTGTCTCTCTATCTCTGTTACTCTGTCTCTGTCTCTGTCTCTCTCTCTCTGCCTCTCTGTCTTTCTCTGTTACTCTGTCTCTGTCTCTCTCTGTCTCTCTGCCTTTCTCTGTTACTCTGTCTCTGTCTGTGTCTCTCTGTCTCTCTGTCTTTCTCTGTTACTCTGTCTCTGTCTCTGTGTCTCTGTCTCTCTGTCTTTCTCTGTTACTCTGTCTCTGTCTCTGTGTCTCTGTCTCTCTGTCTTTCTCTGTTACTCTGTCTCTGTGTCTCTGTCTCTCTGCACTGTTTTCCTGGTGAAGGAGAAGCCATGTACCTTCCTGCATGATCTGTGCTCAGCTCACAACCACCCCATGATTGAGGACACCCCTCCTTCTAGAAGGTTCCCAGCTAACAGGTGCAGAAGGAGTGAAGATTGAAATAGGAGACCCCATCTTGAGACCCTCCCGGAACAGTGCCCCTGGGCCGTGTCCCCACTTCGGGACGTGGGATCTCGGTGCCAGGCGTGCGCTGCCTGACCCCGATCCCGTCGGCGTGTGGGCCCTTCCTCAGCCCAGGTGATTCCCTGTGGGCACGGGACTGGGCAGTGCTCCCCACGGCTGCTGGGCCCCAGGACCGGCCTCCAAGGCTGAACCGCGGCTCTGCCAGCTCCACAGAGAGCCAGCAGCCCACCCGACAGGGACCAACATGACAAGGTGCTCAGGGCCGCCCTGTGCCCCGGGACCCAGCTGCAGCCTCAGCAGGACAGGGCTGGGGGCGGAGGGTACAGCGGGACTCCTGAGGACAAACGGCCCGCGCCCCGGGTGAACTCAGTGCCGTGGGGAGCCTGTGCACGGGCTGTGGTGGACGCGTCCCTGAGACCCTGTGTGTGCTGTAGCGTGGCTGTGCCCGCTGCCCTCACCACCTGCTGCCCGGGGCCCAGCCTCCCTCGCTGGGGCTGGAGGGTGGATCCAGCAGGGACAGCGTGATGCTCAGAGTCATCGCATAGTGACAAGGACGGGGGCTGCTTTCAAAGCTCCTGAATGTTTTAGTGGCTCAGAGTGAAGGTTCACAGGCCTCGGGGGACATGGCCTAGACTGGGCATGGGTCCAGCCCCTTGGCAGGCAGTGGGTACAGGGCGTGTCCTCCTCCATCCCCATCTGTCTGGTCCGCAGCCACACGCTGAGCCTGGGTCCCCGACTCCCCCCCGACCCGGCAGCTCAGGCCCAAGTCCCTGTCCCCTCCTCACATCCCCTCACAGCAGGTGCTTCAGAGGGGCCCTGGAACGTGACCAGTGTGGGGGAGGTGCTGCGGGGACTGGGGACCACACACGGCACCCGGCCCAGTGCCAGGGGGAGGCGGGTCAGGGCCCAGGTCTCCGAGGCCCAGGCTGTGCGTGTTGGAAGCCCCATTGTTGATGGAGTCAGATGCCCACATCCTCATCCCCGCCTGGGGCCCCTTCTCCAGGAGCCCTGGGTTCAGTCAGAGCCCAGCCAAGGTCCCCTCCCTGGCCAGAGGCCTGTCTCGGTCACCCTCACCTCACTGCCCCCACCTCCTCATCCCTGCCAGCCTGGCCACTCAGGGCTGCTCCTGGCCTCCTTCCCACAGACACTGACCCACAGGTTCTCCAGGCCCTCCAGGACCTTCTCACACTCCACAGCCCCTGCCCCTGCCCCTGTCCTGTTGACCTCCCAGCATCCATCCCTGTCCTCGGGCTGCACCCTGCTGGCTGTCCTGTTCTCTGACCATCCCCCACTATCCAGTCCCTCCTGGGAGACCTGAGGCTGTCCTGGGCTTCAGCCCCCAGGGCTGGGGTCGCAGTGCGCAGGGTCCCAGGACCTCCTGCTCCTCCCTCTGGGATGTTGTTACCCACCCCAGCCTCCCCAGCCCGATGTTCGGGGTCCCGTGTGTATCTGTGGGTTTCCCCGAGGCTCAGAGTCCTGCCCCGGCCAGCACAGACGGGGAACAGGGCGAGGGCTGGGTGGTGGCCCAGTGACCTCGGGGGCCAGGCCTTGTAGGTGCAGGTGGGCCCGTGCTGCCGTGCCCCTCACCCACAGACAGGCCCCGACTCTGGCCCAGCACCCGCTCGGCCGCTCCCAGCTGCAGGCTGAGCTCTGCCCATTTGCTCCTGGGCCATGTGTGTTTGGAGCCTTTCCTGAGCCAGGCCTTGGGTGGGCCCTGTTTCCCCAGGCCACCGATGAGCAGAGCACTGTCGGCTTACAGAGGGGACCCCCGAGGGGGGTTTGGTGGGCACACACCAGTGAGCCCTGGAGCTGGTGGGGGGTGAGTGTGTGAGCGTGTGAGCATGGGTACAAATGTGACAGTGACTTAGCGTCGGGGTTTGAGTGTGGGTGGGGGTGTAAGTGTGGGTGAGGGTGTGAGTGTGGAAGTGTGTTAGTGAGTATATGAATGTGAGGGTGAGTGTGAGTGAGGATGTGTGTATAGGCGTGTGGGTTGTGTGTATAGGAAGTGTGTGTGTTGTGTGTGTATAGGAGGTATATGTGTTGTGAGTGTATGATAGGTGTATGTGTTGTGTGTGTATAGGTGTATGAGTTGTGTGTGTGGTGTATAGGTTGTGTATGAGTGGGTGGTGTGTGGGTTGTATGTATGTTTCATGTATGTGTTGTGTGTGTGTGGTGTATGGGTTGTATGTGAATGTGTGGTGTATGGGTTGTGTGTGTGCATAGGTGTATGTGTTGTGTGTGTTTGTGGTATATGAGTTGTGTGTGTGAGTGTGTGTATAGGTGTATAGGTTGTGTGTGTGTGGTGTATGGGTTCTGTGTGGGGGTGGTGTATGGGTGTGTGTATGAGTATTATGTGTGTGTGTGGTGTGTATGTGTTGTGTGTGTGGTGTATGGGTTGTATGTGTGTATAGGTTGTGTGTGTTTGTGGTATATGGGTTGTGTGTGTGTGTGTATAGGTGTATGGGTTATGTGTGAATGTGTGGTGTATGGGTTGTATGTGTAGGTGTATGGCTTATTAGTGTGTATATATGTGTACGGGTTGTGTGTGTGTGGTTATGGCTTGTGTATGTGGTCTGTGCGTTGTGTATGAGTGTGTGGTGTATGAGTTGTGTGTGTGTATAGGTGTATGTGTTGAGCGTGAGTTTGTGGTATATGGTTGTGTGTGTATATAGGTGTATGGGTTGTGAGTGTGTGGTGTATGGGTTGTGTAGGGGTGTATGGCTTGTTTATGAGTGTGTGTATAGGTGTATGGGTTTGTGTGTGGTTATGGCTTGTGTGTGTTTATGGTCTGTGGGTTGTGTGAGTGTGTGCTGTATGAGTTGCATGTGTGTGTATAGGTGTATGCGTTGTGTGTGAGTTTGTGGTATATGGATTGTGTGTGAGTTTGTGTATAGATGTATGGGCTGTGTGTGTGTGGTGTATGAATTGAGTGTGTGTATAGGTGTATGTGTTGTGTGTGTAGTGTATGGGTTGTGTGTGTGAATGTGTATAGGTATATGGGCTGTGTGTGTGGTTATGACTTGTGTTTGTGTTCTATGGGTTGTGTGTGTGGTGTATGTGTTGTGTGTGAGTGTGTGGTGTATGGGTTGTATGTGTGGCATATGGGTATGTGTATAGATGTATGGTTTGTGTGTGAGTGTGTGGTATATGGGTTGTGTGTGAGTGTGTGGTATATGGGTGTGTGTGTATAACTGTATGGGTTGTGTGTGTGGTATACAGATTGTGAGTGTGTGTGGTGTATAGGTTGTGTAAGTGTGTATGGGTTGTGGGATTGTGTATAGGTGTATGGGTTGTGTGTGAGTGTGTAGCATATAGTTTGTGGGTGTATGTGGTGCATGGGTTGTGTGAGTGTGTGGTGTATGGGCGTGTGTGTATAGGTATGTGGGTTGTGTGTGTGGTATATGGGTTGTGTGTGTGCTATATGAGTGTATGAGTGTGTGTAGGTGTATAGGCTGTGTGTGTATGGGTGGTGGGTGTGTGTAGGTGTAGGAGTTGTGTGTGTGTGGTGTATGTGTGTGTGTAGGTGCACAGGTTGTGTGTGTGGTATATGGGTGTGTGTGTATAGGTGTATGGGTTATGTGTGAGTGTGTGGTATACAGTTTGTGGTGTGATTGTGTAGTGTATGGGCTGTGTGTGGTGTATAGGTGTGTGTGTATAGGTGTATGGGTTGTGTGTGTGTGGTATATTGGTTGTATGTGGTATATGGGTATGAGTGTGTATAGGTGTATGGGTTGTGTGAGTGTGTGGTATATGGTTTGTGTGTGTGGTGTATGGTTGTGTGTGGTATATGGGTGTGTGTGTATAGGTGTATGGGTTGTGTGTGAGTGTGTAGTATATAGTTTGTAGGTGTGAGTGTGTATAGGTGTATGGGTTGTGTGCGTGTGGTGTATGGGTTGTGTGTGAGTGTGTGGTATATGGGTGTGTGAGTGTATATAGGTGTATGGTTGGTGTGTGTGTGGTATATAGTTTGTGAGTGTGTGTGGTGTATGGGTTGTGTAGGTGTGTGGTGTATGGGTTGGGTGGGAGTGTGTGGGACGTGACTGGATAAGTTCGTGAGTGTGAGTGTGTGGCTGTGGGTGTCTGTGTGTCTCTGGGTGTGTGTGGATGGGGGTATGTGGGTGTGAGTGTGTGTGTGAGGTGTGGGTGTGGGGGTGCACTGCGTGTCCTCCCTGGGGGTGGCCCCTGAGAGTCGGGGCCTGAGCCCGGATGTCTCCGCGACTCTGCATGTCTCCCTCTGCCTCCGTCTCTCTGCTTTGTGTCTGTCTCTGTCATCCCTGCCTCTGCCCCATCCCTCTGGGTCCTAGAATCTGCCCAAGTCTGGGGCCGCCTCCCAGGAAGCCCCACAAGTGTCCACCAAGGGATGCACGGAGGACAAACTGCAGTGCACACATACGAGGAGGCTGAGTCACCAGAGCCTCCACCCTAGTCCTGCCCTGACTCCCCGGGTCAGGGCTCCAGGCCCCAAGCACCGCCCGGCTCCCCCCTGGGCTGGGGCCTGTATGGGGCTGGGAGTCTGGAGGCTCAGCCCTGCGGGGGAGGTGTGAGCAAACCCGCCTGCACTGCGAGCCCCGCACAGGCCATCCCCTGACACTCAGACACGCAGACATGCACAGACACACACACATACACACAGACACACACAGACATGCACACACAGAAACGCACAGACACACACAGACATGCACAGAGACACACACACAGAGACATGCACAGACATGCACAGAGACACACACAGACATGCACAGAGACACACACAGAAATGCACAGACACACACGGACATGCACAGACACACACATATGTGCACAGAGACACACATATAGACACACATCCACATGGATGCACAGACACAGAGACACACACAGGCAAACACATACACACACAGACACATAAAGACACAGACACACGGATATGCACACACACATGCACGTGGATGCACAGACACACACTGACACACATAGAGACACACACACACAGACACATAAAGACACACACAGACATGCCCGCACACAGGCACCCCCTCCCGCAGGTCACGCTTGCAGCCCCTGGCCACTGTCCTGCCCCGTGTCATGAACCTGCCTCCCCTGTCCACACCACACACCTGTCCACCCCACACACCTGTCCACACTACACCCCTGTCCACACTACACACCTGTCCACACTACACCCCATCCACCCCACACACCTGCCCACACCACACACCTGTCCACACCGCACACCTGTCCACACCACACACCTGTCCACACTACACCCCGTCCACCCCACACACCTGTCCACACCACACACCTGTCCACACTACACCCCGTCCACCCCACACACCTGTCCACACCACACACCTGTCCACACTACACCCATCCACCCCACATCCCTGTCCACCCCACACACCTGTCCATACCACACACCTGTCCACCCCGCACACCTGTCCACCCCGCACACCTGTCCACCCTGCACACCTGTCCACACTGCACACCTGTCCACACTACACCCCATCCACCCCACACACCTGCCCACAATACACACCTGTCCACACCGCACACCTGTCCGCACCACACACCTGTCCACACCAGACACCTGTCCACACTACACCCCGTCCACCCCACACACCTGTCCACACCACACACCTGTCCACCCCACACACCTGTCCACACCACACACCTGTCCACACTACACACCTGTCCGCATCACGCACAACCTCACACCTCCAGCTCATCCACCACTCACTGCACACACGCTTGCATCTCACACGCTCATGCTCACACTCATGCACTAACACACACATTCTCCCACCTGTTGCCAAGCTCACACTCACACATGCACACATGGCGTTGCTGGGCCAGGCTTGGGCACATGGGGTCAGGGAAGGCTCGGAGAGCGTACGCCTTGGCCTCTCTGGCGGCATGTCCGGGTCTGCGGGGCAGAGGTCACAGTTGCTGCCCCACGACACCGCATGTGCCCCTGCAGGGCCTGGGAATGGCACCCCGCAGAGCCCGCGCTCAGGGCCAGCTCGTGTCAGCACCGCGTGGACCACGTCCCGAGGACACCTGGGCCAGCCAGTGCTGCGGGCTGCAGCGAGTGTGTGTGCACACGCATGCCCATATATGTGTTGTGTGTGCTTGTGTGCATGGGAGGGGGTCCCTGGGTGGGCCAGGGTCTGCCTCGGGGGCTGGAGTGGGAGGCCTGGGCCCCTCAGCTTTCCTCCAACCCAGCCTCACTTCCCCGCCCCTCTCAGCTCTGCGTGGCCACCAGCCAGCCCTGGGCTTGGCCCCGGCATGAGGCCTGAGGCAGGGCCCTGGATAACGCTCAGGACGGGCACCTGGGCCTTCTGGGCCTCCTCGCCAAGGACCAGACTCGGCCTCAGCGCCTCACACTCATCGGGGGTCATGCCCTGGGGCCCAGCCAGGACGCTCGCTGCCCCACTCAGGAGGCTGGACACACTAGCAGGTGGGGGGGCCGCAGCTCCCCCTCCCCCACCCCCGTCCAGTCTGAAAAACAAGACCTCATGGGCACCGGGCCGCAGCTCCCACCCCCACCCCACCACACAGGCACAAACACATTCTTGCAAATATTTCTAAAAATGCTGAAAATGGGAACCACAGAGCAGGTGGGACAGTGGTGTGGAAACCCCCACCCACCTCCGAGATGGCGATTTGCATTGGGGGAGGTGGGGGGAAGGCTGGCACCCAGGCAGCTGGTTTGCAGGATTCCTGACTATTCACACTCCCCAGCCACACCCCATGTCCAGGCCAATGCTGTGGCCAGGCCCAGAGTGACCAGGCCCCAGGGCACTTCCCAGAGGACTGCCTGGTGGAGGGGGTAACAAGTCGGACCTTGCCCCAGGGGAGCTGGGCCAGGGAGGAGACCCCTGCATGGAGGTCCCAGGCATGGCCCCCAGGAACAGGACCCCCAGCACCCTCGGAAGAGGATTTTGTGGGTCACCTGGGGACAGAGCTTCCTCCGTGCACCTGCTGGGCCCCTCACAGCCCACCTGTCACCAAACCTCTGTCCTCCCCTGTGCCCAGGCCTGGCCAACCCAGGCGCTTTCAGCCCGTAGACCCTAGGTGGGGTCGCCCAACCCTACCCCGGCCTCAGTACCCTCTGGGGTTGCCCCACGAGACCACCCCAGAACAGACCTGCCCAACCCCAGCCCTGCATCTTCAGTGGGACACAGAGGCCTCCATAGGACCCCACCCCACACCCAGGGGCTGTCCGGGGCCCATCACCCCAGCAGCTGAGACCCTGGGAGATGACACCCTGTGCCTAGAACAGGGTGGACCACATGGGGGGACATTCTGACCCGTGTCCCAGCCAGGCAGGACAGCCCCACCCCAGCCTCCTAGAGGAGGGGTCTGTGCCCGCGCCCACCCCCTCAGTGGAACCTAAGCCCTCCAGGGAGGACTCAAGTTTGAGGAAAGGATCCCTGGGAAGACCCCCAGGGTGCAGCCCGGGTGACAATGCTCAGGGGGCCCTTCCTGCACATACAGCCTCCCACAAATATAGTCATGCACACCCCACAGAGACACACAGAACACACAAACACACAGAGACACACAGACACATAGACATACAGAGACATAAAGACACACAATACACACAAACACACTAACACACACAGAGAGAGACACACACACACATAGGCACACACAGAGTCAGAGACACACAGACACACTACCACACACACAGAGACACACAGACACACATAGGCACACAGAGTCAGAGACACACAGACACAGAAACACAAGCACAGACACACTACCACACACAGACACGCATAGGCACACACAGAGACAAAGACACACGCAGACACAGGTACACAAGCACAGACATGCTACCACACGCAGAGACACACACAGAGATAGATACAGACACACATAAAGTCAGAGGCACACAGACACATATAGACACACAGAGGTACACGGCACAGACACACACACTCAGAGGCTCACACTCAGCCACAGCCACGTGCACACAGCTCACACGGCCCACACTCAGGTCCACAAGGGCTCACAGCGTCACAGAGGCCCCCAGTCCCACAGCCAGACAAGCACAGGCCGTGCTCACGCTCACACACTGACGCACACATTCTCCCACCCGCTGCCAAGCTCACGCTCACACATGCACACGTGGCATTGCTGGGCCAGGCTTTGGCACATGGGGTCAGGGAAGGCTCAGAGAGTGAGCATCACAGACACAGGGTGGGACTGGTGTCCGGGGGGTCCATGAGGAGCCGAGGGGCAGCCCTGCCACGCCCACAGGCCCCAGGTCTATTCTCAGGCACCCGCCTGGGGCTGGGGGCTTCCTTCTGGGAACACGAGGACCTCCGTTCTGCACGGAGACACACGTCCAGAAAGGGACACCCCAGGGCCACACCCAGACACACCCAGCCCGACTCGGGCACCCAGCACACGCCGGGCACACAACAAACACAGGAGCTGGCACACGCCTGGCCCCAGGCCAGGACAGCAGCAGGCAACTCGGCCAGTGCACACAGCCGCTCACACACACCACACATCCCCACAAGCCCTCACACCCTTACATCCCCACACTCCCACACATCCACACACATCCTCAAACACCCCACACATCCACACACACCCCACACACCCCACACATCCTCACATCCCCACACACCCTCACACCCCACACCCCACACACCCCACACATCCACACACACCCTCACATCCCCACACACCCCCACACATCCACACACCCCACACCCCACACACACCCTCACACCCTCACACTCACACACACTCTCACATCCCCACACATCCACACACACCCCACACATCCACACACACCCTCACATCCACACACACCCTCACATCCCCACACCCTCACATATCCTCACACTCCCACACATCCCCACACACCCCACACCCCACATCCACACACATCCTCACACACATACACACACCCTCACACACCACACACCCACTCCCTCACACACCCTCACACACCCCACACATCCACACACCCTCACACTCACACCTTCACACATCCACACACACCCCACACACCCCACACATCCACACACACCCCACACCCCACACGTGCACACACACCCTCACACCCTCACACATCCACACACCCCACACACCCTCACACATCCTCACACTCCCACACATCCACACACATTCTGAAGCACCCCACACATCCACACACACCCCACACACCCCACACATCCACACACACCCCACACACACCCACACATCCTCACACTCCCACACATCCACACACACCCCACACACCCCACACATCCACACACACCCCACACATCCACACACACCCTCACATCCCCACACATCCACACACACCCTCACATCCCCACACACCCTCACACATCCTCACACTCCCACACATCCACACACCCCACACATCCCTCACACTCCCACACATCCACACACATCCCACACATCCTCACACACATACACACACCCTCACACACCACACACCCACACTCCCTCACACCCTCACACACCCCACATCCACAACCCTCACACCCTCACACCCTCATACACACACCCACACACACATTCTCACTTCACACACCCACACACATCCACACACCCACACATCCATACACACCCACATTCTCACACACCCTTACACCCTCATACACCCACATTCTCACACACATGCTGACACAATCCCAACTTCATACATCCCACACTCACACCCTCCCACACATTCTCACAACCCTCACACTCACCCCACACTTCCGCATATCTCCACACTCCCACACCTTCACAAACATTTACAAGCCCTCACACCCTCACACTCTCATGCACCCCTAACACTTATATCCTCACACACACATCCTCACACATCCCCACACCCTTACACTCTCAGTCACACCCTCACCCCCTCACACCCTTACACACCCTCACATGCCCTCATACACACCCTCACACACCCACACACCCTCACCCATCACACACTGACTTCACACGCATTCTCTCTCACACTCACCCACACACCCTCATGTGCCCTCACACCGACACACCCACTCACCCTCACACACCCACACCCTCATACACCCTCACACCCTCACATGCCCACACACACACCCTGACACACCCACACACACCATCACAACCCTCAGACTTCATGCATTCTCACACCCACACACCCTCACACCGACACACCCACTCACCCTCACACACCCTCACACACCCCCTCACACCCTCTCTCACACACACCCTCACACACCATCACACAGCCCTCAGACTTCACATTCTCACACTCACCCTCACACACACACACCCACACACCCTCACATACCCTCACACCCACACCCTCATACACTGTCACACACTCCACACCCACACTCTCACACACACCCTTACACCCTCACACACACACTCACTCACCCTCAGACACACACACCCTTGACAGCTTGCCTGCAGTCTGTCAGAGGGGTCCCTCAGAGGGCCACCACACCCTGCGGATCAGGTGCCCAGAATCCACCATCCAGCGGCTCTGGGCCTTTCCCCTCTCAGCTCATGACCTTTGGGTACCACGGCTCAGGAGTACCCCTGTGCTCCCCAGCTGCCAATCCCTGCATCTCCTTGGGCCCCTGCTGACCTCTCCAGTGGCCTCAGGGTGACGTCCTGGCCAGGCCCTGTCCCTCTGCAGCCACCTCTGCCCACTGCCCCACCACCTGCCCAGGGCTCCCCCAGGCTCCCACACCAGCCGTGGGGGTCTCTCAGGCAGGCCGGCCAGGTGGCACCACGGCTCCCCCAAGGGCAGCAGGTCAGGCGTGAGCATTGCCGTCTCCCATCCCCTCCTGCTGAGCCCCCACAGGAGCCTGGCAGCCCGATCCTGTCACCATAGTGAGGGCAGCTCCTGGCCCACCAGGCCCAGTCCACACCAGCCGGCCGCAGGCAGCGTGTCTGGGAGACACCCCAGGCCGCCCACCGCCCAGCAGGGGACAAGCCAGCCCCCAGACCCGTGCCCTGCACAGGGGGACGGGGCTCAGACCCAGGCTGCCCTTGACAGCAGGAGCTGTGGTGGGCCCACGGTGGGGACCACTGGGGACAGGCCTGGGGGCACACAATGCTCCTGAGGGGCCTCAGGCTGCGTCCTGGGTTGGGGCACTGTTCTGTGAGTAGGTGACATGTCACCTTGAAAGGGCTTCTATTTCACTAAGAGAAAAGGTGGAGGCTTTCCTGGGGGAGGGCGGTGCGGTGTTGTGTGGGACAGTGAGAGAGGGACCACCAGCACAGACAAAGGAGAGGAAAGTGCAGGGGGGGTGGGGGCTGCAGGGACAGAGGCTTGGGGAGGCGCTGGAACCGCAGGGCGCGGGCCTGGGGGGCCCACACGCCACCTCGAGGGACCGCACCTGGGGACCACAGACGCAGGCCCACTCGGGCTCTGGAGGGCCCTCCTGGGGCTGCCTGGCCACGCTCTCTCTCTCCTGGTCCCAGATCCCCTCCACGGCCCCTCCCCACCCGTCCATCCAGAAGTTGCCCAGGGCTGGTCAGAAGGGGCCACATGACACCCCCAGGACAGGCTGGAAGTGGAGGGATCGTGGTCCCGCAGTTCAACTCCCACCCGGCACTCCCCACTCAACATCACTTAGGACAGTTATATTGTTTCGGGTTCTTTTTTTTCTGTATTAAAAGCATTAACTTCCAATACTGCTTTTATAAAACACACATGCACTGTGGTGAGGACGTTTTGTTAAAATGAAAGGGACAAGCCGGGGCTGGACGGGGAAGCCCCCTGGTGGGGGGACACGGGAGGGGAACCCTGCACTCACAGAAAAGCCCCTCCATTCTTTGCACGTTTCAAATGTTGTATTTTCAAATATAATTAAGCGACGTGGGAGGAAGGGCACCGCGTGCTAGGCAGGAGCAGCCCCCTCCTGGGAGGGAGATGGCAGACAGGGGACAGGGTGGGGGACAGGGTGGGGGACAGGGTGGGGGACAGTGACCAGGTGAGGAAAGATGCGGGTCAGGGACTGGGGGTGCAAATGGGGAGGTGGTGGGGGACGAAGCCCCTCCAAACCTGACGCCCCGCCGCTTCCCGAGCCCGGGGTTCAGGGCTTCCTGTTTTCCTGTGTGATTATGAGCTCCTGCTCCTGCCCTCGCCCCACGCGCGAGTCTCCCCTGGAAGGATGTGCAAGCTTTTCACAAGCACCACAGACTCTTACAACCCGGGACCACCTGGGACCCCAGGCGGTCAGGACCAGGGCCACCCCACACGGCAGGCACCAGCGCTCCTGACCTGGGCTGCAGAACAGCCTGTGGTCAGGCAGGGGCTCCCACTGGCCCCTGTCCTCGGCAGGCCCTTCCCCAGGAGCAGCGTCCGGGAGCTCAATACAGGCTTGGGGGCTGCCCGTCCACCTGGGGAGGATCTTTGCAGGGCCCTTTCTTTCTCACTAAACAGCTTGCCTGTAGAAAGGAGAATTCGAAGGGATTTAAATCCAGTATTTTTACTGGTTTTCCCCGGGGCTAGCCAGGGTGTCTGCCCCACCTGCTGGTGGAAACGAAGTTCCCACTCTGGCCTTCTCCGTTAGGGCTTTATTTCATGGAGGTTGCATATGCCCGCCTCCCTGCAATGCGATGGTGAGGCCAGGGACTGCGGATGGGGCAAGGCCTGGAAGGGTGTGACTGTCTGTGAGGTGGGGATGGGCCTGCAGAGGGACGTCCGGGAATACACGGAGGCGTCTCGCACCGACACCGGGGTTCACTGTGACGGGAGGGGCTAGAGACCATCTGAGTGGGCTGGAATGGGGGTTGTCGCACACCCCTCGGGGGTGGATGTGGGTGCCCAGCAAGAGAAGCAGACCCGGCCCCACAGGAGGCTGCAGATGGAAGCTTCAGAGGCGGCTCCGGGGCTGCCACAAACCCCGCCCCTCCACGTGCCTCCCTGTCCCGGGAGCCGCCCCTCTGACCCCCAGGCCCTTCCCCGGACGTCCCAGCTGCTCCACAGCCCAGGCTTCTCCCCTCCTGCCCCCATGGAACCCCCACCCTGGGCTGTCTGGGCCTGCCTAGCCGGCCGTGTGGGGTCCCCCAGGCCCGTGGCCCAAGCACCCATCTCCGTGTCCAGCGCCCAGCGCACTCGGACGTTTCACACGCGGGCCTCTGGGGAGGACCCCCAGGCACCGCCAGCCCAACCCCGGCGGCCGGAAACTGGACCCGCTGCGGCAGCCGCTGAGGCTCTGCTGCCCCCGTGTGGCCGACAGCAGCATCGAACGCCGCCGACCACGCGGCGCTTCCCGGGCTCGGGGCAGGGGCAGGGGCACGGGCAGGGGCACGGGCAGGGGCAGGGGCAGGGGCAGGGGCAGGGGCAGGGGCGCTCTCGGGGCCGGATCCCGGCTCTGCCTTGGGCTCAGGGCTGGGGCCCGGTCCGTGTCCAGCACTGTGATCCCCTCCCCTCCCCAGCGCCTGCCGCGGAGATGGCTGTGGCATCCGCGAACAGGCGTCAGCTTGTGGGGCTCTGTGGTCTGGGATCCCAGCCTCTGCCAAAGTCCTGCATTCCCTGGGTGTGGGGACGCTGTGACCTGGGGACGCTGTGACCTGGGGACGCTGTGGCCTGGGGGCCTTGCAGGGCTGCACCTGGGGCAGATGGGGAAGCTGGCCTGGGCTCCTCGGTGGGGCCCCGCGCCCCCCACTTCTGCCGGCAGCATCCGATGCTCCCTGACCCTGGTCAGGACCCTTCCTCCTGGCGTGGCCCAGTGTCCCCGCAGAAGCCCCAGAACGCGGCCTGCCCGGGAGCCGGCTCGGGCCTGGGGCCTGCGGGTCTTCACTATGGTCGCGAATGGACCCACGGGATGCTGCATGAGGCGCACGAGCTTGAGGCACCAGCCTCCGGCCACTGTCCCTGGAGGACAAGGGACGCGGCTCCGGAGCAGAGGGTCCTCCCCTGGGGATGCCCTCCCGGCGGCTGGGTGTGGGGCTGGGGGCTGTGCCCGGAAGTGGGTGGGTGGGAGAAGCCTCCTGAGCACAGAGGACAGCAGCCAGGCCCAGGCCCAGGCCCTGCAGGCCCCCAGGGGCTCCAGAGCCCCAGAGAGGAGGAAGGCCTCCGTGTGCTCACAATCAGCTCACACCCCGGGGAGGAACCTCAGAGGGTCGGGACAAGGAAAGGAAGGCCCCGGCCCAACATCGGGGTCTGGGCGCTGGTGGGACAGGGCAGGCTCAGCCTTGGGGCCGGTCAGGGCCCTGTTGGGGTTCGGGTCCCCCTGCCAGGTCCGCGTCTGCAGCCACAGCCCCTCAACCCCAGCAGGGACCCCAGAGACCGGCTCGGGACCCCCTGGTGGCCGTCTTGTGCCACTGCAGTTCTGCTGCTGAGAGGTTCCCGGGGTTCCCGGGGTTCCCGGGGTCCCTGGCCCGGCAGCCTCCTGGGCTCCCAGGCAGGCGCGCTCTGCCGTCCGCTCATGCGGGGACAGCGGACCTCAGAGGCAAGCCTCAAAGACGCGCCCAGATCAGGATCCCAGGAACCCAGCTCACATACAAATCAGAAAAGCCCTAAAGAAGCAGAAACAAGAATCAGTGAAACAAGAAACTATAGAATAAGAACCCAAACAAAAGCAAAATGTCGGCGTTATCAGACATAGAATATGCAATGTGTGCTTAAGAGGGTTTTTTTGTTTGTTTTGTTTTGAGATGGAGTCTCGCTCTGTCGCCCAGGCTGGAGTACAGTGGTGCGATCTCGGCTCACTGCAACCTCCGCCTCCCGAGTTCAAGCGATTCTCCTGCCTCAGCCTCCTGAATAGCTGGGACTACAGGTGCCCGCCACCACGCCCGACTAATTTTTTTGGATTTTTAGTAGACACGGGGTTTCACCGTGTTAGCCAGGATGGTCTCGATCTCCTGACCTCATGATCTTCCTGCCTCAGCCTCCCAAAGTGCTGGGATTACAGCGTGGCCACCACGCTCGGCCAAGAGATTTTTTAAACTTACTTACAGAAGCTATTCAAATATTACTGCAAAATGGGAAATTACTGCACATTGCATTTTGAAATGACCTGAGAGTTTTACGAAGAACTTCTAGAACTGAAAACCGTAATAGATGAGGCTAAAATAAGAATGGATGGGACAGGCAGCGCAGAGGACACGCAGGAGCAGGAGCTGGTAACACCGAAGAAAGAGCAGGAGACGCCACCCAGCCCGAGCGCAGCCCCGCGGAGGCTGGACCGAGGCTCCCACAAGGGCTTCTTCTGCCCAAAGGAGAAACAGAGTCGGGGGAGGCAGTGGCTGGGAATTTTCCAAAATCGCTGAATAACAGGATGTGTCAGGATCAAGGCCAAGTCCCAAGCAGGATAAATAAAAGCAAACCGCGTCCACACCTTGACGCTTGCCGATGGAACTGCCAACACCAGAGACAAAGAGACTTTAGAAGCATCCAAAAGGAGGCCGGGCGTGGTGGCTCACATCTGTAATCCCAGCACTTTTCGAGGCAGAGGTGGGTGGGTCACCTGAGGTCAGGAGTTGGAGAGACCAGCCAGGCCAACATGGTGAAACCCGGTCTCTATTAAAAACACAAAAATTAGCTGGACGTGGTGGCGGGTGTCTGTGGTCCCAGCTACTCAGGAGGCTGAGGCAGGAGAATCGCTTGAGCCCGGGAGGCGGAGGTTGCAGTGAGCTGCCATCGCGCCACTACCCTCCAGCCTGGGAGACAGAGTGAGACTCCATCAAAAAAAAAAAAAAAAAATCCGTCAGGGCCGGCCCAGGCAGGTGCACTCGCGCGGCCACAGACTCCAGAGCCGGACTCGGGAGCCCCCCGGCGGCCGTCCCGTGCCACTGCACGTTCTCATAGACAGGAGAGTCTCAAGAACCCTGGAGCAAACAAGACGCCTGGAGCAGCCTCCCAGCATCTACTCACCTCTGCCGGCCGTTTACACCCGAAAGCCACCCCTCAAGACCAGGACAACGGTGACACTTTCATACAAAGGGCACAGGCACTTAACTCCGCACGCTGGCTGCTGGCGCCTCCTAAGAGTGTGTTTAGAAATGTTAAAGAAAAAATTATTCCATGATAGTTGTTCAATGCGGAAGCAGGTGTGATTCAGGACCACCGCCACAGGAGCAGGGACCATGGCCATGGGGGAGAGAGATGGGGCTCAGTTCTTAACACAGCATGGGCTGGCAGGGATCGACAGCCAAGGAGGGAGCTGGGTAAACTCGGAGGACGGACATTCCCAAGAGGAAATATTGGGGGGAAGGAGGGTTCTGGCTAAATTAGCCCAGGAAGATTTTTGCTGAAGACAGACCAGGGTGATCAGACCTGGGAGATGGTGGAAGATGAGGAACTCAGGATCAAGGGTGATCAGATGTCAAGAGTGGGTCTTTAACCTGACTTAGGGGGGTTCTTTTTTTTTTTTTGAGACGGAGTCTCACTCTGTCACCAGGCTGGAGTGCAGTGGCATGATCTTGGCTCACTGCAACCTCTGCCTCCCGGGTTCAAGCGATTCTCCTGCCTCAGCCTCCCGAGTAGCTGGGATTACAGGCACCCTCCACCACACCCAGCTAATTTTTGTATTTTTACTAGACAGGGTTTCACCATGTTGGCCAGGCTGGTCTTGAACTCTTGACCTCAGATGATCCGCCCACCTCAGCCTCCCAGAGTGCTGGGATTACAGGCATGAGCCACCGCTCCGGGCCCCACCGGGTACTTTTTAAAGCCTTTTTCTTACAAGGAAGTGCAGGCTGGCCTAGGAGAAGGTTCCAGAGCCCGACTGTAGTTTGGCCAAGCAGAGAATCTTTGTCAGTCCACCCTGTTTAAAGAAAGAGGAGACATTCTGGTTTCCCTCCAACAATATAAGTACATTTTCTTGTTGGGTGGCCTTTCGTTCATTAAGAACCAGCTGGATTTTCTGTTGGGACTGGGTAGAAGAGGACATTTTGCCGCATGGTGCTAGCAGTTGGACATTCAAAGAGGAGAGACTCTGAAAATAAACGAAACACAAAGGTTAACACTTAGAAATGCAGTTTCCGAACCCAGTGGGCACCAGGCTGGAAGATTTCTAGACGCTGGGCCTGAAGCATCTTCAGCTGCAGCCAGGTAGGCAGCTGAAGGGCCTTCCTGATTTGCAGGTCAGGTGTTGCAGAAGCTGCCCGCACAGGATCTGTGGGGATGATTTCTCTAAAGTTTACATCAACTTGTCCCATTTCAGCTCACAGGGCTTCAGGAACAGAGCAGTTTTAAATTTGACTGATTCCAAGTCAGAGGGTGAGGGAAAAATTGGAAAAATTAGTTTGCAGAGTTGTTGCCTGATATTAGAGAAAACTAGAAGAATTCTGAAGGGGCCAGCCCCTCCACACCTGTGGGTATTTCTCGTCAGGTGGGACGAGAGACTGAGAAAAGAAATAAGACACAGAGACAAAGTATAGAGAAAGCACAGTGGGCCCAGGAAACCAGCGCTCAGCATACAGAGGACCTGCACCGGCACCGGCCTCTGAGTTCCCTCAGTATTTATTGATTACTATTTTCACTATCTCAGCAAGGGGAATGCAGCAGGAGAACAGTGGGGAGGAGGTCAGCAAGAAAACGTGAGCAAAGGAATCTGTGTCACAAGTAAGTTCAAGGGAAGGTACTATGCCTGGACATGCACGTAGGACAGATTTATGTTTCTCTCCACCCAAACATCTCAGCGGAGTAAATAACAAGGCAGCATTGCTGCCAGCATGTCTCGTCTCCCACCACAGGGTGGTTTTTCTCCTATCTCAGAATAGAATAAATGTACAATCGGGTTTTATACCGAGACATTCCGTTCCCAGGGGCAGGCAGGAGACAGTGGCCTTCCTCTATCTCAACTGCAAGAGGCCTTCCTCTTTTACCAATCCTCCTCAGCACAGACCCTTCACGGGTGTCGGGCTGGGGGACGGTCAGCTCTTTCTCATCCCACGAGGCCATATTTCAGACTATCACATGGGGAGAAACCGTGGACAATACCCGGCTTTCCAGGGCAGAGGTCCCTGCGGCTTTCCGCAGTGTATTGTGCCCCTGGTTCATCGAGACTGGAGAATGGCGATGACTTTTACCAAGCATACTGCCTGTGAACACTTTGTTAACAAGGCACGTCCTGCACAGCCTAGATCCCTTAAACCTTGATCCCATACAGCACAGGTTTCTGTGAGCAATTGTTTAGGGTACAGGTCAAAATGGAATCTCTTATGTCTTCCTTTTCTACATAGACACAATAACAGTCTGATCTTTCTTTTCCCTAAAAATTCAAGATCCAGTCCAGTTTGTAGATAAATAACAAAACCTCGTAAACAATGAGCAGGGCTGAAATCTCATCACGGTGCCCTGCAGTTTTGCATTGAATCATTTTTTTCTCCACAGTCACTCCCACATTTCCATAAATGTTGATCCAAATAAGAGTGATATGTTTGCAAAGTCAGTCTAGTTTCACTATACTTGGCCTGATTGTTTACATAAGTGCAACAAGAAGCAGTTGACCACATTCGCTCTCTTTAAATTTGCTTTGCTGGAGGCTGGGCGTGGTGGCTCATGCCTGTAATCCCAGCACTTTGGGAGACTGAGGCAGGTGGATCACGAGGTCAGGAATTCAAGACCAGTCTGCCTAACATAGTGAAACCCCGTCTCTACTAAAAATAAAAAAATTAGCTGAGTGTGGTGGTGTGCACCTGTAATCCCAGCTACTCGGGAGGCTGAAGCAGGAGAATTACATGAACCTGGCAGGCGGAGGTTGCAGAGTCAAGATCACGCCATTGCACTCCAGCCTGGGTGACAGAATGAGACTCCGTCTCAAAATAAAAAAAAAATTGCTTTGCTGGAGCTTTTCATAAAGAATCTCAGATTGAACTGTAAAGGCCTCCCGGGGCTGGGAAGCCACATCAAGGACATGCCATCTGACTTGGCACAGGGTACCTATAGATCTGGGTGAGTTCCTTTCTGCTCAGTCCCCAAAATACAGAGGTTGCTGGGCTGCCTTACTCAACCTGCAAGACTGGGAACCCTCAGGCCAATTTTTCCAAGGGGGGGTTTACTGGCTCCATAAAGTCAACTCTAGTTCCTTAAAGCTGTGTGGTCGTATCTGAAGATAGGATATTCCGGTCAAAGCCTTGGTAATATCATCAGAGTCTGTAATTGTGCCGTTACAAGGAGAACAGATTCTTACTGAACTTTTACAAATAACTCTACTGTCATAAAAATAAGTGTAGGGAAAAGAGAGATCAAACCGTTACTGTGTCTATATAGAAAAGGAAGACATAAGAAACTCCATTTTGATCTGTACCAAGAAAAATTGTTTTGCCTTGAGATGCTGTTAACCTGTAACTTTAGCCCCAACCTTGAGCTCACAGAAACCTGTGCTGTATGGAATCAAGGTTTAAGGGATCTAGGGCTGTGCAGGACATGCCTTGTTAACAAAATGTTTACAGGCAGTATGCTTGGTAAAAGTCATCACCATTCTCCAGTCTCGATTAACCAGGGACACAATGCACTGCGGAAAGCCAGGGACCTCTGCCCTGGAAAGCCTGGGTATTGTCCAAGGTTTCCCCGCCCTGAGACAGTCTGAAATATGGCCTCATGGGAAGGGAAAGACCTGACCGTCCCCCTAGCCCGACACCTGTAAAGGGTCTGTGCTGAGGAGGATTAGTAAAAGAGGAAGGCCTCGGCCGGGTGCGGTGGCTCATGCCTGTAATCCCAGCACTTTGGGAGGCCGAGGCGGATGGATCACCAGGTAGGTCAGGAGATCGAGACCATCCTGGCTAACATGGTGAAACTCTGTCTCTACTAAAAAAAAAAAAAAAAATACAATTAGCTGGGCGTGGTGGTGGGCGCCTGTAGTCCCAGCTACTCGGGAGGCTGAGGCAGGAGAATGGCATGAACCCAGGAGGCGGAGTTTGCAGTGAGCCCAGATCATGCCACTGCACTCCAGCCTGGGCGACAGAGCGAGACTCTGTCTCAACAAAAAAAAAAAAAAAAAAAAAAAGAGGAAAGCCTCTTGTGGATGAGATAAGAGGAAGGCCTCCGTCTCCTGCATGTCCCTGGGAGCAGAATGTCTCGGTGTAAAACCTGATCATACATTCATTTTATTCTGAGGAGAAAACCGCCCTGTGTCTGGAGGCAAGATATGCTGGTGGCAATGCTGCTGTTACTCTTCACTACACTGAGATGTTAGGGTGGAGAGAAGCATAAATCTGGCCTATGTGCACATCCAGGGATAGTACCTTCTCTTGAACTTATTTGTGACACAGATTCCTTTGCTCACGTTTTCTTGCTGACCTTCTCCCCACTGTCACCCTGTTCTCCTGCCGCATTCCTCTTGCTGAGATAGTGAAAATAGTAATCAATAAATACTGAGGGAACTCAGAGGCCCGTGCCGGTGCGGGTCCTCCGTATGCTGAGCCCTGGTCTCCTTGGCCCACTGTGCTTTCTCTATACTTTGTATCTATGTCTTACTTCTTTTCTCAGTCTCTCGTCCCACCTGACGAAAAATACCCACAGGTGTGGAGGGGCTGGCCCCCTTCAATAAAAACACTCACTACTGGTTTTGGGGTTCTGGAGGGATTAGGAAGGGAGAAAATAGTTGTTTCCTCTCTGTTCACAAAGATGTAACTTACCAAATTGCTGCAAACTATTGACAGCTTAAGGGAAAAAAGTTTTCTAAAATCTGAAAAACAAAACATTAAAGAACCAGCAATGTTTCCAACAAAAAGTCATTTAAAAATTATCCTCGGCCGGGTGCAGTGGCTCACACCTATAATCCCAGCACTTTGGGAGGCCAAGGCGGGCAGATCACGAGGTCAGGAGTTCGAGACCAGCCTGAACAACATGGTGAAACCCCGTCTGTACTAAAAATACAAAAAAATTAGCTGGGTGTGGTGGCGCACCCCTGTAATCCCAGCTGCTCAGGAGGCTGAGGCAGGAGAATCACTTGAACCCGGGAGGTGGTGGTTGCAGTGAGCCGAGATCGCGCCATTGCACTCCAGCATGAGCAACAGAGTGAGACTCCATCTCAAAAAAAAAAAAAAAAATTATCTTCCTTTGTTCATTCAGTCCCATGTAATTGAATCTTGTTCTGTTTGAAGCTGGATTAGTAGTCTGATGACATCAGTTTTTTCATTCCATTTCTGAAAATTCTTACACAGTCCAATGGTATGATCTTAAAGCTATCAGCAGCGGTCTGTATTTCGGAGTAACTGTCAGAGTCTTTTTCATGAATCTTGAAGAATAGCCACTTTTGTCTACCTAATTGCAAATTACTTTAGTAAAGAATCAAAGGAAAAGAATAACTGAATGGCAAAGGCTTAAAATGGCCATTTTTAAAGATCTGATGAGAGTTCATTATAATAATGATACAATTGACAAGGAAATCTGGTTATTTCTGTAACATACAACACTTTAACACAATATCTGAAATTATGGCTGATAAAATTATACCAGGACATATCCGATTTCTAGGATTTCCACATAATTTCTGAAGCATTCATTAATGACATATCCAAAAATATGATTTAAAGATGTAGTATCAAATACTATTTGTTTTCTTTATAACTTTACTTATCAAATAAGCCCAATTAGACCAGGCACAGTTGCTCACACCTGTAATCCCAGCACTTTGGGAGGCTGAGGTGGGCAGATCACCTGAGGTTGAGTTTGAGACCAGCCTGGCCAACATGGTGAAACTCCATCTCTACTAAAAATACAAAATTTAGCTGGGCGTGATGGCACACACCTGTAGTTCCAACTACTTGGGAGGATGAGGCACGAGAATCACTTGAACCCATGAGACGGAGGTTGCAGTGAGCCAAGATCTCACCATTGCACTCCAGCCTGGGCAACAGAGTGAGACTGTCTCAAAAAAAAAACAAACAAAAAAAAAAGCCTAATTAGTTTAAAATCTCTTTTTTGAGACAGGCTCTTGCTCTGTCACCCAGGCTGGAATACAGTGGTGCAACCATTGCTCACTGCAGCCTCCACCTTTCAAGCTCATGCTATCCTCCCACCTCAGTCTTCGGAGTGGTGGGGATTACAGACATGTGCCATGTCACCGGGCTAATTTTTATTTTTTTGTAGTGACAGGGTCTCACTAAGTTCCCAAGACTTGTCTTCAACTCCTAGTCTCAAAGGATCCTCCCACCTTGACCTCCCAAAGTGCTGGGATTATGGGCATGAGCCACCATGCCCAGCCTACAATCCAGGGGTAAGGCCATTCCAAAGCATCCAAGCTGACTATATTGAAATGACCCCAATAGGCCACCTCAAGTATTTACTAGTGATAGCAGACCACCTTACCCACTGGGCAGAAGCTCTCCCCTTCCCACGCGCAACAGCCAGTGATGCAGTTAAAACCCTGTTAGAACACATCATACCCAGGTTCAAACTAACAGAGACCACTGATTCAGACAATGGGACCCACTTTACCGTGCTCATTAAAGGGCTAACCCAAGCACTACAAATAAAGTGGGAATACCATACTCCCTGGCATCCACCCTCACCAGGAAGAGCAGAAAGAATGAACCAGACTCTAAAAACCCACCTACCTAAATTAATTCTAGAAACCCGGTTACCATGACTAAGTGTCTTCCCATGGCCCTATAAGAGTCTGAACTGCTCCCTGAAAAGACATCGGCCTATCCCCTTATGAAATGCTTCATGGGTTGCTTTATTTAAGTTCCACTACTCACCTCCCAACATTTGAGACAAACGATGAGTTTCTTAAAAACTATGTATCCAGTCTGTCTTCTATCCTCTCCTCCCTTGAATTCTCAGTTCAACACCAGCCCCGAGATCACATTCTTATCAGAAGTTGGAAAGGGGAAAAGCTTGAACCCACCTGGAAAGGACCTTATGTGATGCTCCTAACGACTGAGACGGCAGTCAGCCCGCTAAGGAGTAGACCCACCATACCCAGTCAAAAAGGAGTCTCCCTCTCCAAAGTCACGGACCTTCATCCCAGGACCAACCCCCACCAGAGTAACGTGAAAGAAAAAAGCCTAATTGGCCTGTCCGCATTTCCTCTTCTCTTTCCCTTAGCTACCCCACATCTCATTATTAATGTAACCACGGCAAAGTCACCCCAAATCATTACTTTTGATGCTTGTCTTGTTACACCTTGCGGAGACTTGGGACGTCAAACGCAGCTCTCTACTTCAGAAAAATGTCTTTGCGAAAAAAAATTACCTTTTTCGTGAATCACTGACATAATGAAAAACAACATGAAGCACAAGTTATCTTGATGGCACACAAAAATCCTTGTTTTTCCTAAGCCAATTACTTAAAACGTAAAAAAAAAAAACCTTCCGGCCTCCGCACCCAGGCCTGGGGGGCGGCGGGGCCGCGTATGGAGCCCCCCACCTCCCGGAGCTGCCAGCATGGCCAGCACCACCGCCCCGCTACACACAGGTACCCCTAGGATGGCGTGAGCACTCCCCCGGCGATGGACCCACCTGTGACGCTCTGGCACTTTCTGCTGCAGCTGAGAGCAAGGCAACGGCCACAGCTCCTGGACTTCATGGGATGGTGGTGGTTGCAGAGGAAGGTGGCCTAGCCGTGGGGGCGACGCAAGAACAAGACCAACGTGAATTACGACAAGCTCAGGCGGGCCTTGCCGTACTACTGTGTCTGGAATTGGTCGGTTCTTGATCTCACTGACTTCAACAACGAAGCCGCGGACCCTCGCAGTGAGTGCTACAGTTCTTAATAGGCGGCATGTCCCGCCGTTTGTTCCCTCATGTTCCGAGTTTTTGTTTTTTTTTTTCTTCTGGTGGGTTTGTGGTCTCGGTGGTTCAAGACTGAAGCTGCAGACCTTCGTGGTGAGTGTTAGAGCTTTTAAGGCACCGCGTCTAGAGTTGTTTGTTCTTCCTGGTGGGTTGGGGGTCTCGCTGGTTTCAGAAATGAAGCTACAGACCTTTACCATGAGTGTCACAGCTCACAAAGGCACTGTAAATGCAAAAACGAAGCAGTAACAAGATTTATTACAAACAGTGAAAAACAAAGCTTTCCCCTATAGAAGACGACCCTAACGGGTTGCCGCTGCTGGCTCAGGCAGCCTGCCTTTATTCCCTTATCTGGCCCCACCCACATCCTGCTGATTGGTCCATTTTACAGAGAGCCGATTGGTCTGTTTTACAGGGAGCTGATTGGTCCGTTTTGACAGGGTGCTGATTGGTGTGTTTACAATCCCTGAGCTAGACACAAAAGTTCTCCACGTCCCCACTAGATTAGCTAGATACAGAGTGTCAATTGGTGTATTTACAAACCCTGAGCTAGACACAGTGCTCATTGGTGCATTTACAAACCTTGAGCTAGATACAGAGTGCTGATTGGTGCATTCACAGTCCCTTAGCTAGACATAAAGATTCTCCAAGTCCCCACCAGATTAGCTAGACACAGAGCGCTGATTGGTGCATTTACAACTCTTGAGCTAGATACAGAGTGCTGATTGGTGTATTTACAATCCCTTAGCTAGACATAAAGATTCTCCAAGTCCCCACCAGATTAACTAGATACAGAGTGCCGATTGGTGCATCCGCAAACCCTGAGCTAGACACAGGGTGCTGATTGGTGGGTTTACAAACCTTGAGCTAGATACAGAGTGCTGATTGGTGTATTTACAATCCCTTAGCTAGACATACAGGTTCTCCAAGTCCCCACCAGATTAACTAGATACAGCGTGCCAACTGGTGCATCCACAAACCCTGAGCTAGGCACAGGGTGCTGATTGGTGTGTTTACAAACCTTGAGCTAGATACAGGGTGCTGATTGGTGTATTTACAATCCCTTAGCTAGACATAAAGGTTCTCCAAGTCGCCACTAGACTCAGGAGCCCTGCTGGCTTCACCCAGTGTATCTTGCACCTGGGCTATAGGTGGAGCTGCTTGTTAGTCCCCCGCTGTGTGCCCACACTCCTCAGCCCTTGGACGGTCAATGGGACCAGACGCAGTGGAGCAGGGGGCAGCGCTCTTCCGGGAGGCTCGGGCCAGGCCGGAGCCCATGCCGGCGGGTGGCGGTGGGGGGCGGCGGGGAGGCTCAGGCATGGCAAGCTGCAGGTCTCGAGCCCTGCCCTACGGCGAGGCAGGTAAGGCCCAGTGAGAAATGGAGCACAGCGCCGGTGGGCCAGCACTGCTGGGGACCCCGGCGCACCCTCCGCAGCTGCTGGCCCGGGTGCTAAGCCCCTCACTGCCCAGGGCAGGCGGGGCCTGCCACTCCGAGTGCGGGGCCCGCGGAGCCCACGCCCACCCAGAACTCGCGCTGGCCCGCAAGCGCCGCGCACAGCCCCGGTTCCCACCCGTGCCTCTCCCTTCACACCTCCCTGCAAGCCGAGGGAGCCGGCTCCGGCCTCGGCCAGCCCAGACAAGGGCTCCCACGGTGCAGCGGCGGGCTGAAGGGCTCTTCAAGCGTGGCCAGAGTGGGCGCCAAGGCCGAGGAGGCACCGAGAGCGAGTGAGGGCTGCCAGCATGCTGTCACCTCTCACGACTATGACGAGAACATCATCCGCAAGGTGAGCGGCCAGAAGTTGGTCTACAAGTTTGTGTCCTATCCTGAGGTCGCAGGGTGCTCCACTGAGTGAGGACTGCCCGCCCCACCCAGAGGTGTCGGTTACTTCACCATGGCAGTTGTGGCCCCTGCTGCTGCACATGCCGCCCCAGGGGGCACTGCCTCAGGAAAGCCAGGCACACCCAAGGGTGCAGGAATGGCAGGCCCTGGCGGTTTGGCGCGCAACAGCCGGAACAAGTACATGCGCTCGGGCCTCTGTTCCACCTTCACATCCAGTCTCTGCAGCCGCAGCCACCCCCTCAGCCTCGGCCTGCTGCGGTGCTCCCCAACGCAGCTCCTGCAGTCCAAGCCCCTGGGAGGCCTGCCTGGAGGCTGAGGAAGCCGGCTTCCCTCTGCAGGTCATCCTGACCCCGCCCGAGGCCCCAAACCTGAAATTGGAAGAGCCGAATGTGGAGCCGGGCTTGCGCCGCCCTTTGCCCCCGGAAGTGGAAGTGGAAGGGCCCGAGGAAGAGCTGGAATTCGCGGGGGAGAGAGGGTTCGTGCCAGAAACCGCCAAGGCCGAGCCTGAAGTCCCTCCACAGGAGGGCGTGCCAGCGTGGCTGCCGAGGTCCTTATGGACACCGCAGGGCAGGCGGGCGGCCACGCGGCTTCCAGCCCTCAGATCTCCCAGCCGCAGAAGGGCCGGAAGCCCCGGGACCTAGAGCTTCCACTCAGCCCGAGCCTGCTAGGTGCGCCGGGAGCCGAACGGACCCCAGGATCGGGAACTGGCTCCGGCCTCCAGGCGCCGAGGCCGGCGCTGACCCTGTCCCTGCTTCCTACGCACACGTTGACCCCGGCGCTGCTGACACCCAGCTCGCTGCCTCCCAGCGTTCACTTCCGGAGCAGCCTGAGTCCCGCTGCGCCCCGCAGCCCGGCCAAGCTCTCCTGCCAGCTTCCGTCCAGTGGCGGCGCCCAGGTGCACATCCCTTCCATCGGCGTGGCTGGCCTCTCGACCCCCGCGGTGCTCTCGCCAGGGCCCCAGAGGCCATGACCACCACCAGCACCACCACCCCTTCTGGGGTCCCTCCATCCGTGCTCTCTCAAGGAGAAACACAGTTCAACTGAAAGACTCATGCTCTGATTGTGGTGGGGTGGGGATCCTTGGGAAGGATTTCTCCCAGGAGTGACTCTCATTAACTCCTCCACAGAAAACACTCAGCTTCCACAGCTTCTCTCTTTTCTCTCTTTTCTGTCCGTCCCCCAGTGGCTGCCCTGACACGTCTCCTACTTCAATGGTAGGGGCGGTTTATTTATTTATTTTTTGAAGGCCACTGGGAAGCGCCTGACCTAACCTATTAGGGTGGTCAGGACGTCTCCCCCACCTCCCCGCTTTTTTCCCCAAGACAGGACAATCGGGGTCTGGCTTGAGAACGACCTTTCTTTCTTCATTCCTCGGCCTGCCCGTGGGGAGATGAGGGAGCCCTGTGTCCATTTTAGGATGTGAGTAGAAGTTAGTTTCGTTTTATTATTCCTGGCCATACTCGGGGTCCAGGAAGAATTTGTACCATTTAATGGGTTGGGAGTCTTGGCCAAGGCAGAATCACACCCTTGGAATAGAAATTTCCACCTCCTCAACCTTTCTCTCAGACAGCTTATCCTTTTTTAACCAACTTTTTGGCCAGGGAGGAATGTCCCTTTGTTCTTCTTCCCCCTGAGAAGCCATTCCTTTGTCTGCCAAACTCCCTGGGGTCCTGCCTGTTTCCTCCCATGGAGGGGTTTTGTGGGGGTGGTTCCTGTCTGGGGGGCCCCTCCAGCCAGTACTCCAGGTCTCCCTGTCTCTCCCCTGCTGCCATTTTGATAGTATAATCTATTTTTAAATGGGGCTTTTCAATAGAGGAGAGGGAGTCATCTCTTCCTATATTTGGTGGGGTGGATGTGAAGGAAGGGATGTGGGGGGCAATCTTCCTGCCGCCTCCCCCTCAGGGGTTTATTTTTGATAACAAATGTGTATTTTCAGTTCCCTCCCTCCCAGCCCCCCAATTTCCTGCAGGTAGGTACAAAGGACACTTTCAATGTCCCTGGAGTTGGGAGGGAGGAATGGGGGACATAAAGCCTGTCCTGTCTCTATTCTAGGCAGGAAGAGTGGGTTCAAAAGACTCCTGGGCTTCCCTGTCAGCCCTGGCCCAGCCCAGGCCTTGGGACCTGGGGGTTGGTGATTTGGGGGACGGTGCCGACTTTAACCACATAAGATCCCTTTTCCACAATCCTTTTACAACTTTTTTTTTTTTTTTTTTTTTTTGAGACAAAGTCTTGCTCTGTTGCCAAGGCTGGAGTGGAGTGCAGTGGTGCAATCTTGGCTCACTCCACCTCCCAGGTTAAAGCGATTTTCGTGCCTCAGCCTCCCAAGTAGCTGGAATTACAAGCATGCACCACCATGCCTAGCTAGTTTTTGTATTTTTTGTAGAGATGGAGTTACACCATGTTGGCCAGGCTGGTCTCTAGCTCCTGGCCTCATGTGATCCGCCTGCCTCAGCCTCCCAAAGTGCTGGGATTACAGGCATGAGCTACCACGCCCAGCCTAACATTTCATAATTTTTAAAAACACGCTTCCTCATAGTACAGCTTCTCATGTTAATAACAGACCCAAATATGTTTAGCTTTTCAATACCATATAAAAACAAGATGCCAGGCCAGGCACAGTGGCTCATACCTATAATCCCAGCACTTTGGGAGGCCAAGGCAGAAGGCTCACTTGAGCCCAGAAGTTTGAGACCAGCCTGGGCAACATAGCAAGATCCTGTCTCTACAAACAAATTAAAAGTTAGCTAGGTGTTGTGGCCCATGCCTGTAGTCTTAGCTACTGGGAGGCTAAGGCTAGAGGATCGTTTGAACCCAAGAGGTTGAGGTTGCAGTGAGCTATGATCACACCACTGCACCCAGCATGGGTGACAAGTGAGACCTTGTCTCTAAAAGGTAAAATTTAAAATTTGTTTAACAAAAGAATAGAAACTGAATGTATAACTTCTAAATCAGAAGAAGAAAGATTAAGTGAGGAAAATAACTCCTAAAGAAATAAGAAAACGATTTAAAAGATACTCAGAAAAAGCAAGACAAATAGAAACACAAAATAAGGAGGTAGAAATAAATAACGAGTAATGAAAATAAAAAGACATGGACTACATTCTCCAGTTAAAAGATGGATGCTCTTAATCCAGCTATGTGGTTTTTCAAGAGACACACACAAAACAAAATGACACAGAAGAGTTAGGAGGGAAAATCATGGGAAAAGATAAACCAGGCACACAGTAGCTCACAAAACTCACAAGTTTGTGGCATTTTACTGTCAGGCAAAATTGATGTTTTGGGAAAAAGCATTACTAGAGATGTTTTAAAGGGCATGAAATACTGATTATTGTAATAACATGTAGCACACGAAGCACTTACAATGGCCTGGGGGCTGCTCTCAACCCCTTAGTTAAATTAACTCCCCATTTTACAGGTGAAGGAAGCCAAGCACAGAACAGTCAGGAAGTATTTTCTGAATTTTCATGTAAGCTGTCTTTTCAATCATCTGCCTTATGATTTGTGCTTCCGAATTTTTATTTTATAACTTTTTCCCTGCTCCAACATCAATAAGTGATCCTCCTTTTTTTAGCATTAACTTTATAGTTTTGCAATTCACAGATCTATAATCTGGCTCAAGTCCACGCACATATGGGATAAGTGGTGGAGGCCCAGTTTCTATTATTCCCTGTATAGTGAGTCGATTTTGCCAACACCATTTATAAACGATCTTGTCTCATTGATTTGTGGTGTTTCCTTTTTATCTTATATTAAGAATCTGTATGTGGTAGCAGTAAACATTGTTCATATTCACCAATAGCCAGTGGTTCTCTACTTCCAGGAGCACAGAGTTACTCCTCCCTCACCCCTTGGCCTTGTCATTCGTTCTGGCCAATGATATTTGAGAAGCGATGTATGGAATTTCCAGGTCTAAGCATTCAATGGCCAGGATCCCTCTCCACTCCTAGCTTCCCTGCTATAACTGTGATGATAACCCTCTTAGTTCATAGTTTTCTATCCTTGTAATTTTTCAACTTGTGTCTTCTTTTGTTTTAATTATAAAGTTGCTCTTGGAGTGCTCGTTTCTTTGTTTGTTCATTTGTTTGTTTCAGAGACAGGGTCTTGCTGTGTTGCCCAGGCTGGACTCAAATTCCTGGACTCAAGCAATCCTCCACCCCAGCCTCCTGAGCCTGAGTAGCAGGGGCTATAGGCAAGTGTCTGCCACTATGCCTAGCTTTGTCTTGTCTTAATTTTTTTTTAATTTCAATACAAGAATCTCTACTTTTTAACTGATTAGTTTAAGCCATTAATATTTATTGTGATTACAACTGTATTATGATTTAGTTCTATCATCAAAGTTATTTTTTGTTTGTTTCTTCCACATTTCCTGTTTTCCATTGAATAGATTACATCTTCTTTTACTAGTTTAAAAAATTGTACTTGTAACTTTCATGGTGATTGTTCTTAAGATTAACTTTTAATAACTTTACTCATTTATTGAATGTATTCATAAATATAATTCATATTCTCCCAACAAGATATATGCTTTAGCATAATCTTAGTTCCTTGATTAATTCCTTATCCCGCATCATATTGATATTGTCTGGAGTTTTGGTTATGGGTAATTGTAGACATATTATCAATTTTTCATTTTCATGATATCTGTTATCAACAGTATATTATATAGGTATATATCATGATATTAACAATAACCTTTACTCGCTCTTTCTTCCTGTATCTCTTGCAACAGCTCCTGGGATTTTCCCTTCGTTTGCGAGAACTTTTTCCTACAGTGTTTTCAATGTGGTCTCTGTATAGCAAGTATTCTGAGGCCTCTTTTGCCTAAAAATGTTTTTAGTATACCTTCACATTTGAATTTAAAAATTTGCTGGATATAAGATTATAGGTGTAGGTTGGCCACATGCCTGTAACCCCAGCATTTTGGGAGGCTGGGGTGGGAGCATTGCTTGCAGCTAGGAGTTCAAAACCAGCCCGAGAAACATAGGGAAACCCCATCTCTACAAAAAATTAAAAGATTAGCCAGGTGTGGTAGCACATACCTGTGCTCCAGGTACTCAGGAGGCTGAGGTGGGAGGATTGCTTGAGCACAGGAGTTCAACGCTGTGGTGAGCTGTGATTGAGCCACCGCACTGCAGCCTGGGTGACAGTGCAAGACCCTGTCTCAGAAAAAAAAAAAAAGGTATAAAGTGGGTTTTTTTGATACCTTAAAAATAATTTGTAGTCCTCTTGCATTTTTGAATCATGTTGAAAGGTCTGAAGTCGGTGTGATTCTTACCCTTTATCCACCACTTGCTCTTCCATTAAAACTTTTTCCTTCTTTTCAACATTTTTTAAATATTCCCTTTTTTTCCTAATATTCTTCAATTTTAATATAATTGTGACTAGGTACAGGTTTTCCTCATATCATCTTTTGGATTTCTGTGGCGTCTTTCATCCCTAATGTTTGAAAATCCCTCTCATCTTTTTCTTCTGCTCTGTCCTCCCACCCACTTCTCTCCTCACAGTCCCTGTCCTTCTTCCTGCATGCTGGCCACTCTGCCAGGATTCCTTCCCCTCGTCTGTCACTTCGCAGATTGTTTTCCTCGGCTGCGTCCGTCCCACTGAATTTCAGTTACCACATTTTTCTCAATCATTATTTTGATACCTGATATTCCTACTTAGTTCTTTGTGCTCCCTGTTATTGCTTTCTCCCTGTTATTGCTAATATCTTTCCTTAATTCTTCAAGGATGTTACCGCATTTGTCTTTAATTCTTTGCCCAGAGGGTCTCATACTCCTGCTGCACACAAGTCATGCTGTGGAGGGTGCTGTTTTTCTTTCAGGCGCTCTTCTCTCCAGGCGTCTTGTTACTTTGGCCTGGGAGGGCATGTGCCCCAGAGGGGCTCAGTTCCTCTGTCTTGTGGTGTGGCCTGGGGAAGTGCTGAAGGCCGCAGCCTGGTCTGGGTGGGTCCTGGCAAGCTTTGGAGAGAGGAAGGGGGAGCAGAGAGGCCTCATCACCCTGGCTCAGCCGGTGAGCCGTCCTATTTCTTGCCCCACCACCAGGCTGCCCTCTAGCCGGGCTTCACCTTCCAGTCTCCATGATGGAGAAGGCTGGAGGCGGTGGTCTCCACAGTTGCAGCCCAGCCCTGGAGACGTGGACGGAGTGGGCAGGTGAGGGAACGGGAATGCGGCGGGTGTGCTCCAACTGGGATTTTCCATGGAAGGTCTATCTCCAAAGGAACTAGAGGTGAGAGTGGGATGAGTGGGATGCGGAAACCGCGAGGGTCAGCACAGGAACCTAAGGCTGTCAGCATCCGAGCTTTGCAGCCCAAGACCCAGCAAGGCGAGGGTCCGGCACAAAGGGAAGCTGTGTGGACCCAGCCGCCTCTGGAGGAGCAATGGTCTTGGGAAAGTTGTCAGAAACAAAATGGAATCAAAATGAGAAAAAAAAATCTGACAAACAGAGCAGAAAGGAGACGGGCAGAGAGGGGTCAGGAAGGGAGAACCAAGGTGCCCTGCAGCCTGATGAGGCTCACGGAGCCGCGTTGGCCCACAGGTTCCCCAACTCCTCCCCACAGGGTTGCCACCACCAGGAAGCATCCAAAGGATGCCAGTGGCAGAGGCCCAGCTGCCCCCACCAAGTTTCGCCAAGAAAAGGTCAGTCACGAGAGCAGAAGGCAGGGAAATGGTTCCCGAGGGTTCCCTCTGCCTCCCCGGGGCCTCCACCACAATCTGCAGCCCTCACCCCACATGGGGCCAAGACAGCATCCAGCCTGCCCAGGGCTCTGCAGCCCTAAGCGTTTGCCGCTGGAATCAATATGTCTTCCTATAAATACAGGTTCTCCAGGGTGATTTTTTTCATTTTTTTGAGACAGGGTCTTGCTCTGTCACCCAGACTGGAGTGCAGTGGTGCAATCATAGCTCATTCCAGCCTCCACCTCCTGGGCTCAAGGTATCCTCCCACCTCAGCCTCCCAAGTACCTGGGACTACAGGTGCACACCACTATGCCCTGCTAAGTTTTAAAATTTTTTGTAGTGACAAGGTATTGCCATGCTGCCCAGGCTGGTCTGGAACTCCTGGGCTCAAGCGATCCTCCTGCCTCAGCCTCCCAAAGTGCTGGAATTATAGGCGCAAGCCACCACACCTGGCCCAGAGTTGATTTTTTTTGTTTGTGTTTTGTTTTTGAGACAGAGCCTCACTCTTGTCGCCCAGGCTGGAGTGCAGTGGCGCGATCTCGGCTCACTGCAACCTCTGCCTCCTGGGTTCAAGTGATTCTCCTGCCTCAGACTCCCGAGTAGCTGGGACTACAGACGTATGTCACCACGCCTGGCTAATTTTTATATTTTTAGTAGAGATGGGGTTTCACCATGTTGGCCAGGCTGGTCTTGAACCCCTGACCTCAGGTGATCCGCCTGCCTCGGCCTCCCAAAGTGCTGGGATTACAGGCATGAGCCACCACCCCTGGCCCAGACTTGATTTTTTATTAACTTTCTTTGCTCCTGGCAGGACCAAAGGCCCTCATATTCTGTCTCTCAAAGTGGGCTCTGTGTGCATAAATGCATGGACATCATTTTACGTAGATTCTTTCTATATTATGTATCATAAAATTTTAACAGAAAAATGTATTATCAAATCACCTAAAAGCGCCAGGTGTGGTGGCTCACGCCTGTAATCCCAGCACTTTAGGAGGCCGAGGCGGGCGGATCACGAGGTCAGGAGATCGAGACCATCCTGGCTAACACGGTGAAACCCCATCTCTACTAAAAATACAAAAAATTAGCCGAGTGTGGTGGCATGTGCCTGTACTCCCGGCTACTCAGAAGGCTGAGGCAGGAGAATCGCTTGAACCCAGGAGGCGGAGGTTGCAATGAGCCAAGATCGCACCACTGCACTCCAGCCTGGCGAGAAAGCAAGACTCCGTCTCAAAAAAAAAAAACAAAAAAAAATCACTAAAAGCTGTGGAACAAGGAGGACACCTTAACTTATATGAAAATTGATCATCTGGGCCAGTTCTGAAGCTTGTCTCAATCCAGATTTGTCAGAAACTGGATCCAGTGAGCACCATCGCCTGCCCCAGACCCAATCAGCCAAGCATGGGGAGAGCAAAGAATTTCGAAGTTTAAAGTGTGCCATGAAGAACTGCTTTGTGTTGGATAAATAAGTTTAAATTATTTGAAATCTGGATTTTTATTTCTTTCTTTGTGTTTTGTGTGGGTTTTCTTGAGACAGGGTCTTGCTATGTTGTCCAGGCTGGAGTGCAGTGGCACCATCTCTGCTTGCTGTAGCCTTGACCTCCTGGGCTCAGGTGATCCTCCTGCCTCAGCCTCCTGAGTAGCTGGGACCACAGGCACGCGCAACCATGCCTGGCTAATTTTTAAAATTTTTTTAGAGACAAGGTCTCACTACATTGCCCAGGCTGGTCTCAAACTCCTGGGCTCAAGCAATCCTCCTCCCACCTCAGCCTCCCAAAGTGCTGGGATTGCAGGGGTGAGCCACAGCACCCAGCCCTCAGAAATCTTTTGTAATGCCCAGTGATGTTTGTAATGTGTTGATAACAGACACCAAGTCAGGGTCTCTCGTTCCTGAACACAAGTGGGACAGAGTCCCAGCCTTCTTGTGGCAGATGTCACCGTGAGGCTGGGCCCTGGACAACAGTGAGTGAGATAAGCCGGGGAGCTTCGACCGGGCCAGGCTGTCGGGGCCTCAGCCCGAGTGTGACCCAGGGCAAGCCAGGGTCAGTCTGCGATGAGCGTCAAGGTTCAGTGTGGACCTGCACTCAGGGCCTGGGACTGTGGGAGACACGTCCGTCGGGGACGAGGCCGAAACAAACAGCCCCAAGCGCTCAGTGGCTTCAGCAGCAAAGGGTTGTCTCCTGCTTGGGCTTTGGTGGGGAGGTGGGATCCACTCCAGAGCTCACTCAGGGCCCAGGCTGAGGCAGCCCCACCTTCCTTAGCCCACCCCGTGCAACCGCAGCCTCTCCGGACGCTGCAACAGGGAGATGCTGCTGGGCCATGGTCAGCCGGGAGGTGACACAAAGGTGGCGCAGGAGGTGATGCGGGAGGTGACACAGAGCTGATGCAGGTGATGCGGGAGGTGACACAGAGCTGATGCAGGTGATGCGGGAGGTGACACAGAGCTGATGCAGGTGATGTGGGAGGTGACACAGAGCTGATGCAGGGGATGTGGGAGGTGACACAGCTGATGCAGGTGATGTGGGAGGTGACACAGCTGATGCAGGAGGTGACATGGAGGTGACACACAGATGACACGGGAGGTGACGTGGGAGTTGATACGAACCCACTGGCCAGGCCCTCGCTGCCGGGGCAGGCAGAGGCAAGGGAGCAGATGAGTGTTCAGTGAGCAGAATCGGGCTCGGGTTCTGGTCAGGGGCATCAGCACAGCCTGGGGCTGGGGCAGCCTCAGCCTTTGGCCGCGCAGGGTCCTGTGGGGTCGGGGGGTCGGGGCACCACTGGCAGGTCCCGGTCTCACAGCCGGGTCCCGCGGCTCCCTCCTCAAAGGGACCCAGAGCCGGGCTCGGGAGCCCCCTTGTGGCCATCTGGCGACACTGCAGGCTCCGCCGGCGCGAAGGTCCAGAGGCTCCCGCATGCCCCAGCCAGGTAGGGTTCTCAGGCAGGTGAGCTTTGTGGGCAGCCTCACCTGCCAGGAATATGTGTGCCCCCTGCCTGCAGGCCAGCCTTGGCCACGGTCCAGTCCCAACATAATATCACTTGGTGAGGCCTACCCTGACCCAAGGCCTGCCTGAGTGGGGTCTCTCTGTGTGGCCCTGCCCCAACCTCCCTGCATCACACTCCACCCCACGCACCTGTGTGATACCTGTCTCCCTCCAGGCGTGGAGCCTCTCCTCCTAGGAGGCATCCCAGAGACACCCCGGGGGGCCGGGGTCACTCAGGTGCACCCCACAGGTGCAGGTTGCAGGTGGGAGAGCAGCACACAGCTGCTGTGTGGCTCCTGCAGTGGGCCCTGCCTCCCATGCTGTGGATTTGGCATCCGGTACACAGGCCCACTGCGCCTCACCATCCCCTCCAGGCCCACCAGCCGTTTCTGTGCAACTTCCCGCAGCAGCCTTGAAAGTGTTCACTGTGGGAACGCAACACGGACCAGCTCTCGAGGAAAGCACCCCCTGGGGCGGATACTCATGAGGGCGGGAGAAAGCTTTCCTCAAGGCTCACGCACTTTGAAACATGTTTCCGATGATCTCCACATTCAGCTTATTTCATAAGCAATGAGTAAAAGTGAGTCGGTCACCTTAGGTCACCTTCAGCCGGGCGAGTGCTGTGGGCCCGCAGGTGCTGCAGGGCAGTGGGAGTGCAGACAGAAAATGCAGACCCCCGGGCATTACTCACCTCTCCAGCTCTGGTCCGCTGTTGTACCACGGGTCTAATCAGGCTGTGTCTGTCTCCTTCTTGAACAGCCCAGAAAATTCATCTGAACAGCCTTCCTACAGCCGCTCCCCACACCAGGTGGCCAGGTGGGAGTTCCAGACCAGAGCTGTCTCCCGGGATGTTGACACAGCAGCCACGTTGATTGGTGTTGGGGCAGCCCCTGTCGGTGTGGCTGGCTTCGGGCCTGGCATTGGAACGGTGTCTGGCAGCTTGTTGGCTATGCCGGGAATCTGTTTCTCAAGCAGCAGCTCATCTCCGATGCCATTCTGGGCTTTGCTGTGTCTGAGGCCATGGGGCTGTTCTGTTTGGTGGTCGTCTTCCTCATCCTCGCCACGTGAGGCTCCACAGGGGTCACCTGCCTGTCCCTGCTGCCCGTCCCTACTCCACGCCATTCCTGGTGATGGGGTATGCTAATTTTTACCATTAAACACACGTTTCTCTCAAAAAAAAATTCTCCCCCACATAAATTTTACTACGAAAACCTGAACCACGGGCCGGTGCTCATCCATATCAAATTTCGCCAGTCGATGGCTTCCGTCGTCGTGAGTTTTCCTTCTCGGCCATTATGACCATCAAGGGCGACTCTGTTTTGTAAAATGTTGCAGCATTGCACTTTGTCCAGAGGATTTGCCAGCAGCAGGTGTGAGTGAGGAGGTGGTCCCTGGGCTCTCTCACTGCTGGGCAGGATGCAGGTTTGGGCAACGCTTGGGAGGAAAACACTGAAAAGTCCAGTAAAGTTACCAAGGTGCAGCAACACAGGAGGGCTCCCCTTCTTCCTCACCTGGGCATGCGGCACCCAAAGGCAGGTCCCTATTCCTGGCTCCCTGGCAGCTCAGGGCACTGGCATGTCTAAGTTCTGGGCAGCAGAGTGTGGGCAGGTGCCTCATGCCAGCTCCTGAGCCCCATCCCAAAGAGACCCCAAAAGCATGCCTCGTCAACCTCCTCCACCCTGGCTGTGCTGCCGCCGAGCCCTGATGGTGCAGCCTGACCTGTGAGAGCAAGATCCACACCCAGGACCCAGGGGCCACGAGTAGGAGGGATCTGTGTCCTGGCAGCCTGGACCACTGCCCAGACTCACCCAGGAGGGAAATGAATGTGTACGTTGACAAACACCACCATCATCCGAGCCTGGGCTATGGCTTGAGTGTCCCCTCCAAAATTCATATGGAAATGTAATTGCCACTATGGCAATATTAAGAGGTGGGGAGCTGGGCGCGGTGGCTCACACCTGTAATCCCAGCACTTTGGGAGGCCAAGGCGGGCAGATCACTTGAGGTCAGGAGCTCAGGACCAGCCTGGCCAACATGGCAAAACCCTGTCTCTACTAAAAAAAATACAAAAAATTAGCCAGGTGATGGCAGGCGCCTGTAATCCCAGCTACTTGGGAGGCTGAGGCAGGAGAATTGCTTGAACCCGGGAGGCAGAGATTGCAGTGAGTCAAGATCGCGCCACTGCACTCCAGCCTGGCGACAGAGCAAGACTCCATCTCAGGCCAGGCGTGGTGGCTCATGTCTGTAATCCCAGCACTTTGGGAGGCCGAGGCGAGTGGATCACGAGGTCAGGAGATCGAGACCATCCTGGCTAACACGGTGAAAACCCCATCTCTATTAAAAATACAAAAAAAAAAAAATTAGCCGGGCGTGGTGGCGGGCACCTGTAGTCCCAGCTACTCGGGAGGCTGAGGCAGGAGAATGCGTGAACCTGGGAGGCGGAGCTTCCAGTGAGCCAAGATCGCGCCACTGCACTCCAGCCTGGGTGACAGAGCGAGACTCCGTCTCAAAAAAAAAAAAAAAAGGTGGGGCCGTTAAGAGGTGATGAGGCCAGGCGGGTTCCACCCTCGTGGAGGGGTTAACGCCATTATCTTGGGGCGTGTTTACTATCTGCACTGTGGGTGGTTACGACAGCAAGCTGGGCCCTCTCTCTCTCACCCTTTCCTGCCCCTGCACCTTCCACGGTGAGCCGATGCAGCACAAAGGCCCTCGCCAGAGCTGGCACCTCAATCTTGGACTTCCAGCCTCCAGAACTGTGAGAAATAAATGTCTTTTCTTTGTAAATTAGTTCCCAGCCTGTGGTATTATTATAGCCACACAAAATGGACAGCCTGTTGCATTGGGGATTATGTTTCCACATAAGTTTTGGAGGGGACGCAAATGTTCAAAGCACAGCGGTCACCATGGGTTTCCTTTCTCGGGGGACAGTGTGATGTTAGCGCCCCTTCCTTGGCAGCTGCCCCAGCCCTCAGAGGACGGAGTCCATTCCACATCAGCCACGGAGTGAGGAGAGGCGGCACTGTCCCAGGGAAATCTGGGACCTCGTGCCAATGCAGGGTGGCGGGGGTGGGCATGGGCCGGGGGCTGCCGTGTGTCTGGCAACACTCCTGCCCACCTCCCCCTGTCTTGACCTCCCTCTGGCACCCAGGCCCCTTCCTCCTCCTGCCCCCGTCTGCCTCCCTCTGGTGTTCCCCCCACCTGCCCACTGCCTTTTCTACCCTCTCCTCACCCACCTCTTGACCCTCTGCACGCTTGGTCCTCACGCCCAGTGCGGCCCTAGCCCTGCTGCTGGGGCCTGCCTGCAGGTCAAGCCCCGAGGACAGAGGCCCTCCCTGACAGCCTCTGATTGGGGGGTGTTTTTTCCCTTCATCTTTCCCTGGTTAAATGGCAGTTACCTTGTTTTTGCAACAAATGAAGCCACCCATGTTTCAGCCAGGGTGGGAATGTGGCTTTGCAGCCTCTGCCACCATTCTGCGCTGGCAGTGACTCTGATGGCTTTTCCCTCGGGGGTTGCCACTTAGTGCATCTCCGTTATTTTACTGCATAAAACGAATCCAATAATGTTTGGCTTTCTTATTGCTTAAGATAAGTGAGTTCACTTTCGCTAAATTGAGTTTTTATTATTATGAGGCTGTTTTCCTATAGAAAATGTGAGTGTGTTCTGAAAGGAAGATGAAGGGTCGGAAGTTCGAGTATATTTTATCTTTTTGGGTGACTGATCTTCTTGTGTCTGCGATCAGACTCCGACGTCTCTTCCCACAGGCACGTGGAGGCAGGTCTGACGCAGCTCCCAGCCCTACCGTTCTAGGGGGATGAAGGGGGACACGGTCCCGCTCTCTGCAGTAAAGGAGAGTGGCTGGGGCTTTGGCCAGGGCAGCCCTGGGTAAGCCGAGCTGCAGAACTTCCCAAGGGCTCAGGAGCTGCCAGGCTGTGCTGCTGGAATCACCTAGGAAGAGAATTGTTGACACGTGCTTGGTGAGACAGAGCTGGAGGCTGGGTTGCTGCTGTGCGGGTTAAACTGGACGTTGCTCCGTGTGGGGGGTTAAATATGTGCTGGCGTTGTGTAGAAAGAAATTGATCACCATGATGGCTCTTATAGGATCAAAGGCAATTTGCAAGCTCACAGCTTTTGCAGAATGTGAACCTGGGCCAAGTTGCAGAGTATTTTTGATGTCACACTGCGGCCTCCTGGGTAATGGCAGAGGGAGGGTGGGCTCCTGCCAGCTGTGTGTGCTGCATCGCCAGGCACTCCCGTCGCCCCCACGGGATTGTAGGCAAGAGGAGCCACAGCTGAAGCTCATGCTGAGAAACAGGGCCCTTTGTCTCAGACCCACGAGTCTCGTGTCTTCTGGGGCATCCATGATACCACGGGCTCACCTGTGGGCAGGCAGCCAGTCATGACACCCATGTCCCCTGCCAGCGGAAGTGTACACATTGTCCTGGAACAAGCTCTGGACCACAGGACCTCAGCAGACACATTCTGGGGGCTTCTGAGAAGGGTTTTCCTCCCAAGGAGAGGGAGGCACCCAAGGAGGAGCCGTCCCTCCTTCCCTCACGCGGATGACATTTTGAGACAATGTGATGCTCGCTGCTGTTGTGGCTCCATCACCAACCCCCCCAGATGGTGAAGAAAGATGGGCTGAGCCTGGGTCCTCCATGGCCAGGTGACCCTGGAAGGGCTCACCTCAAACTTCCACAGAGTGACCTGACAGTGTCTTCACAGCTACAATCTGCCATGTCCTTCACAATTAGAAAAGAGCTCACTCTCATTCATCTAGGGGAGGCGACTGGGCTGGGGCTTTCTTGATGCAGCTTCAGCAGCACCTGAATTCCTGGTGGCGGTGGAGCTATGGTGGGGCATGCACGCTGCATGGATTCCTGGTGGCCGCAGGGCAGGGAGGTCTCTGCTGGTGTAGAGGCAGACTAGGCCACGAGAGGGAGCAGAGTGCCTGCAGACAGCCCCTTTCTCAGGACAGGACCTCCACTGCCCAATTTCTCTCCCCCACACACACGCCTCCCTTCCCAGCCAAACCACACTGGTGCACCCAGCTGCATCTCCGTCCACACCCTGCTCAGCATCCCAGCCCCGCCTCTTCCCTCTGAGCTGCCCACTTCTCCCCCGGGCCCTTTCTGCTCCCTTTGCTGGTGAGCTGCCCACCACGGCCCTCTCAGGCACTGACACACCCAGCTCTCTGCCTCCAGGCTGCTGCACCTGCGGGCCTCCCTCGAGGCCAGCTCCCAAGTCCAACCCAAGCCCATCTGAGGAGGCCTCCCTGCTCCTCCCAGGCCCTAACTCCCCAAAGTGTGGCTGTCCCCAGACGTCTCTGCCTGGGTTGGGCACCAGGCCCCAGCACAGGGCCAGCGGGTAGTGGACACGCATCAGGACTCACGTACTCACCAGGAATCAGTGAGGGGACAAGGGAGCTGACTGGCTTCTCCGTCGAATCTGGCCATTGCAGGACACCTCAGGAAACTCACGAAGGGCAGGCTGGAGTGCGGCCCGGTCCCCGTCCTGTTCCCAGGGGAGATCACAGAGGCCAGAAACCTCAGGCCGTGAGCCTGACAAAGGCCCCCTGCTTCCCAGCCCTGCCACAGTCGGAGCCACAGCTGCGCCTCGTCGTGGAAACCAGGTGCCAGGCATGGGCCTGGGCAGGGTGGGGCTTGATGTCTGCTCCAATGCCCTCAGAGTCAGTTGCAGAGGCGATGGGCCATTGAACCAAGTCATAGCGGGTAGAGCCAGGATCCCTGGCCCCACTGGTGAGAGGGGGGACAGCCAGGACTTGGACCTCCACTGCCAGGGATGTGGTGGCAGAGGTAGAGGGCACTGGCCTGTGCCAAGGAGCACGGAGACCAGGGACCACCCCTGAACAGGCCAGGAGGAGTGGGGTGTGTGCAGGGTAAGGTTGCCTGGGGAGGTCTTCGAGCCCCAGGGCCTTCACTGCCCCAAGAGTAGCTAAACTAGGGGAGTAGCTAAACCAGCCTCTGACTAGGGGGTGTGGGCTTTCAGCTTTCACAGGCCAAGCTGGGCCCAACGCCTCCCAGACTGCAGCCAGCATGGAAGAGACCATGGGCTTTCAGGAAGGGTCAGAGCAGGATGTCAGGAGCCCAGAGCCCCTCAGCTCCATTCACCCATGGCCACGCTGCCTGTCTGTTCCCATGGGATTTGCTGCAGGTGCCAGAGCCAAGATGATTGTGGGCTCGTCTTCACCCAGGAGACCCTTAAGGCAGGATGGGGCCGGCACTGGCTTCAGCCAGGGGAGGAAACAGGCTCCAGCCCAGACAGGCAGAATGAAGCTCGCCCCTCACCCACTACCCCCCACTCCAGACCACTCCCTCCCAAGAAGGCCCAGGTCCTCCCACTGGCCCACGCAACTCCCACAGCCCCTCTTCTCTCTCCATGCCAGGCCTGGGGCCTTTCCACGGCTGCTCATCACCGCCCCTCCCCGGCCCCCCAGCCCCCTTGATCCTGCAGACCTTCCACTTCCCAACACGATCATTAGTGGCCTGGGCACAGCCCAGAGCAGGGCGCCTCTGACCTCCTACCCAGGCCAGCGCCCCGTGCCCACCCACGGCGCTCGGCGCTTGGAGGGGCTGCTGGGGATATGATCGGAGGCCGGGGCCAAGGCACGGTTTTAGAGGTGGGCAGAGCGCCGGCCACGTCTGACCTGGACAGCGAGGTAGTCCCCCTGCCCGGGACCCTGAGGACAGTGGTCCCGAGGCCAGCTGCCTGGAAGGCAGGCGACTTTCAAAGGCCAGACCCCAGGTGGCCTGGAGCTGGGGTATGAGGACTGTGTGGGGTCGGGGTGCGGCTGGGGCTGCCACCAGCCACGCCCTTAACTGCTGCAGTTGTTGGGAAATGCACTTGGGGAGGACCCCACTTGAGCAGCCAGCTCCACTCCCCTCGATGGTTTTAGCCCTGGCTGGCTAAACCTTGCCACCTTTGGGCCGTGGAAATGCGGGAAGCGAAGGCCCAGGCAGTGAACTGTGCCACATGAGATGTGTGTGACCATCACCCGCTCATGGAGCGGGCATCCTCAAACAATTCTTTTAGCAGCCTCATAAAGGGCCCCTCCCCAGATGCTACGGACCTTCCCAGGCCAGGTGGATACCCAGGGCCACATCACAGGTACAGGGTCCCAGGTGGAAGGCAGGTGAGAGACCCCTTGCAGATGGGCTTCAGGGCGGGTGCTGCCTGTGCCAGGGGCTGCCAGCTCCCGTGCTGGGGCAAGGCCAGGATGGTAAGGTGGGGCCAGGCTCCGTGCTGCTCCTGGGGCTGCGACCTGGGGCTGCCACATCAACTTGGGAACACCCTGATTCCATCTGGCTGTGGCTGTCCTGGGCTGGAGGAGCCCACAGGGAAGGTAGGTTCCACGGTGGGGGAGAAGGAAACCAGGGATGTGGGAGACACTGTCATGCCTGAGGTTGAGGGGAGCAGGGGCCAGGACACCTACGGTGCTGGGGGAAGATGGGGGTCAAGGTATCCCAGGAAGATAATTGGGAACACCGAAGCTGGAGTGGAGGAGCTGTCCCTGGGACAGAGCGGCAGTGGCCCCCAGGAGCTCCTGAGAGCCCCGGAGGAAGTGGAGCGGCCCAGCCTCACCAGCATCCGGCACTTGGACGCCACCATCTCCCCCGCCCTCCACACACCCCTCCTGGCTCCCCGCCTCCCAGCCTGGCTGGTAAACACAGGGACACAGGAACAGGCAAAGCAGTGCGGCCTTGGATACAAAACTGTAAACACGAGTCTTTAAAATGACAGAGGCCTCCTTGGCCCCAAATCTGAGCCAGAGGCCCCCACCGAAGGAGCAGATCTCCGCCCACACTGCCCTCCCTTCCAACCCGGGCGGCCCAGCAGGCAGGGGCCGGATCACCTCTGCTCTGCTCCGGCCCAGGCCTCCCAAACAGACCCACGCGCTGGGGCGGGCTGGTGGAGCGGGGGCTGAGGATCCGCGGTCCGAGAGATTCCTGAGATGAAGAAGCGGCCGCGGGACCCCAGGCACGGGCACTCGAGGCACCTGTCCCTAGGGGAGCCCGCCCCCACCCCATCCCATGCAAACCGCGCGCCCCAAGCCAACCCGGTGTCTCTGCGCCCCAGGGGCGTGTCGGGGGCCGCGCGGGCCCTGTCACGTGTCCAGGGGGTCACGCGTGGGCGAGGACATGTGGGGGCGCCCAGGCGGGCCGTGCAGCGGCGGCGGCGGCGGCGGCACCGAGTTGCGCTGCGGGGGTGGCGGCTGCAGCTCCAGTGATAGCGCAGGCGGCGGGAAGTCGCGCACCTGGCGGCGGTACTCCAGGAAGGTGCAGGCCTTGGTGGCGAGCGCCACCACGTTTTTGCCGACGAAGATGGCCGAGACACGGCTGTCCCGGAACAGCGCCATGTTGGCGGCGCGCGCCAGCACGGCCACCACATTGACGGTGGCGAGGCTGAGCACCGGGTACAGCATCATCTTCTGCGGCGCTATGTGCTCGCCCTGCATGCTGACCTCGCTGAGCGCCACGCACGGCAGCACCAGCAGCAGCATGTAGCAGTAGAAGAAGGTGAGGCCCTCGGCCCACAGCGGCAGCCCGGAGCGCGGCGGCTCCCACAGGCTGGCCTGCATGTCCAGCAGGTCCAGCAGGTCCAGCGCCACCCAAAACAGGCGGCCGCGCAGGTCCTCGCGCTTGCGGAAGGTGCGCACGTACTCCATGCGGTCCAGCGCCACGAGCAGCAGGAACAGGCCGGGCACACACACAGACAGCAGCAGCGTCAGCGCCTTGCGCGCCACGGGGTCCGCCGCGCCGCGCCGCGCCGCCTTGTAGTTCTGGAAGATGAAGTAGAGCTTGATCTCCAGCACGAAGATGTAAAGGAACCACAGGATCATGGCGTAGCCGCGCTTGGCCGTGCGCACCTCGGCGCCCACCCACACGGCCACGTAGCGCAGCACCAGCAGGAAGCACACGTCGCCCACCAGCACGATGATGCACACGCCGATCTTGCGCGGGCCCTGGTTCTGCTCCACCAGGTACGCGTCCATGACGGCCATGCTGCCCATGATCACCAGCGTGGTCAGGCACACGTGGCGCCGGTCCGGGGGCGGCAGCACCATGGTCGGCCGCCGGGCCCCGGCCTGGGCGCGCGCGGCCCCCACGCCTGGCGGGACGAGGCCCTGCGGCGCTCAGCCAGCGGGCATGGCGCGACACGGCCCGGCGAGCTCGAAACCTGGGGAGACCGGAGGAGACAAGATCAGGGTGCGGGCTGGAGCGGCCTCCCCCAACACCCCCCGCCCCCCGCACCCCGCGTGCTTCCCACCAGGCGCGGTCTCCGCGCCGGGGCCCCGAGGCATCGCGCACGCCTGCGCCCATGCGCGAACCGGCGGCCGCGAACCACAGCGAGGCCTCCAGAGGGCGCTGCTGCCTCGCCAGAGCACCCGGGCCTCGTTCCCGCCGCCAGGAAGGAAACGGAACGGACGCGTTTTCTGCCCGCCGAGCTCGTTCCCGGAGCCCGGGGGGGTTTGTCACTGCTGGGCCCGCGCCGCCCTCCCTCCTGGCTCCGGCGGCCCGGACCCCACGCCCGCGCTGCTGGCCTCAGGCCGTTTCCGCGGAGTTCCGGGAATACCCTCTCCCCGCCGCCGCACTGGGCAGGGAGGCGGGCCTGCCCCTCCGCTCTTGGAGTACCCAAGGAGGCCTCGGCCCTCCCAGGCTTTCTGATCCCGGACCGAGAGCCACCCAGGTCCCGATGCATCCGTCCCACAAGCCTCTCCGAGCCTCCCCGCCCCTGCCCGGCAGCCCCCACGCCCCTCCTCCCTGCACGGGCAGGCTCGGTCTCCCCTCCTGTCCACCATCCTGGGCGCGTGGCCACTGCCTGCCCTGCTCCCCATGGCTCCGCATTGCCTTGGCGAGGTGTTGTCCCCCACCCTCTGCCCCGGCAGAGCCACCCTGCTTTGCTCCTCTGCGCCAGGGCGATGCCTGTGGCTGCCCTCGAATCTCGGGAAGCCCGTCCACCAAGGCCCGTCGGGCTTCCACAGGCCCCTGCACCTCTGTCACACACCTGGCACTGGTCCTCATGGCCGTGCTGTCGGAGTCCCCGCACCTGGGCCTGTGCACACCTGGGTGACAATGGAGGCCCGCACACCCGCACCCACCCCAAAGTCACTGACAGGCTTACTCCCAGCCAGCCCCTCACCCCCTCCACAGCCCCAGGCCTGGGGCTCCGTTTACTGCCGTGTCTAGACAAAGGCATAAAATTTAATGTCCCCGTGACAGTCGGGCGCTCGGACTGCCCTGGTGACACCGCAGGCCCCACCGATCCGGGAAAGCGTTGAACTCTGCACTCCCACCCCTGCCCCCACCCAGCACCCGCCGCCCAGGATCCCCACAGCCACACACAGGACACCCCCACCCCTCGGAGCTCTGACAGGTCGCGAGGAGGGTGCCTTGAGGGTCCTCAGCCCATGCCCCTGCCTCCAAGCCTCCCCGCGCTCTGGGTCCCACCGGGACACTCACCCGGTTTTCACGTCCACTGGATCTACACGTCTGACCCAGGAAGCCCTCTCTGGGCCCATTCCAGGCCCACCTGGGCCTCCCCTAGCTGCAGCCGCAGCCTGAGAATTTCCTCCCTCTCCGCGCGTGGCGGGGCCAAATAAATAGCGGGGGAGCCACGGCGCCGCTCACCCTTTCCGGCCGTGCCTCCAGCCCCTCCGCCCCACTACGCTGTCGCTCGATCCTCAGTCACTTGGCAGATGCGGGCCGAGGGGCTCTGCGCTGGCGAAGGGACGGACTCCAGCCCCTAGCGGAGCCCCTACCCCGGCAAGCCAGAGCCCGGCCCGGCCACCTCTCCGTAGGGACCTGGCCCCAGGCCCACCTGTCCTGGGTCTCCTGGGCCCCGGCCGAGGCCCCTCCTCCCCCCACGCCCCGCGGCTCAGACCTGGCACAGACTCTGGGGCCTCCAGGCCCTTCACTGCCCGGGCCCCGCAAGGACCCTCGCCCCATAACCACCCCTCGGAGCCCCCGGGAGGAGGGGCGGGAGGGGGCTGCTGTGCTCCCGCCGCGGGCCGGTGCAGAGCTTGGGCCGCTCCCAGCAGGCTGCGTCTCTGCTTGTCCCCCCGAGGCTTCCCCACGCAGGGCCGGGTCCCCGTCACCCCGCCGGCCCCAGGCCTCACCCCTGCCGCATCGGCCCCCGCCCCACCCCACAGTCCCCACGGCCCAGAGGTGCAGGGTCGCCCAGGCCCGCCGCCCCCTCCGCGGACGCAGCCGCGCACCCAGCCAGTCCCGCCCGCGCCCGCGCCTACCCCGCCGCCCGCAGATGCTGCGCCGCTCCCGGGCCCGCCCGCCCAGCCTCTGCCGCCACTGCCGGGGCCGCGCCGGCTCCTCCCGCCGCGCCCCTCCCCCGCCCGCGCGGCACCGCCCCCGACCCAGAGGCCCCGCCCCGCGCCCCTCGGCCCGCGAGCCCCGCCGGACCTGGGGACCTGGGAGCGCGGGGGTGCCGGTGCCCCGCCCCCTCCGCAGCGCCGGTTGCCACGGCGACAGCACCGCGCGGCGGCGCGCAGGACTGGTGGCTCTGGGGAGCGGGGCGCCCTCGCGCACCCCCAGGCGCGGAGTCCCGTCTCCACCCTCCTCACCCACCGCCCAGAATCCCAGGGTCCCGCCCAGTGCCCCCCGCGCCCTGAAACTCCGCTGCCGCCCCCTAGAGCGACCCCACTCAGCCGGACAGGCGCCCACCGGCCCAGGAGCTGACAGGGATGTAGGCGCGGGGCTGGCCTGGCCGCCGGGGCCCTCCGCGCCACCCTCTGTCCTCTTTGGGGAGAAACCCAGCCTTCCCAGGTTTCTTCTCAGGGCAGAGGAAAGGAATGATGAGCGGCCCCCACCTTCTTCTCCAGCCCGTCCAGGAGGCAAGCTAGGGTTTGGGGACTTGGGCTTCATTTTGTCACTGAGGTGGCACTAAGCCCCTCCCCCCACATCCTGTCCATCCCGTGTGAGCCAGAGAAGAACCCGAGGGCACCTTCTGCCTGCCTGCCCTCCTTCCCAGAACTGCTGTGACTTCCCTCTGACATAGGAGGAGACTGAGGGTCAGAGAGGTAAAGGGACACCAGATTTGGTGGAAAGACCAGAATTTGAGGCACCACCCAACTGGTAGTGAACTTCCAGATTCTCTTCCCGTATCCCCGGGCCTGGACTCAACACGGCCTGAAAGCCAGAAGAGGACAGAGAGCTCCAGAAGTTCTCTAGTCCTGGCACAAGGGGAGGAAAGAAAAAGGTCGCCTAATGCTCCCAGGGTGCAGGAGAATGCCCGGGGGGATGTTAGGGTTTGGGAGGATGGGGTTTTTTGGTAGTGGTTGTTTTTTTACTCTTCTCCATTCTCTGATGCCCCAGCCCCTAGGTATCCCACCAAAGCCATGACCAAGGCATAGGGTTTACAAGCACCTAAAACGCTGAGGCAGAAGAGCCTTCCTTTCCAGCCCCAGGAGATGTGGTCCCCTGTCGCTGGAGAGATGGTGGGCAGGGAGAAGCAGTAGAAAGCAATCCATGGGCTGGGCGTGGTGGCTCACACCTGTAATTCCAGCACTTTGGGAGGCCGATGTGGGCGGATTACCTGAGGTCGGGAGTTCGAGACCAGCCTGGCCAACATGGTGAAACCCCCATCTCTACTAAAAATATAAAAATTAGCCGGGCGTGGTGGCACACACCTGTAATCCCAGCTACTCGGGAGGCTGAAGCAGGAGAATTGCTTGAGTCCGGGAGATGGAGGTTGCAGTGAGCCGAGATCTTGCCACTGCACTCCAGCCTGGGCAACAGAGTGAGACTCTGTCTCAAAAAAAAAAAAAAAAAAAAAGCAACCCCAGGAAGTTGTGCAAGCCATACATGATGTACAAGTCTAAACCCTCATTCACATCCCAAAGGCTGAGAACTGAACAAAAGGACAGCCCACTGCCCACGTCCCACACTGGCCACTGGGCAGTGCATACGAAGGACAGATCTGAGTCCCACTGCAAAGGCTTTGAAAACAAAACCGACATGGAAGGCAGGACCCACAGGAGCCTATTTGAACTTGTGGCCTGAAACCAACTAGGTTGATTGCATGATAAAACAAAATGCCAACATTCTCAATGGGATTTAAATAAGACCAGTCTCATAACATAATGTCTAAATGTGCAGGAGACAATCTAAAATTACTCTGCATGTGAAGAATCAGGAAATCCAACCTGCAAGAGAAAAGACAATCAACAGCCGCCAATGCCAACATGACACAAAAACCCTCAACTAATTATCAGCAAATAGAATCAAGCAGCATTAAAAACACACACACACAAATACCCCAACCAAATGGAGGCTATCCCAGAAAGGCAAGGCTGGTTCAACATGTGAAAATAAATCGATGTGATCCACCATATTAGTCTCAAGAAGAAAACCATGTGATCATCTCAATCAATTCAAAGAAAGTATTTGACGGAATTCAACACTCATCCCTGATAAACACTCTCAGCAAACTAGAAAGCAAAGGGAACATGCTTAATCTCATAAAAGGAATCTACAAAAAGCAACAACAAAAACAACAGGCCAGGCATGGTGGCTCACCCCTGCAATCTCAACATTTTGGGAGGCCAGGAGTTCAAGACCAGCCCGGGCAACATGGAGAGATTCCATATCTGTTATTTTTAATTAAAAAAAAAATTAGGCCAGGCACTGTGGCTCATGCCTCTAATACCAGCATTTTGGGAGGCCAAAGTGGGCGGATTGCTTGAGCTTGAGTTCAAGACCAGCCTGGGAAACATGGTGAAACCCTGTCTCTACAAAAAATACAAAACAATCTGGCCGGATGTGGTGGCTCACGCCTGTAATCCCAGCACTTTGGGAGGCCAAGGCAGGCAGATCACCTGAGCTCAGGAGTTCTATGCCAGCCTGGGCAACATGGCGAAACACCATCTCTACTTAAAACACACACACACACACACACACATTAGCAGGGTACAGTGACACACACCTGTAATCCCAGCTACTCAGGAGGCTGAGGCATGAGAATCGCTTGAACTTGGGAGGCAGAGGTTGCAGTGAACTAAGATCGCACCACTGCACTCCAGTGTGGGCAACAGAGGAAGACCCTGTCCAAAAAAGAAAAAAAAAAAAAAAAAAAACCTCTGCATCTAATGTGATACTTAATAATGAAGGACTAAATGCTGAGCCCTAAGATCAGGAACAAGGTAAAGATGTCCACTCTATTCACTCCTGTTCCACAGTGTACTGGCAGTCCTAACCCATGCAATAAAACCAGAAAAATAAAAGGCATACAGATTAGAAAGGAAGAAATAAAGATGTCCCTATCCATAAATAACATAAAAGTCTATGTCGAAAATCCCAAGAATTTTACCAACAAAAAAGTCAGAATACTAATAAGTGAGTTTTGCAAGGTTGCAGGATGAAAACACAGAACTCAGTCCTGTTTCTATATATTAGCAATGAACAATTGAAAACCAAAATTTTTAAAAGCAATGCTATTTAAAATGGTCCCCCAGTAAATTTATTCGTTTGGTATTAATCTAACAAGACTGGTACAGGATTTGTATACTGAAAACTACCAAATGCTGATAAAAGAAATCAAAGAAGGCCTAAATATGTGAGAGGCATGCTGTGTTCCTGAATTAGAACAAATATAGTTAAGATACCAATTCTCTCCAAAACGACTACGGATTTAATGCAATTTCAATTAAAATTCCTGTCGGAAATTTTATAGGTATAGAAAACCTTGTTCTGAAATGTATATAGAAATGAAAAGCAACTAGTTGCCAAAATAATTCTGAAAAAGAAGGGAAAAAGTTGGAGGGTTCTCACGAATGGATGTTTTTGTTGTTGTTGTTTTTGTTTTTTTGGGTTTTTTTTTTTTTTGAGACTGAGTCTCGCTCTGTAGCCCAGGCTGGAGTGCAGTGGCATGATCTTGGCTCACTGGAAGCTCTGCCTCCTGGGTTCATGCCATTCTCCTGCCTCAGCCTCCCGAGTAGCTGGGACTACAGGCGGCCGCCACCACGCCCGGCTAATTTTTTGTATTTTTAGTAGAGACGGAGTTTCACTGTGTTAGCCAAGATGATCTCGATCTCCTGACCTCGTGATCCACCCACCTCAGCCTCCCAAAGTGCTGGGATTACAGGTGTGAGCCACCGTGCCCAGCCATCACTAATGGATGTTAACTCACCATAAAGCTAAAGCAATTGAGACAGGCTGAATTGGCAGAGGGTCAGCCGACAGATCAATGGAACAAGTGCACCCACACAAGCATGGCCATTGATTCTTTAACAGATTTATTGAAATATAATTCAAATACCATAAAATTCATCCATTTAAAGGGTACAATTCAGGCCAGGCGCAGTGGCTCACACTTGTAATCCCAGCACCTTGGGAGGCCGAGGCAGGTGATCACCTGAGGTCAGGAGTTCAAGACCAGCCTGGCCAACACGGTGAAACCTCACCTCTACTAAAAACACACACACACACACACACAAAAATTAGCCAGGCGTGATGACCCACGCCTGTAGTCCCAGCTACTTGGGAGGCTAAGGCAAGAGAATCGCTTGAACCCAGGAGACGGAGGTTGCAGTGAGCCGAGATCATGCCACTGCACGCCAGCCTGGGCAACAGAGCAAGACTCTGTCTCAAAATAAATAAATAAATAAATAAAGTGTACAATTCAGCCAGGCACAGTGGCTCACTCCTGTAATCCCAGCGCTTTGGGAGGCCAGGCAGGAGAACTGCTTGATCCCAAGAGTTCGATGCCAACCTAGGTAACATAGCAATACCTCGTCTCTACAAAAAACACAAAGGGTAGGTGGGCATGGTGGCGCATGCCTGTAGTCACAGCTATTTGGGGGGCTGAGGTGGGAGGATCGCTTGAACCTGGGAGGTTGAGGCTACAGTGAGCCGTGGGAGCTGGGGCAACAGAGTGAGACTCTGTCTCCAAAAGCAAAAGTGTACAGTCTGGGCACAGTGGCTCACGCCTGTGATCCCAGCACTTTGGGAGTCCAAGGAGGGCAGATGACTTGAGGTCAGGAGTTCGAGATCAGCCTGGCCAGCATGGTGAAACCTCGTCTCTACTAAAATACAAAAATTAGCTGGGCGTGGTGGCGCACACTTGTAATCCCAGCTGCTTGGGAGGCTGAGGCAGAAGGAGCCTAGCTTGAACCCAGGAGGCGGAGGTTGTAGTGAGCCGAGATGGCACCACTGCACTCCAGCCTGGGTGACAGAGCAAGATAAGAAGGAGAGAGACAGAGAGAGAGAGAGAGAGGGAGGCAGGGAGGGAGGGAGGGAGAGAGAGGGAGAGGGAGAGGGAGGGAGGGAGGGAGAGAGAGGGAGAGAGAGAAAGAAAGAAAGAAAGAAAGAAAGAAAGAAAGAAAGAAAGAAAGAAAGAAAGAAAGAAAGAGGAAGGAAAGGAAAGAGAGAGGAAGGGAGGAAGGAAGGAAGGAAAATTTTACACATGTCATAATCAATTTTAAAAGATTTTCATCATCCCCAGAGCCAGTAGCATTCGCCCCCCTTTCACACCCACCCAGAGCCAGTAGCATTCGCCCCCCTTTCACACCCACCCAGAGCCAGTAGCATTCGCCCCCCTTTCACACCCACCCAGAGCCAGTAGCATTCGCCCCCCTTTCACACCCACCCAGAGCCAGTAGCATTCGCCCCCTTTCACACCCACCCAGACCCAGTAGCATTCGCCCCCTTTCACACCCACCCAGAGCCAGTAGCATTCGCCCCCTTTCACACCCACCCAGACCCAGTAGCATTCGCCCCCCTTTCACACCCACCCAGACCCAGTAGCATTCGCCCCCCTTTCACACCCACCCAGACCCAGTAGCATTCGCCCCCTTTCACACCCACCCAGACCCAGTAGCATTCGCCCCCCTTTCACACCCACCCAGAGCCAGTAGCATTCGCCCCCCTTTCACACCCACCCAGAGCCAGTAGCATTCGCCCCCTTTCACACCCACCCAGAGCCAGTAGCATTCGCCCCCTTTCACACCCACCCAGAGCCAGTAGCATTCGCCCCCCTTTCACACCCACCCAGAGCCAGTAGCATTCGCCCCCTTTCACACCCACCCAGAGCCAGTAGCATTCGCCCCCCTTTCACACCCACCCAGAGCCAGTAGCATTCGCCCCCTTTCACACCCACCCAGAGCCAGTAGCATTCGCCCCCCTTTCACACCCACCCAGAGCCAGTAGCATTCGCCCCCCTTTCACACCCACCCAGAGCCAGTAGCATTCGCCCCCCTTTCACACCCAATTTCTCCCCAGTTTTCCCAGCCCCTGGCAACCAATAATCTACTTTCTGTCTCCACAGATTTGCCTTTTCTGGACGTTTCATATAAATGGGACCATACCATATGCGGTCATCTGTGACTGGCTTATTTTGCTAAATGTGTTCAAGGCGCATTCATGTTGCAGCATGCATCACTACTTCCTTCCTTTTTATTGCCAAATAATATTCCATGCTCTTATTATCTCTTTATCAGTTGATGGACATCTTTTGGCTTTGTTTCCACCTTTTGGCCATTATGGATGTGGCTATGAACACTTCAGTACAAACTCTTATGTGGACCTGTGTTTATTTCTCTTAGGTGTCCGTCGAGGGGTGGAATGGCCGGGTCATACGGTAACTCTGTGTTTAACATTTTGGGGAAGCGTCGACTCTTTTTCAGATCATTTTACGTTTCCATCAGCAATATGTGAGGATTCCAATTTCTTCACACCCTTGCCAGCACTTGTTATTATCAACATGTTTAATCATAGCCATCGTGGCAGGTGTGAAATGTTGCCTCACTGTGCCTCTGATTTGCATGTCCCTGATGGCTAAGGACACCAGGCACTGGTCGTGTGTTTAGTGGCCATTTGCATATCTCCTTTGGAGAAATGTCTGTTCAAATCCTTCGCACGTTTTTCCATTGGGTTATTTATCCTTTTACTGTTCCACTCTAAGAGTTCCTTATATATTCTGGATACAATTCTCTTATCAGATATGTGATTTGCAAATACTTTCTCCCATTTTCTGAGTTGTCTTTTCAACTTTTTTTTTTTTTTTTTTTTTTTGAGACAGAGTCGTGCTCTGTCACCCAGGCTGGAGTGCTGTAGCACAATCTCAGCTCACTACAACCTCTGCTTCCGAGGTTCAAGCAATTCTCGTGCCTCAGCCTCCCAAGTAGCTGGGAATACAGTCACACGCCACCACACCCAGCTAATTTTTTGTGTTTTTAGTAGAGATGGGGTTTCACCATGTTGCCCAGGCTGGTCTTGAACGCCTGAGCTCAAGCAATCTGCCCACCTCAGCCTCCCAAAGTGCTAGGATTACAGGCATGAGCCACTGTGCTTGGCCATTTTGTTTTCTTTTCTTTTTTTTTTTTTTTTTTGAGACAGAGTCTTGCTCTGTCACCCAGGCTGGAGTGCAGTGGTGAGATCTCGGCTTACTGCAACCTCCGCCTCCTGTATTCAAGTGATTCTCCTGCCTCGGCCTCCTGAGTAGCTGGAATTACAGTCACGTGCCACCACGCCCAGCTAATTTTTGTAATTTTAGTAGAGACGGAGTTTCACCATGTTGGCCAGGCTGGTCTCAAACTCCTGACCTCAGACGATCCATGTGCCTAAGCCCCCCAAAGTGATCCATGTGCCAAAGCCCCCGAAAGTGCTGGGATTACAGGCGTGAGCCACCACGCCCAGCCTCAACTTTTTTTTTGAGACAGGGTCTCTCTCTGTCGCTCAGGCTGGAGTGCAGTGGCACAATGACAGCTCACCAGGGCCTTGATCTCCCAGGCTCAAGTGACCTTCCCACCTCAACCTCCTGAGTAGCTGGAACTACAGGTGCGCACCACCATGGCTGGCTAATTTTTTAATTTTTTGTAGAGACATGGTCTTGCTACTCTCGTTTCCCAGGCTGGCCTTGAACGCGTGGGCTCAATTGATCCTCCCACCTTGACCTCGCAAAGTGCTGGTATTACAGGCGTGATCCTTACCCACCCAACGTTTTTTATGGAGTCCCAAAGCACAGAAACTTTTTTTTTTTTTTGAGACAGTCTCGCTTTATTGCCCAGGCTGGAGTACAGTGGTGTGATCTCAGCTCACTGCAACCTCCACTTCCCAAGTTCAAGCAATTATCCTGCCTCAGCTTCCCGAATAGCTGGGATTACAGGTGCACACCACCACACTCGGCTAACTTTTCCTATTTTTAGTAGAGATATGGCTTCACCATGTTGGCGAGTCTGGTCTCGAACTCCTGACTTCGTGATCTGCCCACCTCAGTCTCCCAAAGTGCTGGGATTACAGGCACGAGCCACTGTGCCCGGCCAGAAACCTCTAATTTTAATTAAACCCGATTTATCTATCTTTTATTTTGTTGCTTGTGCTTTTCTGTGTCCTAAGAAGCTTTTGCATAATCCAAGGTCACAAAGATTTTCTCCTCTGTTTTCTTCTAGAAGTGTTATAGTTTTAGGTTTTACATTTAGGTGTATGATGCATTTTTAGTTACATTTTATGTCTGTTTTAAGGAAGGGATCTGCTATGGGCTAAATCATGGCTCCCAGAAAGATATGTTTCAGTCCTACCCTGATACCTGCCAACGTGACCTTATTTGGAAATAGGATCTTTGTAGGTATCATCTAGTTAAGTTGAGATCACACTGGATTAGGGTGGGCCTACATCCAATGTCTGTGTCCTTATAAGGAGAGAGGAAAGAAGACTGTATGAGGACAGGGACAGAGGTTGGAGGGAGGCAGCTGCAAGCTGAGAGTTGCTGGCAAGGTTACTGAAACACCAGGGTTTCATTCCAGGTCCTGCTGCTTGCTGCAAAGAAAGCCAATCACTGAGATGCCAAGTATGGCCAAGGAAGAAGGCTTTAATTGGGTGCTGAGCAGAGGAGATGGGAGCTCAGTCCCAAATCCATCTCCTGACTCACTAAAACCAGGGGTTTATATAGCAGGGGAAGAAATGTAACAACGTGTAAGAAAACAAGAACTAGAGAGGTGCAATGTATTACTCGTTTTCATGCTGCTGATAAAGATCTACCCCAAACTGGGAACAAAAAAAGATTTCATTGGACTTACAGTTCCACATGGCTGGGGAGTTCTCAGAATCATGGCAGGAGGTGAGAGGCACTTCTTACATGGCAGCGGCAAGAGAAAATGAGAGAGAAGCAAAAGCAGAAACCCCTAATAAACCATCAGATCTCATGAGACTTATTCACTATCAAGAGAATAGCACGGGAAAGACTGGCCCCCATGATTCAATTATCTCCCCCTGGTTCCCTCCCACAACACGTGGGAATTCTGGGAGATACAATTCAAGTTGAGATTTGGGTGAGGACACAGCCAAACCATGTCAGGCAAGGAAGCAATCATGATGAATGAGGGGTCCAGCATCTGTGCCTTGGTCTGGGTAGTTTCAGTTCTTTGATACTTTTCTGAGAGGCCTGAAGGTCCTTTGCTGAGGAAGAAATTCAGATAAAACAAAAGTTTCAAGCTTTAAGACCAGAAGGGTCCATTTCTGTGTTTTCAAAAAGAACAGTCTGTAGGACTATTGGGTCAGTTTCAGCAACACCAGTCCTGCAGACACCTTGATCTTGGGCTTCTAGCTTCCAGAGCGTGGGAGAAGGAATTCCTGTGGTTGACGCTGTCCCGTTTGCAGTGCTTTGTTAGGGCAGCCCTGGGGCACAGACACAGGGTCTAGCTTCCTGCTTAGGCATATCCAGTGCTCCCAGCACCATTTGTTAAAAAGACGATTCTTTCCCATTTAATGGTCTTGACATCCTTTTCAAAAATTGACTGGCCATAAAAACGTAAAGGTTTATTTCTGGATTCTCCACTCTGTTCCAGTAATCTGTAAGTCTGTCCTTCTGTGAGCCCCTCATTATCTTGATTTCTGCGGCTTTGTAATAAGTGTTGACATTGGGAAGTGTGGATACTCCAACTGTTTTCTTCAAGACTGTTTTGGGGCCAGGCGTGGTAGCTCACGCCTGTAATCTCAGCACTTTGGGAGGCCGAGGCGGGTGGATCACTTGAGGCCAGGAGTTCGAGACCAGCCTGGCCAACATGGTGAAACCCCATCTCTACTAAAAATAGAAAAATGAGTTGAGTGTGGTGGTGGGTCCTGTAATCCCAGCTACTTGGGAGGCTGAGGCATGAGAATAGCTTGAACCCAGGAGGCAGAGGTTGAGGTGAGCTGAGATCTCGCCACTGCACTCCAGCCTGGGTGACAGAGCCAGACTCCATCTCAAAACAAAACAAAACAAAAGACTGTTTAGTCCGCCCTGGATCCCTTGCATTTCCCTATGAATTTCAGAATCAGCTTGTCAATTTCTGCAACAACAAACAAAGAAGCCGTGTGCGGTTTTGATACTAGGGATTGCACTGAGTCTGCAGGTCAGTTTGTGATTAACATAGGATGTCTTTACATTTACTTTAGTTCGGTCTTCTTTAATTTCTTTCAACAATGTTTTGTCGTCTTCAAAACACGTGTTTTACAGTCTGGTTTTTTGTTTGTTTTTTTTTTTTTTTGCATAGAAAAATACACCACGCGTTGCCAACGTTTTACACTTCTTTTGTAAAATTTATTTCTAAGCGTTTAATTCTTTTCGACTCTGCTATAAATGGATTTTTTTACTTTATTTCAGTTGCTTGTGGCTAGTGCATAGAAATAAGTGGATTTTCTGCACATCGATCACAAGATTCTGCAACCTTGCTGAATTTCTTTATTAGTGCTAATATTTTTAGTTCATTTCTGAGGATTTCCTATATATAGTATTATATCATCCCCAGACAGAGAAGTTTTACTTCTTCCTTTCTGATCTAGATGTCTTTTATTTCTTTATCTTGCCAAATTGCCTTGACTAGAGCCTCCAGTACAATGTTGAATAAAAGTGGTGACAGTAGATATCCTTGTCTTGTTTTTGATCCCAGGGGAAGAGCATCCTGCCTTTTACCATTAAGGAGAATGTTAGCTGTGGGGCCTAGCAGATCTCTTTCATCAGATTAAGGAAGTTCCCTTCTATTCCTAGCTTTTCGAAAGTGGTAATTAATTTTTAACTAAAGTGCAAAAGTGATTCGACATTGGAAAGATAGTATTTTCACCAAATTAGACACGTGTGTGGGAAAAAAGAAAGGATCCTCAACCTAGACCTTCATTCCTTATGCAAAAATTAACTCAAGATGATCACAGGTCTAAATGTCAAGTGTAAAGCTACAAAACCTTTAGAAGAAAAAAACAGAAAAAATTTTCACAACCTGGGCCAAGGCTAAAAATATTCTTAGACACAACAACAAAAGCTCAATCCATAAAAGATAAATTGATAAATTGGATTTCATCAAAATTTAAACCTTTTTTTCTATGTAAAAGTCACTGTTAAGAGGATGAAAAGACAAATTATATACTGGGAGAAAGTATTTGTGTATTAGTCCGTACTCATGCTGCTATGAAGAAATACCCAAGACTGAGCCCAGGTGCAGTGGCTCACGCCTGTAATCCCCAGGACTTTGGGAGGCTGAAGTGGGTGAATCACCCGAGGTCAGGAGTTCAAGACCAGCCTGGCCAACATGGTGAGACCCTGTCTCTACTAAAAAATACAAAAATAAGCTGGGCATGGTGGCAGGGGCCTGTAATCCCAGCTACTCAGGAGACTGAGGCAGAGGAATCACTTGAACCAGGGAGGCAGAGATTGCGGTGAGCCAAGATCATGCCATTGCACTCCAGCCTGGGCAATAAGAGCGAAACTCCATCTCAAAAAAAAAAAAAAAGAAGTAACCAAGACTGGGTAATTTATAAAAGAAAAAGGTTTAATTGACTCACAGTTCCACATGCCTGGGGAGGCGTCAGGAGACTTAGAATCATGGCGGAAGGGGAAGCAACACGTCCTTCTTCACATGGCATCAGGAGAAAAAAGTGCTGAACAAAGGGTGAAAAGCCCTTTGTAAAACCATCAGATCTCGTGAGAACTCACTCACTACCAAGAGAAGAGTAGCATGGGGGTAACCACCCCCATGATTCAGTTACCTCACACTGGGTCCCTCCCACAACAGGTGGGGATTATGGGAACTACAATTCAAGATGAGATTTGGGTGGGGACACTGCCAAACCATATCAACTTATAAATCATGTATCAAACAAAAGACTTGTTTGCAGAATATATATATATATAATGTGTAATGTATATTAACATCTAATGTACATATTTATATATTTAACTTTTATTTTATGTTCAGGAGTACATGTGCAGGTTTGTTATATAGGTTAACTTGTGTCATAGGGGGTTGTTGTACAGATTATTTCATCACCCAGGTACTAAGCCTTTGTACTCATTAGTTATTTTACCTGATCCTCTCCCTCCTCCAACTCTCCACCCTCCAATAGGCCAGTGTCAGTTGTTCCCCTCTATGTGTCCATATGTTCTCATCATTTAGCTCCCACTTACAGGTGAGAACATGAATTTGGGTTTCTGTTCCTGCATTAGCTTGCTAAGGATAATGGCCCTCAGCTCCATCCACGTTCCTGCAAAGGACATGATCTCATTCTTTTTTATGGCTTCATAGTATTCCATAGTGTATATGTATCACATTTTCCATCCAGTCTATCATTGATGGGCATTCAGGTTGATTCTATGAGTTTGCTATCGTGAATAGCGGTGCATGTGTCTTTATGATATTACAATTTATATTCCTTTGGGTATATATCTAGTAACGGGATTTTCTGGATAGAATGGGAGTTCTGTTTTTAGGTCTTGGAGGAATCACCACATTGTTTTCCACAATGGTTGAACTAATTTACACTCCCACCAACAGTATATAAGTGTTCCTTTTTCTCCACAACTTCACCAGCACCTGTTAGTTTTTTACTTTTTTTTTTTTTTTTTTTTAGAGACAGAGTCTCACCCTGTCACCCAGGAGAGAGTGCAACGGCGCAATCTTGGCTCACAGCAACCTCCACCTCCCCAGTTCAAGCAATTCTCCTGCCTCTGCTTCACGAGTAGCTGGGATTACAGAAGCACGCCACCACGCCTGGCTAATTTTTTGTATCTTTTGTAGAGATGGGATTTCTCCATGTTGGCCAAGCTGGTCTCAAACTCCTGACCTCGTGATCTGCCCGCCTTAGCCTTCCGAAGTGCTGGGATTACGGTGTGAACCACCATGCCCAGCCTACATATTTTTTTAACTCTTAACATCGGCAATAAGGCCAAGCACAGTGGCTCATGCCTGTAATCTCAGTGCTTTGGAAGGCCGAGTCAGGAGGATCACTTGAGGCCAGGAGTTCGAGGCTGCAGTGAGCTATGTTGATGCCACTGCATTCCACCCTGGGAGACAGAACAAAACCCTGTCTCTAAAAATAAAAAATAAAAAAAAAATCTGCAGTAAATACAATAATCTAAAAATCGGCAAAGGACTTGAACAGACATTTCACCAAACAGGATACATGGATGCAAATCGGCACATGAGGAGTTCCATGCAGATTTAAACAGTGATGAGGTTCCCGTGCACACCTATTAGATGGCTAGGAGTTGATAGTTGTGTGAGGTTATGGGTTATGTGGAGGTTCCTAGTAAGATGGTAGATTTAAACCCAAATAGATTAGTGATTATAAATCAATTAGAAGAGTCCATCATAAGACAAATATATTCTGTTTCTGCAACTTACATTTACAATACATATACAGAAAGGTTGAAAATAAGAGAACAGGCCAGGCACGGTGGCTCACGCCTGTAATCCCAGCACTTTGGGAGGCCGAGGCAGGGGGAACACTTGAGGTCAGGAGTTTGAGACCAGCTGACCCTGGGTGCTGGACGTGCTCACTGCTGCCCGGCTGCCGCCGCTCAGGCTGTCTTTGCAGGCATGCGCACACCTGTGTTTCCACACCCATCCCTCTCCCAGGCCGTCAATGATTTAACCACAAGTTCATGCCAGTCCACAGGGCTTATTCCTAAATCCCCACTTTCCTGATGTGTAACCACCACTTACAGTCAGAGTCTCGCTCCCTCATCCTCAATCTCCCTATTTATTGTTCCATTCCGAATGCCTCCTCTGCCCATGCTAGGTGTGCTATTGAAAGCTCAGCCCCAAAGAAAGGAAAAGGGGAGGGCTTGGGCAACACGAGGAAAAAGCCAGCTGGAAAGCTGTGCCTTGGACACAGCAGACAGACTGCTGGCCCTTGGCTGAAGGTGACCCCTAAATACGCGTCCACATCCTAACCCCCAGAGCCCGGGAATGCACCCTTATTTGGAATAAGAGTCTTGGCAGATGTGATTAAGGATCTCGAGAGCAGGAGATCATCCTGCATTATCGAGTGGACCCTATATCCAATGACAACTGTCCTTATAAGACAGAGACATGGCCAGGTGTGGTGGCTCATGCCTGTAATCCCAACATTTTGGGATTACTGGAGCCCAGCCTGGGCAACATAACGAGACCTCCCCCCCATCTCCAAAAAAAATAGAAAAAAATTAGCTGGGCATGGTGGCACACACCTGTAGTCTCAGCTACTCGAGAGGCTGAGGTGGGAGGATCGCTTGAGCCCAGGGAGGTCGAGGCTGCAGTGAGCCATGATTGCACCACTTCACTCCAGCCTGGGTGACAGAGTGAGACCCTGTCTCCAAAAAATCTTTAAAGATAGAATGGCAGGACACACTACAAAGTCACCAGACCCAGCTGTAGGGCTGCACTGGCTGCCTCCGGGACTATGTGAGCATCACATAAATAATGAGAATAATGCATCATAACCCTCTGAGTAAAATAGGCACACACAAGTCCAAGCTGATGTGAATAAGCAGAGGGAGGGAAAGCTGCAGCTGGCAGCAGGCTCACTGAGGCATCCAGAAGGGAAGTGGACTCCGCCCTTCAGCCACATCACAGTCCTCACCTAGTTGGGCCAGAGTCTCAGGGTGCCCCTCAGAGGGTGAGCATGGGATTAGGACCAGGACACCCGGTCGGGTGGGAGTCTCGGGGCGCCCCGCGGAGGGCGCCCGTGGGAATTGGACCAGGACACTGACATCGCATTGGAGCATCACCCTCATACAATACTCAGGAATTATGCCGTAGTTAGCAACACATTTCACATTAACCTCACGGTGGAGGAGCGAGCGGTTGCCACTCTGACTAAGGGAGAGAGGTGGGTGGCACCCGCAGCAGGGCCCAGAGAGCCACACCCTCCTGAGCGAATGCCCTGAGGCTGACACAGCTCCATTCCCATACGTCCATCACACGCGTGTGTGTGTGTGTGTGTGTGTGTGTGTGTGTGTGTAGAGAATGGTCAGGTGAAATGTTAACAATTGAGGAATCTGTGTGAAGACATATAGGAGCTATGGTACCACTGTAGTATTTTTGTTGTTTGTTTTTTCTTTTTGTTTTGTTTGTTTGTTTTTGTGACAGGGTGTCACTCTGTCGCCCAGACCCAGAGTGCAGTGGTGCAATCTTGGCTCACTGCAATCTTCGCCTCCCAGGTTGAAGCAATTCTCTTGCCTCAGCCTCCAGCTCCCGAGTAAATGGGATTACAGGCACCCACCACCATGTCCAGCTAATTTTTGTATTTTTAGAAGAGGCAGGGATTCACCATGTTCAGCTAATTTTTGTATTTTTAGAAGAGGCAGGGTTTCACCATGTTGGTCAGGCTGGTCTCGAACTCCTGACCTCAGATGATCCACCTGCCTCGGCCTCCCAAACTGCTGAGATTACAGGCGTGAGCCACGGCGCCCAGCCACTACTGTAATTTTTTTATTTGAAATGATTTTTTAATAAAAGGTTTTCTAAAATCAATAAATGTAAGTCTTCACATTAACAGATTAAAGAAAAAAATGACCATATCAGTAGGTGCAAAAAAGGCATTTAGTAGATTCAATAGCTGTTCATGACTTCCTAAAACAGCTCTCAGTAGACGGAGAATGGAAGGGAGCTCTCCTTAATCTAATTAAGTACATCTACAGGAATCTGCTTTGCAAACAGCAATCTTCGTAGTGCAGAACTAGAACACTCTCTTCCAGCCAGAAGCAGACAGAGACGCTGCAGCCGCCTGGGCTGCTCAGCCCCTACTAGAAACACCAGGAAAACAGGGTGCTTCTTTCAGGAAGCAAGAAAAAGAAATAAGAATGGGGGATTTTAAGCTGGGCATGGTGGCTCACGCCTGTAATCCCAACACTTTGGGAGGTCGAGGCGGGCAGATCACGAGGTCAGGAGATCGAGACCATCCTGGCTAACACAGAGAAACCCCGTGTCTTTTAAAAATACAAAAATTAGGTGGGTGTGGTGGAGCGTGCCTGTAGTCCCAGCTGCTCAGGAGGCTGAGGCAGGAGAATGGTTTGAACCTGGGAGGCGGAGGTTGCAGTAAGCCGAGATCACGCCACTGCACTCCAGCCTGGGCAACAGAGCAAGACTCTGTCTCAAAAAAAAAAAAAAAAAAAAAGATTTGGAGATGTTTAAAATGAAACTATCATTAGTTTGTTTGTCTGTTTTGTTTTGTTTTGGTTTGGTTTGGTTTTTTGAGACAGAGTCTCGCACTGTTGCCCAGACTGGAGTACAGTGGCGCGATCTTGGCTCACTGCAACCTCTGCCTCCCGGGTTCCAGTGATTCTCCTGCCTCAGCCTCCCTAGTAGGTGAGATTACAGGCACCCGCCACCACACCCAGCTAATTTTTTTTTTTTTTTGTATTTTTAGTAGAGATGGAGTTTCACCATGTTGGCCAGGCTGGTCTCAAACTCCTGACCTCACGTGAGCCACCTGCCTCAGCCTCGCAAAGTGCTGGGATTACAGGTGTGAGCCATCGTGACTGGTCTTTTTTGTTTGTTTTTAAAGAGAGGGTCTTGCTCTGTGCAAGGTGGAGTGCAGTGGCATGATCATGGCTCACTGCAGTCTCAACCTTACAGGCTCTGACAATCCTCCTGCCTCAGCCTCCAGAGTAGCTGGGAATACAGGTGCACACCACCACATCCTGTTAATTTTTAAATTTTTTGTAGATACGGTGTGTAACAGTGTTGTCTGGGCTGGTCTCAAACTCCTGGCCTCAAGTGATCCTCCCACCTTGGCTTCCCAAAGTGCTGGGATTACAGGCATGAGCCACTATGCCCAGCCTAACCTACGATTAGTTTTTGCAAGTGATATAATTGTGTACTTAGAAAAGTCTTTTAAAATCTAGGCTGGGCACGGTGGCTCTTTGGGAGGCCGAGGCGGGCAGATCACTTGAGGTCAAGAGTTTGAGACCAACCTGGACAACATGGTGAAACCCCATCTCTAGCAAAAAATACAAAATTTACAAAAATTAGCTGGGCGTGGTGGTGGGTGCCTATAGTCCCAGCTTCTCAGGAGGCTGAGGCATGAGAATCGCTTGAACCTGGGAAGCGGAGGCAGAGGTTACAGTCAGCTGAGATCACACCACTGCACTCCAGCCTGGGTGACGGAGTGAGACCCTGTCTCATAAAAAAAAAAAAAAATCCAGAGATAAATTTTTTAGTATTAATAAGTGAGTTTAGCAAGACTCGCTAAACCAGGTCAAAATGCAGAAATCAGTTTCGGGTTTCTACAATTTTCAACAGAGTTAGAAAATGAAATGTAAATATGAAATGGGTGTGGGTGTGTGTGTGTGTATATATATGAGATATCTATATATAAGATATATATATATATCTTACAATATTTCAAAAAGACCAAATACTGAGAAACAAATCTAACAAAAGAAGTATAATACCTATATCCAGGAAACTATAAAACATTAATGAACACCTAACCCACGGAGAAGTGTGTTTGTAAGGCAGAAGAGCCAGCATTAACATTCTAAAGACATCAGTTCTCAAACTGATCTATGGATTCCACGTCATCCCAAGTAAAATCCCAATAGTTCTTTGCCTAATATTCGACAAACGGATTCTACAATGTCTATGAAATATGAGGCGTCGAGAAGAGTCCCAGGGCTCCCGACATAGGCGAGAGTGGACAACACACCCTCCCTGCCCTACATGGAGCCCGAGAGACGGCTGGAGTCATGAACACCATGTGGGCTTCCCAAAGGGAAAGAAGGAAGACCCAAGACGAAGATGGACACCAGGGCGGTACCAAGCGGCACACAGGGTGGCAGGAGAGCAGGGTCTTTTCCACAAGTGGTACTCGGACCCTTTTCACGTGGAAAAAAAAGAGAGTCAAAACTCATTGGCTGGGCACAGTGGCTCATGCCTACAATCCCAGCACTTTGGGACGCCGAGGCAAGAGGACCAGTTGAGCCCAGGAGTTCGAGACCAGCCTGGGCAACGTGGTGAGACCCGCCTCCCCAGTCTCTACAAAAAAATACAAAAATTAGCTGGGTGAGGTGGTGCACACCTGTAGTCCCAGCTACTCAGGAGGCTGAGTTGGGAAGATCCCTTGAGCCTGGGAGGCAGAGGCTGCAGTGGGCTGTGATTGGGCCACTGCACTCCAGCCTAGGCAACAGGAGACCTTATCTCAAAATAAAATAAAAAAAAAAGTTATGTGGCCAAAGCACCCAGCAAGTGTCATACTTCATGGACAAACTTTAGACACCTGCCCTCTGAGACTGAGAACAAGGACGCCCACTGTCACCAGGGCTGCTGAGTGTGCGTCAGCAAGACGGCAAAGGTAAACCCCGACAATCGCAGCCTCCCCCATGCCAGCCTCACACGCACCCCACCCTTCCTATGTATCACAGCCCCCACCGGCTCGGCTACTCTGCTTGAACCCTGATGACATGCAGGGTAATCACGCCATGTGGTATTGGTGAGGAACAGCCTGCTGGATCAGAAGGGAGGTCGGGGCAAGACCCCTGCACGGACAGGAGCCGATGTGGATGACAGCGACAGCGTGGACTGTGAGGAGGGCAGAGCTCCCAGGAGATGGTCTTGGGAAGCGGCTCACCCTATGGAGAAAAACTGGTTTCGACATGAGAGCACCTGCGGAGGTGGGCTGTGGACGAACGGAAGACCTAAGTGCTACAGGGAGAAGTGACAGAAGGAAACTGGGAGAAGGAGGACTGGGAGAGGGAAGCTCGTTTTCACAAAATGCTAAGGTGAAACCAAGAGTCAAAAAAAAAAAAAGACGAATTTGATTATAGCAAAGTTAAAATTTTCTGGGTAACCATAGGCAAATCTTTAACCAGACGACAGAATGGGAGAAGCTATTTATAGTGTGTAAAACCACTGAGAGATCCCTATCTTGAATTTTCAAGGAGTTCCTGCCACTCAATTTGTAAAAGACAGCAGGTCCCAAAAGAAAAACGATCAAAGGGTATGACCAGGCAGCTCACAGAAGAGGAAACCCAGAAACGAAGCAAGTGTGTGAAAGATGCTCACGGTCAATACTCAGAGAGATGGAAATTAGACGCAGAGACCACCTGACGCTCTGCTGGCAAACCCGCAAACGCTAGAAAACGCTGAGGGAGGGAGGGCCGGGACCCAGGAGGTAGGAGCCAGACAGGAGTACGGGCCAGAAAGGCCACTCGGGGAGTCACGGCACGTCCCCGACCAAGGGAAGGACCACAAGCCCTCCTTTTCTGTGGCCTGATCCCTTGGGCCCACCTGAGAGCTGCGTCTTTTGTGTGGCAGGGAGCGGGGGGCAGCCAGGTACCTGTCTGTGGAGAGTGGGTGGGTAGTTGCCTAAATGCTCCCCACTGGACGTGTGCGGGAGTTGGAAGCAGTGAGTCGCTGCAGGCGCACCTTAGAGGATGGAGCTTAAAACACAACAACATTCCATCCTGGCTAACACGGTGAAACCCCGTCTCTACTAAAAATACAAAAAATTAGCCGGGCGTGGTGGTGGGCGCCTGTAGTCCCAGCTACTCGGGAGCCTGAGGCAGGAGAATGGCGTGACCCCGGCAGTTGGAGCTCACAGTGAGCCGAGATCGCGACACTGCACTCCAGCCTGGGTGACAGAGCGAGACTCCGTCTCAAAAAAACAAACAAACAAACAAAAAACACAACAACACTAAGTGGAAAGAAATTATGAAGCCAGGTGCGGTGGCTCATGCTTGTAATCCCAACATTTTGGGAGGCAGAGGCGGGTGGATCACTTGAGGTCAGCCTGGCCAACATGGTGAAACCCCATCTCTACAAAAATACAAAAATTAGCCAGGCATGATGGCGGGTGCCTGTAATCCCAGCTACTGGGGAGGCTGAGGCAGGAGAATCACTTGAACCCAGAAGTCGGAGGTTGCAGTGAGCCAAGATCGTGCCATTGCAGTTCAGCCTGGGCAACAGAGTGAGACTCTGTCTCAAAAAAAAGAAATCACAGGAAAGTTAGGACGAGAGTTCCCAAACTGAGTCACCCCAGGGTGCCATCAAAAGTTTTCGGGGCCACTACAAAGTATTTTAAGGTTCTGAGGGAAATGCAGGGATACACAACACATCCGTTACCTCATGAAAAATTCAAGAGAGCCCAGGCCGGGCGCAGTGGCTCACGCCTGTAATCCCAGCACTTTGAGAGGCCGAGGCAGGCAGATCACCTAAGGTCAGGAGTTCGACACCAGCCTGGCCAACATGGTGAAACCCCGTCTCTACTAAAATCACACACACACAAAAATTAGCCGGGCATGGTGGCCCACGCCTGTAGTCCCAGCTACTTGGGAGGCTGAGGCAAGAGAATCCTTTGAACCCGGGAGGTAGAGGTTGCAGTGAGCTGAGATCGCGCCACTGCACTCCAGCTTGGGGGACAAGAGCAAGGACTCCGTCTCAGCCAGGCGCAGTGGCTCATGCCTGTAATCCCAGCACTTTAGGAGGCCGAGGCGGGCGGATCATGAGGTCACGAGATCGAGACCACCCTGGCTAACATGGTGAAACCCTGACTTTACTAAAAATACAAAAAAAAAATTAGCCGGGCGTGGTGGCGGGCGCCTGTAGTCCCAGCTACTCGGGAGGCTGAGGCAGGAGAATGGTGTGAACCCGGGAGGCAGAGCTTGCAGTGAGCCAAGATTGCGCCACTGCAGTCCAGCCTGGGCGACTGAGCAAGACTCTGTCTCAAAAAAAGACTCCGTCTCAAAAAAAAGAGCCCAGAGTTTCAGCAGTGGGTTGCACCTTCCTTGCGTTGGTGTCTCTTTGCAAAGCTGGTTTCACAGCAGTTGCTGTGAGCAAAAGCAAATACCAGGCAAAAATTAATGTGGATCAGAAATCCAGATGATGATGTCCAATCTAATTAAGGTTTGCAAAAACATGCAGACCTTAACAGACCCAGACATGCTATAAGTAAGTAATTACAATTCTTTTAATATTTAAGTTAAGGGTTTTTTTTTCAATTTATATGACTTTTTTTTCCCCAAAACTGCTACTAAGTTGTTAGGACATAAATACTAAGGCATTTGGCCCTAACAAACAGAACTGTTGGGTTTTTCTTTCGCCCAAGGGGTGCTGTAAAGAATCACTGGGACACTAAGAGTGCCATGAACTGAGAAAGTGCAGGAATCCCTGAGTTAGGACAATGCCAGCTGCTGTCACAAACAGACCCCAAGAAGTGACTGGAGGGAGGGGCTGGCAGTGGCTGCCACATTCCACTAGTTCCTGCACACTCCAGGATCTGCAAGGGCTGCAGTTTCTCCATTACATGCCGGACAAGAGCCGCCTGCCCACCTGGCCCCCGGGTACAAGGGTGACGCCTGGCAGGGCCGCTCAGTAGAAGGCCCCATCCATAAAGGGCACCAGTGAGGCCGTCCTCGGAGGAGACCCTGGCCCACACGCGTTGCGCTCTCAGCTAAGACCCCTCGTCCACGGGCCCAGGGTGCTGGCTTTACTTCCCGGGATGGGCCTGCTGGTCCCTCTCCTTCGGGATAAGCGTTAGGGTGTCCGCCCTCCTGGGCTGGCTTTTCCCAAAGTCTCTTCCTGCTGGTGCAGTCCTGGGGCCCAGGCCTTCTGCAGCCAGGCTCACGTCTCTTTAGCAACTTGATTCTATCAAAAACCAGCAGTGGGGCCAGGCACAGTGGCTCACGCCCGTAATCCCAGCACTTTGGGAGGTCGAGGCGGGCGGATCACGAGGTCAGGAGATTGAGACCAGCCTGGCTAACACGGTGAAATCCCGTCTCTGTTAAAAATACAAAAAGCAGCCGGGCATGGTGGCACGCATCTGTAGTCCCAGCTACTCAAGAGGCTGAGGCAGGAGAATCCTTTGAACCCAGGAGGTGGAGGTTGCAGTGAGCCGAGATCACGCCACTGCACTCCAGCCTGGGCGACAGAGCGAGACTCTGTCTCAAAAAAAAACAAAAAAAAAAGTAGGCATCTCGCCAGTGCCCCGCAGCCTCCCACCTAGCTGCTCATCTAGCAGTTCTGTCCCTCACTGTCGACAGCCACGCCCTAGGAGGACGTTCACAGCAAGGTCCTGGCCCTTCAGTTAACGGAGGGATGTTAAATTAATAGGACTTCGTGGCTAAACGGCTCTTGAACTTCCTGTACTCTGGGCTCAGGAGCAGCAGGTTTTTCCCACAGGCAAGGCCCCGAACTCCCTCCCTCTCTACTGCCCTTTGGTTCTGCTCTCATGCCGGCAAGGCCTCGCCCCAGCCCATCTCCTAGGGGCGACGTGGGGCCAGGTGCACACGGCCCTCGCCAGTAACATCCAGGCCTTTTCCTCCCTCTTCCCTGAAACTACAGGGCTGGCAGTGGTGTGTCTGCTTTCCAAGTCACTGGAGCACACTCTGATCACAATGCCAGCTTCATGCCAGGGCCCCACCAGCCTGGCATCCCCTCCAGCCAGGCACCCCCACCTCCCAGGGCTCCACCAGCCCGGGGCATCACCAGCCCAGCGTCCCCTCTAGCCAGGCGCCCCCACCAGCCCAGAGCTCCTCCACCCCAGCACCCCACCAGCCCAGTGCCCCCTCCAGCCTGGCGCCCCCCCCTCCAGCCTGGCGGTCCCCTCCGATACCCCAACCGGCCCAGCGCCCCCACCAGCCCAGGGCTCTGCCCGCCCAACATCCCCCACCAGCCCGGCACCCCCGCCAGCTGGGTGTCCTCTCCAGCCTGGCGCCCCCACCAGCCCGGCGCCCCCTCCAGCCCAGTGCCTCCCCAAGCCCGGTGCCTCCCACCAGCGTGACAAGCCATGGGTCCCCCACTTCAAGGCCCACATTTTTTTATTAGCTGAGGTCGTGGTAGCTGTTGTACCACCTCACTAAGCGCGTCTTTTTCTGTAGTTTTGATGCTGACGTCTTGCCCATTCCTGTGCCCCGACCACCCAGCTGCGTGGAGCAGCCCCCACTCTCTGTGGATAAAAGAACTTTCTTCCTACAAGACGGTCATTCCTGCGTCTGTGTGTTACCCTCCCTGATTACAACAAATCCTAGGCTCATTTTAAAAAGATACAGGCCCCACATTTAGGAGGCTGCAGCCCAAACCTCTGCAGCCAGCATCCTATGTCTTCGCTGCAGTTTATGGCAAGACCCTGGAGACCTGGTGAGAGCACAGCCCTGGTGTCCTCCTCCGTGGCCCCCCTCATCCCCCTCTGTCAGGTGTGTAGCCCCCACTCCAAGCGTGATCTTCAGCCCCCGGCCCTGTCCCTCAGCAGCACAGGTGATAAGCCCCTCCGTCCGGAAGCACTGTCTTTACTTGGCCACCAAGACCCCCAACTTGACCGCACCCCCACTTGCCAGCCATCCCCTCTGCCCTGCCTGTGCTTCCTACCACTGTGCAGGCCCAGGCTCAGGCCTCAGACCCAGGCCCCTCACCAGCCCCAGGCCCCTCACCAGCCCCGGGCCCCTCACCAGCCCCGGGCCCACCGCACCCTGGGGCCCTGCCCTGCCCTGCCCTGCCTCCCACCCCGGCTGAGCCCACCCACACCCTGCATTCTCACATTCCATTCTCCAGCCCCAAATTCCAGGTTCACGCAGCCAACTGCCCACCTGACACCCACTAAGATGCCAAGATTGTGAGCAGGTCAGAGCCGGGCTACCAAGCAGCAGTGCCCACCCCAGCCTGCCCAGTTCTCAAACCACCATGGGCCCAGCCACCACAGCTCCCTACATCACACCCGCAACCAAGACAGCGGCCAATCCTGTGCCCCAGTGGGCCAGAACCCACCTAGTCCAGCTGTCCTCCAAACCCACCTCCTCTGAGCCACAGAACCTCCCCACCAGCGGATGGGGGCAGAAGCCTGGGCCCTGCCTACTCTCAGCTTGTGCCCCCCTTGGGGCTGAGCCCCGGCGGGCACCCATGTCCTCCAGCTGTGAGCACTTTCCTCTATGGTGTTTGCTCTTCCCTCTGGGACATGGCCATGGGGCCCCTCAGAATGGCACATATTGGGCACCACGTGACTTCAGGTAGAATGACTGAGGGACCAGCCCAGCACAGCCAGGCAGGGCAGCGAGAGGCCGGGCAGGACACCCTCCGACCACTCTGAGGACAGGGATGGCTGCAGAGCCAATGCAGGCTCACACGCAGGGACAGACAGCTGGAGGCTGAGCCCAGGCGCAGGACTTCAGAGCCACCAGCCACAACCACACCCAAGGCCATGGGGTAGACAAGGGCAGTGTGGACTGAGCGGTCAGGGTCCCCATGAGATAAACAGGAACCACTCAGAAACACTTCTCTCCTGCCAGGAGCGGTGGCCTACGCCTGTAATCCCGGCACTTTGGGAGGTAGAGGCAGGCAGATCACTTGAGCCCAGGAGTTTGGGACCAGCCTGGGCGGCATGGTGAAACCCTGCGTCTACTAAAAATGAAAATACAAAAATTAGCTGGGCATGGTGGCACGCGCCTGTAGTCTCAGCCACTCAGGAGGCTGAGATGGGAGGATTAGTTGATCCCGGAAGATCGAGGCTGCAGTCCCAGCCACTCAGGAGGCTGAGGTGGGAGGATGACTTGATCCCGGAAGATCAAGGCTGCAGTCCCAGCCACTCAGGAGGCTGAGGTGGGAGGATGACTTGATCCTGGAAGATGGAGGCTGCAGTGAGCTGACTGTGCCACTGAGTGACAGAGCAACATCTTGTCTCAAAAAAAAAAAAAAAAAAAAGAGAAACCCTCCTGTCCAACCAAGGCGGGACTTCAGAGGCCGTAGGACACATTCCCTGGGCTCCAGGGGGAGGTGCGACCACCACAGGCCCCAGAGGTTGTGATCCTGACCTGGCCGGAGTCCCAACCAGCCTCATCCCTCAAGGCAGGGTCAGCCAGGACCAGGTGAAGGAGCCCTGAAGTAGTGCAGAAAGGGAAGCAGAGGCCAGGAAGGCTGAGCCAGCCGGAACAGAATAGGCAAGCGTATGAGACACTGCACTTCCATCTCATTAATCGTTTTTTCTTTTTCATATAGGGTCTCACTCTGTTGCCCAGGCTGGAGTGCAGTAACAAGATCATAGCTCACTTGGCCTCATAGCCTTGGTCTCCAGGCTCAAGCGATCCTCCTGTCTCGGCCTCCCTTCTATGTAGCTGGGACTACAGGCACATGCCACTACACCCAGCTGCTTTTTTTATTTTTTGTAGTGGTGGGGCCTCCCTATGTTGCCCAGGCTGGTCTTGATCTCCCAGGCTCATGCAATCCTCCCATCCAGGCCTCCCAAAGCGCTGGGATTACAGGCATGAGCCACTGCATCCAGCTGCACCACCTCTTAATAAACATTAGTTTTGGCCGGGCACAGTGGTTCATGCCTGTAATCCCAGCACTTTGGGAGGCCGAGGCGGGTGGATCACCTGAGGTCAGGAGTTCAAGACCAGCCTGACCAATACGATGAAACCCCATCTCTACTAAAAATACAAAAATTGGCCGGGCATGGTGGCGCACTGCTGTAATCCCAGCTACTCAGAAGGCTGAGGCAGGAGAATCGCTTGAACCCGGGAGGCGGAGGTTGCAGTGAGCCGAAACTGCGCCACTGTACTCCAGCCTGGGTGACAAGAGCAAGACTCTGTCTTAAAAAAAAAAAAATTTCTAGTTTTGTTGAAGTTTATTGCACCTTCCAGTAAGCGCACTTGGTCTCACGCGCCAGGTGACCTCTGCTGTTTCCTGTGAGGCCATCTTCGCCTCTGTCTTCCTGGGAAGCAAACTGCACTGTCCTTACACAGATGCTGGCTCGTCCAGGGTGCAGGGCCCTACTGCCCCAGCCAGGCCGACACCGTGGGCCTCCAGGCTGTTCCGTGGGTCTGGGGCAGGTCGCAAGACAGAAGGGAAAAGCTGCAGCTGGCCTTAAGACAGGAAGTCTATGGGGACAGAGGGGATGGGGGTCTTGAGGATGACTCGGGCTCCTGAAGGCAGGGGAGGGAGGCAGGAGAGTGTCAGAGAGGCAGTGTTGTGAGGACCTCCATGCCTGCTCTGAGCTGGGGGCCACACAGCCCTGCCTGCCCATCCAGCTTTAACCCTGTGGACTGGCAACCCCCGACCCACAGAACAAGAGGGCGTGACTTCAGGCGACTCGAGCCACTGCATGTGTGATAACAACTAGAGCTGAAGGCCAGGGTCCCATCCCTGCTCCATCATGACGGGCAGCACTAGGGCACCCTGCCGGCTTCCCTCCCGCAGGCCCTGGCCTCTCAGGCCCTCTCCACCGCCAGCATCATGGGGGCACACGCGCACCCAGGACTTGGACTGCCCTGAATTCACGCATCACATCGAGAGGTGACAACTCCATGACAATAAGCCTGCTTTTGTGCTCGTAAAAATCAAGTCCCCCAGGCCCGTGAGAGTCCTGGTTCTGTGGCAGTTTATAAAAAGCAGGGCTTCAAGTGGACTTGCTCCCAGCCCAAGAAGAGCCCTGTCCGGCAGTCGAGGGTTGCTGAGAGCACGGGGGACTTTCAGAGGCTGCAGGTGGAGGAGGGTTGAGGTCTGAGGGCCTGGAACAGAGCTGGAACCAGCAGGTGGAGGTGGCAGGAGCCCTTAGGAGGAGCTGGCGGAGGGGCCGGAGGGTGGCGCAGGCCAGGGAGCATTTGCACAAATCCTGGTGGCCCACAGGAGGCCCAGCTGCATGAGAGGGTCAGAGAGGTGCTCCTGAAAGGGAGGCCTTGCTGGCCACGGCCAGGTCTTGCCGGTGCTCCTGGGTCCCATGCACCGGAATGGGAAGGCAGGCGGTCTAGGCGTGTCCACCCCTGGGACCAAGGAGGCCCAGACAGGCTGAGACTGGAGCTGGAGCCCCAGGTGTGTGCTGTCACTCAGGCACATGCCCCAGTGAGAGCATGTTCTGGCAGGGGGAATGGACGTGGCCTCGGGGCAGGGCCGGCAGGAGCCTGGAGGTGGCCCCACAAGCCCCATCGTCTGCCCACCTCAGGTCAGAGTCCGACAGCCCCAGAAGAGAGGGGAGCCCGGCAAGGCAGGCAGGGCTGGAGGCCTCAGGGCCACCTGTGTCTGCTGGTGGGGGGCGGGGGGGGTGCCATGAGGCCGACCCTCCTTCCGCCAGGCTGAGGCACGTCCCCCGGACACAGATGGCTCTTTGTCAGGGATGAGCTGAGCTTGCTGAGCAGCCTCTGGAACAAAGCCCCTCTGTCCATGCTGTGCCTCCCCACCCGGAGCACCACCTCCCGGGAAGGAGCAGAGCCCCGGGCTCCCATCCGGCGCACCCACCAGGCACAGCCTTGGCCGGAGGTGGGGGCAGCTGTGCTCACAGCCCAGGGCCAGGCCCACAGCGGGAGCCCAAATGAAGGGGGGCGGGGCCGAGATAATCCCGCTCCAGGGAGGCCTGTGCCACCTCCCCGTGGTCCTGCCACTCACCAGTGCTGGGGTATGCATGTCCTCCAGCACCTGGCCAGCCCTACACTGGCCACCACTGCCCAGGGGCTCCTCCACGCTCCCACCCCCAAACAGGGAAACCCGACAGGGTGGCAGGGGGAGGGCCAGCGGCAGGAAAGCTGCTACAATTTATTTCCGAGTCCCCTCCAGACCACCAGGCTGAGCCTGTCACGACCTCCTCAAGGGACCAGCCATTCCTGTCCCCAGTGCTGCTAGCCACAGGCCTGGGATCCGGCCAGAGTCAGCCCAGCCCCACCCCTGGAGCGAGCATGTGACGTGGGCTCTGCATCTGCATCGTCCCTGCGGCCACCTGGCCTTGGAATCTGCTCCTCCAAGACCCAGCCAGGCTGGGCCAGGGCAGGCTTCCCACACGAGGGCCCGTCGACAGGCCCTCAGCGTCCAGGTGGCGGGATCCAGATGAGACCAGGGCGGGCTCCCACCAGCCTGGCCAGTTCCTGCCGACACTGTCCCTGTAGTCGACGTAGCACCGCCTCCAGGCAGGCCTCCTGGCTCCTCAGCGTCCTGATCACCACAGCTGCCCGCAGGTCCCGGTCCCCTGCTGCCCCATCCTCTCGTCTCACCAGCCGGTGTGGCCCATGGGGCTGGGCCGGGCCACCGTCTCGCTCCCAGCACTGCTGTAGAGCTCCCAGCTCCTTTTCCACAGCCTCCCGAGAGGCCCGCCGCGCGGCACTCCACTCTGGCCCCCGTCCACAGCCTCCAGCCTGCGTGGGACACAATGGCAATGGCTCTGTCCCCCCAGGACACTGGCCTCAGGCTCCCTGAGCATTCCCTGAGCCCAGACTCAGGTGCAGGCGCTGCAGGCATGCGGGAAACGCCCATGCTCTTCAGAGAGGCTTACTGAAAATTTTAAGGGGAAAATCATGCCTGCAATTTAAGTTAAAACTCTTCAGAAAAAGAAAATAGATGGAGCCAACACAGCCCCGTGTTCACAGCCATGAACCTGCGCAGGTTAAGCGGGCAGCTCTGAGTCTAGGGTGGAGGCCCAGGTGGCCACCAGGAGGTTAGACGGGTCCCAGGCAGGTGTGGAGGAGTGACTACTACCGTGTGATGCATGTGTGGCGGACGCATGGGAGCAGCAGGGCCCACACAGCACGGGCTTCCCTCCCTCATGCAAAGAATCAGACAACAGACCTCCCGCAGGAGGGGCGGGGGCTGTCTCGCAGCAGCTGCGGCTCCTCACCAGGTGCCCTCCCGCTCCCTCAGGGTACGTGCCTCTAAGTGTGTCCCCTGCCATGCTTGACAAATGCAACTGTAGGATTCAGCAAGTCCAAAGTGCCCTCAGGTCAGCCATCCCCCGAAGGTGGGGCTGGGCTGGTGCCCAGAGCGAGGCTGGCACTCACCTTGGCCTCCCAGGCCGCCCGCCTGCGCTCCGCAGCCTCCCGCAGCTCCTCCTCCAGTGCCTGCAGCTCCCGCACTACCAGGTCCAACTCGCCACCCCCGCGCTCGGGGACCCAGGGCAGGAAGGTGGGCTGTGAGGCTGCAGCAGGCACCTCCGGGGCACAGGTGCCCAGGACCGTGTCCTACAGAGACCCAAGTGAGACAGCGTGCACCAAGCCAAGGGGACAGAGGGACAGAGGGCAAAGAGGGCAGTGGTAGTCCCCCAGGTCCCACAGCGGGCTGGATGCCACCATCTCAGCAACTGTGACGTCCAGGGAGGCACAAAGGCCACACTCTAGAAGGCCATGGAGCTGAGGGCGGGGGCAGCAGTGAGCCTCCCCAGAAGGCGAGTGGAAGTCCTAGAAAGAGCCTACACTAGGTCTGTGGCCTCCCTAAAAGCCCCTCTTCCTGTCTGGAAAACAGGAAGATCCCGAATGCCCCACCTGGGGGCTGCTGTGGGAAGGGATGCCGGGAGAGGGATGCGCGGGCTTCCTCACCATCCACCGCCAGAAGACCAGCTCAGAGCGCCGCCACGCCAGGACAGCCTCCAGGCGCTGGTTCTCACGCTCCAGAGTCCGCAGCAGCTGGAAGGCAAACGGCAGCTGGCCTAGAACCTCACACGGGACCCCATGGACAGACAGTCGGATGGACAGCTGGACCCAGCGCCGACACCCGGCCCAACGCCTAGCTCACGCCCCGCCCCTGCAGCCCTCCCCTGCCTGCGCCCAGGTTCTCTGGCCAGAGCGATGAGCAGGGCACCCTGGTGTGGTGCGGACGCCACAGCCCACCTGTCCTTTCTGCAGTGCAGGGCAGCCCCCAACCAGTGCACGGCCAGGCCCTGCCTGCCAGGCAAGAGCTGCCCCCCGGCTCTGAGGACATCCGCTGTCCCCCACACCAGCCCCACTGCCAGTCCAACAAGGTCAGGGACAGGTCCAGGTGCCTCTCAAGCCTAGACCTCTGCCCCACAGCCCTCACTGAATGCGGGCTGTATCCGGGGACTGCAGGCGGACGGGGAGGCCCCAAACGAAGGAGCAAGCCAGGCTCTGGGGGAGGGAAAACCCATCCCCTGTAACTTCAGGGACCCCCTAAGGCAGTGAGGAGTCTGCCTAGTGACCCAGGTGGCAGAGAAGGCAGAGCTGAGCCACACTTGACATTCCCAAGTGAAGGGTCAGGCAGGGCCAGGAGACCCCGCCCTGCCTGCCCCATGGCCCTGCACAAAGGTACCTGCCCACAGTGCCCACAGACAGGCGGCTGGAGAATGGCCAGGACACAGCAGCTGCTCTGCCCACACACGGAAGGCCTCCCAGGTTCGCTCATGGGCTATCTGTACCAGTGACCCTGGGCCCGGGGCAAGGGGACCCCTGCTGGGGACAGGCCCTCTACACCTGAATCCTGCCCCACTCTACCCCTGCTTCCCCCGGGAACCCAGAGTGTGGAGCAGGCTGCAGGGGCCTGGGGCTCCAGCAGTGGGCTGGGGGGCAGATAGGAATGGCCTTGAACACCAGGTCCAACCCAGCCCCTCTGGGGCGGAGCAGAGCAGAGGCAGGCAGGCCTGCGGTCAGAGAATATGAGGACAGGGAGGTCTGTGGGCGGTGTGGGAGCTGGAGCAGGCTGGTGCCGGGGCTGCAGCCCACCTGCCCACCCCAGCACGCCACAAGAAGAGCAAAGGCCTCCACCATGGGTACGGCCGCTTCAACACACCTGACAGAAGGCAATCACCACAGTTCCCAAGAAGGTAAGGGCCAGGGGTGGGAGCAGGCAGGAGAGGAGGAGCAAACACACCCCCTCGCCACCCCCTCCCACCCACCCCCAAGTCCTGCGGTCTCCACTTCCCTGCCAGCCTCCCCGACTTACCGCCCTAAAAGGGGAGAGCAGGCTGCAGGCTGAGGCCCCACCAGGATCCAAGGGTGCTGCCCAGTCACCCGGCAGCAGACCTGGCTGCTCACATACCAGCCACAGATCATTCCAGAAGGTTCTGGGACCCATCCCAGGAGTGCAGAAGGAGTGCAGGCACTTTGGGTAGGCCAGGTCCAGGTTTTGGGCAGCTCCCGCTCCAGAAACCTTGGAAGGAAGCCAGCCATGGCCCCAGTCCACCTGGCCAGTGCCGCACACAGCTTCGGGGAGAGGGCGGGGCCTCACTTCCAGGCCCCCCCAGCCCACCACAGAGGGTGGTCCCACAGAGGCACTGGGCAGGAGCAGCCTGGGGCCAGGGCAGCCTCTCCTCTGCCCCAACCCAGGGGTCCCAGGGGCCAGAAGCCTGGGCTTCGCTGAGCCGCCTCTACAAGGCAGGTAGGGACAAGGGCAGACCAGGACGCCCGGATGCTGCCTCAGCACTGCCAACGCCAGTGCAGGCTGACTGGGTGGGCGCCAGCCCGGCTTCAGCCAGGGACACAGGTCCAGCTGGCACCAGGGGCCAGGCAGGCGTCAGGGGTTGGGCCCTGTAAGCCCATGAGTGAGGCATGCAATCCCCCAGGCTTGGGCTGCAGAGCTGGAACCCACAGGCCCTTGCTACGAGCAGGAAGCCCCAGCAGACACAAGACTAGGGGCCAGGAGCCAGGCCATCCGCCTCTGACCCCTAGGTCCCCCTGGGCAGGCCTGGGATGAGGTACAGGGGCCAAGTCTCTGGGATTGGAGAGGGAAGAGGCAGAGAAGGGGGACTGGGTCTGGAAGAAGAGGTCACACCAGCCCTGAGCCTCTGCCCTCCTGCCCGGCCATATGCACCTGGAGCAGGACAGTGCCAGCCCGTCACTCAGGACAGTACAGAGCCCAGCCCAAGTGGTTGGCTCACGCCTGTAATCCCAGCACTCTGGGAGGTCGAGGCAGGTGGATCACCAGAGGTCAGGAGTTCGAGACCAGCCTGGCCAACGTGGCAAAACCCCGTCTCTACTAAAAATACAAAAAAATTAGCCGGACGTGGTGACAGGTGCCTGTAGTCCCAGCTACTCAGGAGGTTGAGATAGGAAAATCGCTTGAACCCAGGAGACGGAGGTTGCAGTGAGCCAAGACTGTGCCACTGCATGCCAGCCTGGGCGACACAGCGAGACTCTGTCTCAAATAAATAAATAAAATAAATTAAAAGAGTGGCAGCCAGCCCTGCCCTATCCCCTGAAACCAAGCCAGCCAAGAGGAAGAAGCCAGTGATGACGGGCGGGCAGACCCCCAGAAAGAAGGATGAGGATGGAAGGCCAGCAGCAGGGTGCGAGGAAGCGGCCATCCCTGGGGAAGATGCCTGGGGCTAGGTCAACCCTAACACTTGGGTCAGTGCTCCAGCAGCCCCAGTCAGAGGAGGATGCTGTCTCCCCAAGGTCACACAGCCACCTGGGGCTCAGAGGCAGGTTTTCCTCCAGGTCTATGCTATCCAGGGCTCAGGATCTGCCTGGGACCACAGAGCCCCGGTCGCCGGGGGCAGGCCTGCCTAGAAAGCGCCGTGCCCCCGGGTGGTCCGGGTGTAGCAAGCAGAACGGGACTGCAAGTCTCCAGGGCCTATGGAGCTGGCTCCAGCTTGGGAGGCTCGGTCCAGCACACCCCATGTGGGCCTGGCCTTGGGTTCTGAAGGGCAGTTGTCCCCTCCCACAGTCAGCCCTGTGCCCAACCCTTCACCCAGTGTGGGCTGGCCCCCCACACCCCTAGGTGCCCCCTGACACACCAAGTGAGACCTGCTTGAGATGCCAACACCACCAGCTCACACCTGAGATCTGTGTTCCTTTATTCCAACAGCCTGCCCTTAGCCAGCTGCCTGCCCAGCCCAGGCTCCTGCGTCCTGGGCCCCCACCCGTGCCACGTCTTGATTTGTGGAAGGGAAGGGTGAGTGGCCCATGAGGCTAGGAGAGGCCCAGAGAAGCTGTCTGTCACCCAGGCTGGCAATGATCAGTGGCAGACATGCAGAGACACCCACCGCTGGAGGCCCAAGAGCTGCCCCGCCCCCAGGCCCCTCCCACCCTGGGCAGTCCCCCTGCTGTGCCCCCCAGCCCACCCCCACCCCCCCGCAGCAGCTTGCCCGCCCTCACCTGCTGGCCTCCCTCTGGGTCCCTGAGCATCTCTGCTTCAGTGACAGACAGATGGCTAAGGCTCTGGTCGCTGTGGCAGCCGCGTGTGTACAGGTGGATCTAAAACAGGTAGTGCAGACCCCAGGCTGAGTGGCAGTCAAGCACCTCCCCCAACGCTGAGTCTCCATGAGTCCAGGGAGGTCGGCCATCAGAGCCCACCTCCCAGATGAGGAAAGAGGGCTCAGAGAAAGCCACTCCTTGCCTGAGGTTGGCGGGGCTGGGCTGGGTGCAGAACAACCATCAGCACCGCTGGGGTCTCCTGCAAGGGGGCGCCAGGCAATTTCACTGATGGCCTCCCCACCCCGCCCAGCTTCCAAGCAGCAGCAAGATTGGAGTGGGGTGCCCTGGCTTCCCCAGCAGCATCGGGGGAGGAACAGCCTCTGGACAGGCACAGCAGTTCAGCCAGGCTCACAGTGGGGACATGAACGACTGCTTGGATCTAGGGAAATGGGGAAGGCTCCCCAAAAAAGGGAGGCTGGAAGGTGGCACAGAGGGTCACAGGTAGGCACATAAGTAAGCGGAGCAGCTGGTGCCAAGGCCAGGCCCGACGGGGTGAGAGGTCCCTGGAAAGGCCAGCTGAGCAACAGACCCTCTGCAAGGGTGGGATGGGGGGGTCTCCAAGGAGTCCCGCGCTGGTGGGAGCCCGCCGCTGCCACAGACCCACCTGTCAGCGCTGGCCTCACAGTGGACACACCACTGGGTACCTGTGCCCCTGAGCCAGCCCCTGCCACCTTCAGGACCCCACAGGAGCTGTCCACCCCGCAAGTCAGCCCCCACCAGGATGTGGTGGCAACAGGAGCTGTCTTCCTCCCCCTCCAGTGCCCAGGAGGGAGTGGCTTTCATGGCACAGACCCCATCCCACTGTTCACAGAGCTGGAAGTCCACTGGTAACTTTTGGGAACAGAAAGGCAAATTCTGTGAGCTCTCTGACACCCGTTTCTGCCCACCATTGCCCACCCCACTGGGCTCCCTGCCCAGCCCTGCCCCCTACAAGGACCACCGGGAACCACGGGCTCAGGCTTTGGGTAAGCCAGGGCAGGAAGGCCCACATCCAGCCAAAAGCCTGTGCCAGGCCTCACGGGACGGGCTGCAGGGACTGGCAGCTGGCGGCCTGCAGCACGGGACACAGCCCCTGAGTGGAAGCCCTGTGCCAGCTCTACCTTGCTCAGGAGGGCGCACTGCTCCTGCTGACTGGACACCAGCTGGCGCCACCGGAACCGCAGCTTTCCCATCAGCCACTGCACATGGCGGACATCCACAGGACCCTCTGCTTCCATGTGGGGTGCAGGTGGGCCAGGGCTGGCCAGGGCCTCACACTGGAGAGGGGCAAGGGTCAGGCCCTGCTCCCACCCCACCCTGCCCCCCAGAAAAGGCCAGGATGGAGACGGTAGTGGAGGCACAGCCAAAAACAACGGGTGCTCCCTGCACAGGGAGCCTCCGTGCTTTCAGCTGGGCAGCTGGGTAACCCTTCATGGGACTGCCCTGAGGAGCAAAGCAGACAGAGGGGGCTGACCCAGGCCTGCCCTTGCTCTGGCCCCAGGAGTTGAGACCAGGGCTGGCTCAGCTCACCCTCACCCACACGCACCTGGCACACAGTCATCTCGTCACCCAGAGGCACTCGGGCCTGGGCCAGCATCTGCTCGGGCACAGGTCCTCGGGCCAAGAGCCAGGACAGAGCCAGCAGCAGCTCCCGACTGCCCTGCGAGCCATCCTCAGGTAGTTGTGCCAGTGCCAGCCTCGGGTAGCCCTGGGAGCATAGTGCTGACTTCACCAAGCGGGCTTGGACCTCTAGGACAGAAGACCACCACCTTAGGGGGACCACCCACCTGGAGGTGACACCACCTGGATCCCTCCAGAGACCCCCACAGGTCACTTGAGCAGAAGCTCAAGGCCTAGTTCAGAAGAGATGATAGTGGGAGAGCTAGAACTCAGACCAGGATGAGGAGACCAGGGGCCAACAGGGACGTCCCCAGGGCTTTGTAGGAGCAGAAGCCAGTGCTACCCAAGGGGGTGGAGCTAGGGCCCATCAGGGGGCGTGGCTTACCGGGGAAGGCGGAGTTTTGAGGAGCAAGCGGGGTCAGTGTTGGGTGGGGGCTAGAGCCTGCCGGGGCGGGGCTTACTGGGGAAGGCGGGGCTTTACAGGAGTAGGCGGGGCCAGTGCTACCGGGTGGGCGGGGCCAGGAGCGGGGCTTACCCAGGGCGAGCGATGCCAAGGCGTTGCCCGCAGGGAGTGGCGAGAGCACACGGAAGAGGAGCTGCCAGAGCGCGGAGGTCTGCGGAAAATAAAAAGCGGGCGGTCAGCGGAGCCGGCCCAACTCCCTGCGAGGGCCCGGGACCCCACCCGGCCCGCCTGCCCTCCGCGAGAGCGTCACCGCCTCCGGACGGTCGAACTTGGCGCGGCGGAAGATCTCGGGGCTGGGTCCCGAGGGCAGCGACCGACTCAACGCGGCGATGGCCTCAGGCAGGGCCCCGGCCCGGGCCCCAGCCGCGGGGTCCACCCGCTGCCGCCGCCTCCCCATGCAGCCAGCACCAGCCTCTTTCGGATCGCCCGCCTCCGCCGCGGCCCGGGGCCTGCGTCCAATCACCGCACGGGCCGGGTTTAGTGCGGCGGCTGGGACCTGCGCCCAGTTACCGCTCCGGCTGGAACCTGAGCCCAATCATGGCACGGGCCGGGTCCAGCGCCCAATCACCGCGCCGGCTGGGACCTGCGCCCAATCACCGCGCTGGCCGAGACCTGTACCCAATCACCGCGCTCCCGAGACCTGTACCCAATCACCGCGCTGGCCGGACATGCATCCAATCACTGCGTCGGCAGGGTCCCGCCTTCGTGTCCAAGCCCAATGAACGGTTCCCCTGGAGTTTGAGTGTAGTCTATTCTGTCTCGTGCGGACCCACTTCCGGGCTCCTGGCAGGGCTGTTGATATGGAGAACACCGCAGAGTCCGCCCTTGCAGGCTCAATCGTCACGACACCCGACACCCCGCCTCGCTCAGACCCCACCCATCAGCGCCTCACGCCCCTTGGCAACCTAGCAACCGCCGGGCGGGAGCGCGCAGACTCCGGAAGGCGCCCTGTGGGGCCGCTTACGCAGTCGGAGCGGACGAGCCTCGCCCCATCGCGCCGCCTTCCAGGCTGGGCCGCCAGGAGGCGCCCAGAGCCCGCCGCGCCGCACAGCGCAGACCCCAGCGCGGCCGGCCCCTGGCCCCTGGCGCGAAGTCCCGGGCAGCTCCCCCGCCCCGAACGCGCAGCCGGAGCCCGCGGCAGCCTCCTCAGGCGCTCCCGATCCTCGCCCGCCCGCGGCAGCGCTTCCCTCTGCCGCCGCCACGGAGCAGCCCCGGAGGAAGCCGGCGCATGGAAGCAGCTGCTGCCCGGGCGCCGCTGAGCCGGGCCCGCCTGCACGGGCGGCCCCGAAAGACGCGGGCCGGGAGGAACGTGGGGCTGTCTGCGGGGATGGAAGGTCGGGCTGGCTTCTGGCCAGCGGCGCCTCCGGGCATTCGTGAAGACCCCGGGCAGCGTGTCACCGGGGCTGTTCCCGCGATGCCCCTGCACCTCCCGGGGCTGCGAGGACGGCGGGAGAGGGAAACTCAGTCCTCCCTGGACCCCCAGCCCTGGCTGGACACGCCCACGAGAGGCGCAGCCCGAGGGGTCCCGGCCCCACCTTTCTTCTCGGCCTCCTTCGCCCCCGACCTCCTCTTCCAGGCGGCCCTCCCGGCCCCGCCTCGGGGCCCCCCCCCCAGCAAGCCCCTCCTCTCCCTCCCCGCACGCCCTCCGTCCTTCCCCGCCCGCAGCCTCCTTCCCTCCGGCGCATCGCGATCTCCTTCACGGCGCCAGTAGGAGGACTGCGCTCCTCACCCCGCCCACGCGGGTTTCTTGAAGCTAAGGGGCCTCCTCCTCGGAGCGCCTACTGCACCTGCCGAGCTACAGGGCGGCGGGAGCCAGGGGGATGGGAGCAGGAGGTGGGGAACCGCGGCGCCACAGAACTTGGCAGGAGGCGTGGGGGAGATGGCGGAGCAGCTCTGCGGCCTTGTTCAGCGCTCTCCCAACCCCCGAGCTTGCGGATTTTTCTCTGCACCAGGTGTCGCTGTCTCAAAGATCTCAGTTCCCTCAGCTCCACCCACCACCGTCCAGCCAGAAACCAGCCTCACCTCAGCACCCCCTGCCCCCATCCCATCAAAAGTGCTGTGGCTCCCAGCTCTTGGAATTCCAGGAATCCCCCAATCACCCCCACACACCCCACCCTGCGGGCCACCCTAGACTGCCCCCACAGCACCTGTCGAGCTGAGCCTGCAGCACACCCACCACAGCCCTAAGGCAGGGCCAGACCCCTGGGCTCTTTTAAACCAGTGGGTGTCCGGAGGGGTGGCCTTCTGCCAAGGCCGGTATCTAAGTAGCCAGTGTGGGGAAGAGGGTCTCTGAAGGTGGCCAGTCAGCAGCGGCTGGCTGAGTTGACAAGGGAGTTTCCAGAAGGCCCCCCAGCCCCTGTGCACGGCCGGTACTCAAGTTCCCCACTGGACGCCGGGCCACTGGGTAAGTCCCTGGGCACAGGGTAGATGGCAGATGAGGACGCACATGGGGCAGTGGTGCCTGGGTCAGGGGCAGAGCAGCCTCATCAGGCCCTTGCAGAAGCTGGGCCTGGCCTGGAGGGGTGGGGAATGAGGACAGGGTTGGGGGGTGGAAAGGAGGAAGGCCAGGAGTTCCCATAACTCCCCCAGAGCCTCTCAGAAAGGGAGCCAGCATGAGCTGATTCACCCTCTGACCCGAGGCCAGCCTCGCCCGCCCCCAGGCCTCTCGGCCTGCTGAGCCTTTGGCTGGTGGCCTGCAAAGCCCCCCTTCCCCACTCCCAGAAGGCCAGGAGGGCTCAGAGGCACTTCTGAGGATCTGGGAGTTGTCGAGGCGGACTCAGAGTGCCAGGGCTGGGTGCGGGCTGTCTAGGGTGGCCTGGACTCACCCTGCACAGGGAGCCCTCGCCTATGAGACCCTGGAACGGCCCCCTGGGGAGGGCAATGGGCAGCAGAAGAGCAGGCGCCGGTGGCAGAGCCTGCTGCCAGGACCCCACTGCAGCTCCCTTGGCACTCCCCAGCACACACGCGCATGTACACACACAGGTTTTCCAAGTGTTCAGGTTTACTGAGAGCATTAGGGGCAACAAGGGAGCCCTGGGCATCTGGGGACAAGGCCTGGCATTTGCCTGGACAGTGGCCCTGCAAGCAGCCAAGGATGGGGTCTCCACCACCTGTGCAGAGAGAGACAGGCACAGACGTGAGTGCAGCGTCCACGGCCTCCTTTGGGGCCCACGAGTGGTCAGGCCTCCCTGGGAGGGGGCATCCCCATCCCGAGGGTGGAACCAGGAGGCAGGATAGGGGGTGGGGTCCTACCTACCTGGTTTACTTGAAAGTGTGGCTCTCGGCTCCGCCCCGCCCAAAGCCTGCAGAGAAGGTGGAAAAAGTCAACAGGCTGGGGTGGAGGAGGCTGTGGGGTGGGGTGGGGTGGGGATGACGGGAGCATACCTTTAGGCCCAAACATGGCTGCGTAGCAGGGGTGGTTGCAGTAGGGTTTGCCTTCGTGCTGCAAAGAGAAGGGCCGTGAGGGGGTGCCATCACCCCTGGCCCCTGCCACCAGGGTGGGTCCCACCTACCTCAGCGTGGCCCCCAGAGGTCAGCGTCTTCCCACATTTCTCGCACTTCAGGCAGGGCCGATGCCAGTCCTTGCCCAGAGAGGTCACCCTCTCGGCTGCAGAGGCACAGACAGGCCCCGGTGAGACGCTGCAGGACGCGGCGCCTACCCACCACTGGCGTACCCGCCTCTTGCAGCCAGCTCTGCCCAAGGCCCTGTGCACTTAGCCCGCATCCGCCCAGCCTGGCAGCCCACCCTAAGGTCTCAGCACCCTCCATGAGGGGAACATCTCCAATCCCCAGAGCCAATACAACTAAACAAAGCGCGGGGTCGCTGGTCCCCGGGGCACTTTCGGGTGCGGCCGGGAATCTTGCTCCTGAAGGCTGGGTGGGGCTAGAGGGCGAGGCCGAGGGTCAGGGGTCGCGGCTTAGGTCAGCAGGGCCTGGGCCTGGCTGCCTGCTTTCAGCCCCGGGCCTCTGCGGTGGCAAGGGTGGAGCCTGCGACAGCCCTTCTCGGCGGGGACAGGGGTGACTTCCCACTTCCTCCCTCCCCTCGGGGCGCGCGGGCGCGGGGCAGGGAGGCGGGCGCCCGGGATCGCGCCCCGGGCGTCGGTTTCCGCGTCTGTTTCCACTTAGCGCTGGGGGGCGCGGCCCCAGCCCCGCGTTCCTTCCAGCCCTGCGGGTCCCCCACTCAGGGCGCGCCTGAGAGGAAACGGCAGAGACCGTAGGACCCAGAGACGGGGAGGCTCAGAGCCAGAGGTAGCCCGCCGAGCACAGCAAGACCACTAGCAGGCAGAGATCGCCAGGGCCCTCGGACGCAGGGGCCTCCACCCTCATCCCGGGGCAGGCGGCGGGCCAGGCTGAGGCGTTTTCAGGCTGGGGCGCCGCCCCAGGGACCCAGCGCCCCCGGTCCTCCTGAGCGGTCCCCAGCCTCGTCGCCCCGTCGGCGGCGCCTCCTCGCGGGGCCGGTGTGGGCGCGCTCACCGAAGTACACCTCCTTGTTGCACTTGGGACACTTGGGCATGACGGCTCCGGGTCCGGTGCAGGCGGCAGCGGCTGGGGCGGCACGGGCTGCAGGCGCGAGACTGGGTGGATCCGGCCTGGTCCGCGCCTTTCAGGGACCCCGGGACCCCGCCCCTTGGAGACCCCGCCCCTCGCGCCCCGCCCTCTGAACCCAGGACTTGGACCCTGGGGACCTCGAATCTAGGCCCAGGGCCCAAGAAAGATCATCTGGTCCACCCCCGCCTTCAGGCAGGACCCGGGCCTGACTGAGGACGGAGCGCGGGGGGGCAGGGGGCCATGGGGACTTACTGAGAGGGCGCAGCTCTTTAGGCGAGTTCAAGCCGCGCCCCTAGCCCAGCGCTGTGATGTCTCCCGGGTCCAGTTCCGAGGCAAAAGGCTCACCCGCAGCAGGAAACGCCGCTCCCACCCCCAGCCCTACCCCACCGGCACCCGCCCGAACCCCAGATCTGCCCGGGCCAGGACTGGACCAAACATCACTAAAATGCAAAGAGATGCAAAGCAGCCCGCGCGCTGATCCTGCCCTCCCCAGGACGGAGGGTCGGGGACAATTGCCGGAGAGCCCCCGCTGTTGCCCCCCACCGAGGAACCCACTCTGACCTTCCATCCCACGCAGGGTTACGAGGCCGCCCCTGTCAGTCCCCTCACTCCCAAGGGACGTCCCCGCCTCTGCTAGCTCCCCTGACCTCCGCTGCTCTGGGAGGTCCATCGGACCGCAGCGGGAACATCCCCGGGGAATTCAAAAGCGGGGACTCCCAGAGAGGGGAGCTGTAGCTTGAGGACCGATCGGCTGCGGGGGCTGCGGGGGCTGGGGTTTCGGCCGGCAAAAGAGAGTTCAGCCACCCCCAGGCCGGCTCGGAGATGCCCGGACCGGGCGCAGGGAGGGGCCCTTATCTCTGCGGGTAGCGCCCAGGGCGGCCAGAGCGGTCCAAGTACGCTGCAAAGTTGAGGCGGAGGATGGTCCCGGTGCCAGGCGGAGTCTGTCCCGCCTCACCCGCCCCCCAGATTCAGGAGGGCCAAGGGGGCTGCGCTGGCCTCGGGCTTTGGGGTCAGCCCTCTAGCTGACTGGCCAGCCTCAGGAAGGGAGCCCAGGTCACTGTCAGCCCCCTCTCCTGTCACTGAGCAGGGGAGCCCTCTCTCTGCAGGCCCTTCACCTCCATGCTGCATGGAGCTCCCTGGGAGCTCCCACAGCACAAGGGCGGTGCTGCCCTTCCTCCCCACCCACCATCCCTCCTGTCAGCCATGTTAACCAGCGTCCTTATCTCCCCTCGATCTCCACTGGGCCTGTGCTGGCCCTGTCCCCGCTGGGGGCGCTGGAGACCATCCTCCTGGGCCCCAGGAGCCGCTGGCCTACCGCTGTCGGGCCCTGAGCCCTAACTGCACCTGTGATCCCAACCTCACTTTCCCTGAATCCTACCGCACCCCTGTCGGCACCTCGAGGCCTGCACTTAGAGGAAGAGAAGCCGCCTGCCCTGCCCTGTCTGCCACCAGTCCCCAGCTTGGGGAGAGGGCAGGGGCAGCAGGGCTGTAGGACGGCCAAGGCACAGGCGTCTGGCACAGAGGCCACACTCCAGAGAGCCCCACACCAGCACACCCAGCCCAAGGCCACATCCTGCTTGCCCTCCTCCTGGCGCCCCTCTAAGGCCACAGTTCTGTCCCCCGACTGGGGCTAAGTCCTGGGGTCTGATAGGACATTCCACAGGGGCCCATTGGAGCCCTCCTCATCCCCCATTCTGAGACCTCAGAGATAAGGTTTCCAGAGTAGGGGTGCGCTCCTGTCCTGCAAACTTGGAACCCCCACTCTCCAGCCCATGAGCCTTGAAACCCACTCTGAGGTCTGGGCCCACCTGCCATCTCCACTGAGTGTGGGGCATCGTGGGACAAACCTGCAGACAAGCAGAGGGAGAGGCAGAGGCACCAAGAAGGGGGAGAGGCCAGGGGAGCCCGGACAGTATTGGGGAGGCCGGGGGCTCTGTCACTGCACTTTCCCTGGGGCGTGCGCTGCCCCCAAGCCCCAGGGTGCCCAGCACCGCTGTCCACACCCCCACCAGGATGACGTGCTCCGGGTGCAGAGGTGCAGGGCAAGTGCCTGATGCACACGTGTGTGCCTGGTGCCCGTGGACATACCCGTATGGGTGTGTCCATCAGGGGTCTCTGGGGTCCCCGCGAGCATGTGTGTGGTCCCTCTCGCAGTTGTCCGCCCATATTTCTGTCAAGCCTCCTCCCCAGCCCATCCCAGCTCCTGGCCCGGTACCTTGCAGCTCATGTACGGACATTAGCCAGGGCAGATAGGGACAATGACCCAGTCCTTGTCCTCCCCTCTACCCGCCCCCAGGGATGGTCCCTTCCCCCACACTCTGGACTCCAACCCACCCTGCCCATGGAGGAGCCCCTCCTTGAAAACCAGGGTGATGAGTCCATTCCTGGCCTTCCCTGCTGTTGCTTCCTGTCACCATGGTCACGGGTGGGGTGGGGGGCAGGATGCCCTCGCCGTGGGGCCACGCCTTCTGTGTTGGCTCACAGCAGTTTTTCCACTCAACTCAGACACCCACACTCACAGATACACACAGACACATGCACAGATACACACGCACACCCTCACTGACACAGACATAACACAGAGACACACACACAGTCACATACACACGATCCCTGGAACCCTTCCTAAACTTCAGCCACAGACTGACATGCCCCTCAGACCCCCTTTCTCCTGTGCTCCCCATCTACCCTGTGCTCTGGGGGTGGGGACCCCTCATCAGCTGCAGGACCCCAGCTTCCAGCTCCTTTCTCCACCCACACTCCGTGTTCAGGCCATCCCACCCCCAACGCCCACCTCCATCTGAGCAGGTCAGGGTCCTGCCGGCTTCCGGGACACACTGCCCCCGACCAGCCCCAGCCCAGTCACTAGGCCTCAGGCTTTGTCAGCTCTCACCTGGCCGGGGATGCACCTAGGACAGGGCACTGACCTCGTCCATGGGGCCAGCCTGACTCAGGCCCACTGGGCTGGCTGGAAACCCCAGCCCCTGTACCTCTCAGCCCACTCTGCAGGGTGCTGGTGGCATTTGTTTCAGGAACAAACAGAGGACAGAGTGGTCGGGGCAGGGACTCGGAGCTCCGCAGCTGCTCGCCCCAGGCTGCCTCTATGCCCAGAACATTCCACCCTGCACCTGGACAGCAAGAGGGCCCTAGACCCGGGGGTGGCGGGGGCTGCTGCAGTGTTCCGGGTGCATCTTGGAGGCCGCCTCTGTCTGCTCAGCCCGCCCTCTGCACACATCCCTGCGCCCTGGCCTGCTCCTGCTGGCCCTCTGGCTGAAGCCCACAGGGGCTGGGGTGCGGCAGCCTGCAGCCAGGCCTGGGCTCCAGGAACCAGGGTAACCCAGGAGGCAGGGCTGGGCCCCACTGTCCCTGAGGAATCCCACCGTCCACCCCTCTAGGAACATTTTGCTCCTCTGGGCCCACAGCCCCTTCCTCTGCAGACTCAGCTTGGGGACTTGCCTTGAGATGCCCCTCCTTGTCCTTGGAGCCCTCCCCACCACCTCCCCTTGCCCCATGCCCAGGCTGAGAGTGTGGGCAGGTGTGAGGTGCCCTCCCGGGGCTGCAGGCCAGCCAGGCCTGTCCTGGATGCTCTGCAACCAGGTGCCCTGCACTGCCAACATGCATGCCAGGACAGCGCGGAGCCGGCCACGCCCAGCTCAGGCCTCCCCAGGGCCCACCTCCCTGCCCCTCCCTCTCGGCCCAGCTGAGTCTCAGACACTCCCAAGTTCCCAGGGTCTATTTTCAGCTGCTTGTCTCCCGGGACCCCCTGTCTGGCCTGTGGTCTGGCCCCGGTTGGCCGTGCTGGGCTCAGTGGCCATTCCTGCCCTGGGCAGACCTGGCATGGGGCTGGCATGGGACAGGCTTACCAGACAGGCACCTCCTGTCCTCCAGGCCTCACCTCCAGCCCCGAGCAGGTGGGAAGGCTGCGCAGTTCCTCCTCTCCCAGAGCAGACGTGGCAAGGTGTGGAAAGAGGGAAGAAGGGGGCTCCCTCAGCCAGCCCTGCCCCCAGCGGGGCTGCACCCCTGCCTGGCTTCCACAGACTGGCCAGATGGGGTGCCCCTGACCTCCCTCCCCTCTCTTGAGGCTGGGCCTAGTACCCAGCATCCTACAGCCATAGCCCAGGAATTCCAGAGGCTGGAATTCCAGCCTCCCCGCCTGGCAGCTGGACCCCACATCCCCACCGGAAGCCCATCAGGCGCTGGGAAAAGTGCTGCCCATACCTGGCCGTCCTGGTCCTCCAGCCTGCCCTTGCCTGTGCCCAGCCCTCCACGGTCCAGAGCTAGGGGCCCACGGCACTGGGTGATTTCCTCACATCCACCTCTCAGGCTACCGCCGGCCCCCAATAAGCTGGACCCAGGGCCGGGAGGGAGGTGTGCCCCACCAAGTCCTGTGGAGGGTCAGGGTCAGGGGCGCTAGTCCCAGCTGTGTGGAGTCCGAAGGGGTCCAGGAATTAGGGAAGACCCTGGGAGCAGGGGTACCCAGGGCCGATGCTGCGGTCACTGGCTGGGCAGGGCCTGGAGGAAGGGTGCTGGGGGTCCCGGGCAGGGGCCAGAAGAAGTGGAGACAGGGGTAGCTGCAGGCTGAGCTGGCCCCACAAAGATGCCTGGCTGGGGGCACCAGTGAGGGCCCCACCAGCCCAGGTTGGAGTGGGGGATACCTTGGAGGGACCTGGCCAGGAGACACGGGAAGACTGGACAGTGGGGGTACAGACGGGGAGCGGCACAGCTCGGTTCAACAGAGCGCCGGGGTGTGAGCTTAGCCCCATGGGGCACCAGGGCCTTGTGGATCCCTGGACTTGGTTCCCAGGGGTTCTGAAGGGGAGGGATGGAGCAGATAGCATTTCAGAGCCGCCTCACTGGCCAGGCATAGGTCCAAGTAGAAGAGAGTGAAGGTTGAGGGCAGAGCAGCCCCCAAGGCAGGGACAGAGAAGCAGGCACGCCCAAAGGCAGAAGAGCCCATTCCAGATTCCCCTCCCTTTTAGGGGATATCTGGGTCTGTGGGCACCCAAGGGAGCACCTGGCTGGCAGGCGGCTGGGAGGGCATAGCTTCCTGGAGCTGGAGACACCAAGCGAGCCCTGTTAGTGCCGTGGGCACCCAGCCAACCCCAGCAACACCGCCTAGCGACGCAGTCCAGACAAACAGTAGCAACAACCGCCCCGGTTTCCATGACAATGACTTGGAAACAAACACGGCAGGCAGGCGTCATCCTCAAACCGGCCCCGCAGGAAATGGTCCTGCCCCAGCCAGACCTGGGGTCGGGGGTGCTGCTGTCCCTGGCGGGGTCAGGGGCTGATCTCTGGAGGAGACCCCTTACCCACATCATCCCCGCAACCGACCCTGGAAGGTCTTCTGGCACACAAATCCCCCACCGCCGCCCAGGTTTTAGAGAAGGGCACACCACCCACCACTCTCCTCACGACATAGTTTCCACTGGAGGCTCCCAAGGGAGGGGGGTCCAGCTGAGCCCTCCAGTCCCCCCCCCGCCCCCCGCCCCGCCAAGCTGAAAGCAGGAATTTCCCATGCAACCCTGGGAGCCCGCAGCAAGGGCGGAGACGGGCACTCCGGAAATTCTCAGTTCTCCCGAAACAACCCCCCAACACACACAAGGAAGCCTGGGCCTGGCAGGAGGGGATGAGAAGGGGAACCATCCCAGCCTCTCCTGTGAGCAGGGGTCTGGAACCTGCCTGATCCTCCCCTCTGCCTGGGGTTGGGGACTGGCCGTCCCTTCCGCAACGTCAGGCCCCGGGGGTTTTGGCTGAATTCCAGGTGGGAGGAGACCGCACTGGGTGCCTGGCTGGAGGGCAGCTGTGGTACGGCTGGACCCCGGAGCCAGCCCAGGCCCCGCCAGGACATGGATGGCTGCTCTCGGGACAATGGGCTCAGCATCCAGGCTCAGCTCCGTCTGAGCCCATGGGCTGGAGGGTGGCCAGGCAGGGAGCTGTGCCAACGGCTGGGAGCAGGGAAGAGGCGTAAAGCCCCGGCCACCCTGTAGCACTGGGGACAGGGGCCTGGAGGTGGCCAGGTCTGAGTGCCCCTCACTGAAGGAAGGGCCAAGGCAACTTCGGTGTGGTGCCAGGAGCAGAGGAGCATAAACCAAGGTGGGAAGTCCAGATGGCGCCAGGACAGGGCTCAGCCACTGGGGAAGGTCTCCACGTTTCTGCTCTGTGCTGCCAGAATGGGACAGTGCGCCCTCTAGTGGGCACCCGAGGAGTGGCGCACAGCAAAGGCGGGGCGCGGGGGAGGGGAGAGCTCCTTGGAGCCGCCAGCGCCCCTGGCTGAAAGGGCAGAGCCTGGACCATGAAGACGCCAGGGGCGAGTCGGTCATCACTAAAACCTTCACCAGAACACTTGGGCAGGGATTCTGTCCCTGGGCCACACCCAAGGCAGGCCTGTCCACAAAAGCCTGTCCATCACCCTATGGACAAAAGCTGGAAACAGCCACGCTGAGCCTCTCCAGTCCTTGCTCTGACCAGAGCCCCCAAACCCTCCTGCGCATCCCAGTCCAGTCTGGGGCTGCCAGAGACCTCTGTCCCACCCGACCTTCGCCGGCTTCCCCATTCTCTGCCCAGGACCCCTCCTCTGGTCCCCGGCCCCCTTCCCTCCTCAGCCACACTCTGCTCTCAGGGCGGACCCCTCCTGCGCTTGCCAGGGTCCACACACCCAGGCAGCTCCGGGTTCTCAGGCCTGCTGTTGGTATTTTCAGGGTTCTAGGTTCAACTTTTCTCCAAGGCTCTGTCCTCCATGGACCCCACCCTCACCTGACCCTGGCCAGGACCCTGGCCCCGGAATGCCTCCCACCTTCCTTACCTCCCCACAGCCTGGCGTTCTTACTGCCTCCCCATCTGGGTGGGCACCACCACCCAAACCGGAGACCACGCTCCCCGCCCCCATCCCTCCCTCCTGCTCAGAAACATCCCAGGGCCCCACCTCCCACTATGACCCCCAGGAGAAGAGCCCACCCCCACTAGCAGCCAGGCCCAGGGGTGTTGGCTGGGAGCACGCATGGACCGGAGAAAGGGACCCTGGTCTGGGATTTGCATCCATCCCACAAGCAGAGACAATCCTGCAATCCTCAAACCGTTTATTGACAGCACAAGGCTCAACAGCAGGTGAGCCACGTGAGGGTGGCGAGCGCTTGCGAGGCAGTGTGGGCACCAGGCAGGGGATCCCGGAGGGAAGCCCTCTGCCAGGGACATGGTGAGGGCGTGGCCATCACCCACGAAGGGAGCATAAATAACACTGGCAGGTGGGTGGGCAGCAGGAGAGGGAGAGCGGACAGCGCCACGGGGACACGCAGGGTCGGCGGGAAAATGCTGGGACAGGGTCACACGGGGATTCGGACACGCAGACACAGAAGGGATCATGGGACGCCCAGAGGATGCCAGAGGGGGCAGACACACCAGAGACTCGGGGATGGGCATGGTGCTCTGCCCGTGGCTGCCCCTCCTCCAATACTCGCCCTGGGCTTGCAGGCAGGACTGGGCGGCTGAGCACTCTCCCAGCAGAGCCAAGCAGGGGGGCCCCTGCAGGGTCTGGGGCGCAGGTGAGCCCACATCATGAGAGCCGCTGTAGCCTAGGGCTGGACCTTGCCTTCGGGGTCCCGGTCATAGATGTAGCTGCCCACCGCACCGGTGTTCACTCCTGTGGAGGGAGGCCGCTGGGGTGGGTCGGGGGAACAGTGGAGGGAAGGGGAGGGCAGGGAAGACATCGTGGACCACCCTGGCTACACTCACCCTTGGGTCCGAAGAGGATTCCATAGCAGGGCTTGTGGCAGTAGGGCTGGCCGTCGTGCTGGGGCAGAAGGTGGGTGCTGAGGGAGGAGTCCACAGACTCCCCCGACCCATCACCTGGAGGCTTCCAGAACGTGCAGGCCGGCTCGCCGTGGGGGAGAGGGCAGCGCAGCTCCCAGAAGCACCACCCCCCATCCCCTCTAGGCGCGCCTCTCACCCTCATCCCCCCGACCCCGCGCCCCTGCCCGGCCCCCAAGCCCCGTTGCACTCCCCTCACCTCCGCGTGCCCGCCGGGGGTCAGTGTCTTCCCGCAGCGCTCGCAGCGCAGGCAGGGCCGGTGCCAATCCTTGCCCAGAGACGTCACCTTCTCAGCTGGAAAGGGGGAGGAGTGAGGCCGAGCCCCGGGGCGGGGGCGGGGGCGGGGGTCCGGGGCCCGGGCGCGCACTCACCGAAGTACACCTTCTTGCTGCAGCGCGGGCACGTGTTGGGCTCCCCGGTGAAAGTGGTGACACTGGAGGCTGTGGGGCGCACGAGTCAGGGCGGGGCGGGGCCGGGGGTGCCCACAACCCCCAGCCCCAGCCCGCGCGTGCCCACAACCCCCAGCCCCAGCCCGCGCCCAGCCCACCTCTGCTGGGCCCCTTCGGGGGGCCGCTCGCCTTCCGCTCCTCTGCTCGGGCCGCGGGGACCTCGATGGGGCCGGTGACCTGCGGCCCCTCCGCCAGGGGCTTCTCGTAGATGTAGGAGCCCGCGCCCCCGATGTTCACGCCTGCGGGTGGGGGTACGTGGGGCGGGGGTACGTGGGGTGGGGGCCGCGGCCACCGGGCATCTCAGAAAACGGCCCGCTGGGGACTGGGGGGCACTAGGCTTTCCAGGGTGGCAGGGACTCTGGGCGGGGATCCACGGCGGCCGGGACCCCCAGCCCTCCCCAGCGCCAGCGCCACGCCCCTCCCAGCAGGTCCCAGGGCAGGCCGAGGGCAGCCGGAGCTCACCTTTGGGTCCGAACAGGGTGGCGTAGCACGGCTTGTGGCAGAACGGCTTCCCGTCATGCTGCGCAGAGGGGCGCGGGTCAGGACCCTGCCTGAGGGTGGCGGGAGTCGCGACCCCCGCCCCCGCCCGCGCCGCGCAGTGGGGCTCACCTCGGCGTGGCCCCCGGGCGTCAGCGTCTTGCTGCAGCGCTCGCACTTGAGGCAGAACTTGTGCCAGTCCTTCCCCAGGGAGCTCACCTTCTCGGCTGAGCGGGAGGGGCGGCAGGGGGGTCAGGGCCGGGGCGCGCCCCGCACCCCCTCCGCCCCCACCTGGCAGCCACCACCCCCACGCGCTCCGGGGGTCCCCACTTTCAGGAGGTCTCCCAGGCGCCTTCCTTCCACCTGGCGGGCCCTGCCCCTCCTTCTGAGACCCGGAGGAGCCCGTCGCCCCCAGGCCCTGTTCTCCCTCTGGGTCTCAGCGCCCCCAGCCCTGGAACCCCGCTAGAGCCGCCTTTGAGAAGGGGCCCGGGGCTGCCCTGTTAGTCCCCTCAGTGCCTGCGGTGAAGGGGCCTGTGCTCGAGCCTGCCCGCGCTCCAACACCTGCCCGCGCTCCAACACCTGCCCGCGCTCCAACACCTGCCCGCGCTCCAACACCTGCCCGCGCTCCAACACCTGCCTCCCGGACACCCGCCTCACACCCGCCTCCCCCACACGCCCGCCTCCCCCCACAAATCTGCCTCCTCCCACACACCTTCCTCTCACACACACACCCGCCTCCCCCACACGCCCGCCTCCACACACCCGCTTCCCCCCACACACACCCGCTTCCTCAGACACACACCCGCTTCCCCCCACACACCTGCCTCCCCCCACACATATGCATCTCCCCCACCTGTCATTCCCTCAAACACTTCTCTTACACTCACACACCTGCCTCTGCAGTGCACCTGCTTCAACACATGCTGCTCTCCCTCTCACACCTGCCTCGCACTGACACGCCCCTGATCCCCACCAACTGGGCCCTGATGGGGCTGGCAGCACCCCGCTGCTGAGTCAAAGGTGCAGCCCCAGAACCTCCAGCTCCCTCATGGGAAGGCCAGGCCCCGTCCCCGTGGGTCCTCCAGGCGGGACCCTCATCTGTCTGTGGATTCCTCGTCCTAAACCCTGAGCTCTCCCCCCGCCGTAATGCCCCTGGCTGCCACTGGCATGGAAGATCTGAGGGCAGCTGCTGAGGGTCCGGGACCCTCTGCCACTGCCTCCCACCCCCACACTGGGGCTACTGGACTGCTTCCCAGTGGATGGAAGCAGGGGCCTCCCTAGGGAGCCAGGCAGGAAGAGGTGGGGAGGGGCAGGAAGGGCCCAGCAGAGCCGGAATTCTGAAGGGAAGGGGACAAGCTGCAGGCCCTGGGGGGAGGGAGCATGCAGGCTGGGCCCACCCTGCCCGGCAGAATCTGGCCAAGCCCCTCAGGTGGCCGAGGACCAGTGGCTCTCCCAGCTCCCTTTCTCAGCAAGTGGCCCAGCCCCCTTTGTCTGGCAGATATCGGGGAGGGGCATCTGGCTAGGGCGAAGCCCACTCTGAGAGGCCCAAGGGTGCTGCTCCTGGCAGTGAGATGGGATCCCCCAGGTGGCCTACTAGGTAGAGGGCTGTGAATACTGGCTCTCCGTGGCCCTGGTACAACCCTCTGGGCATGGCCAGGGCCAGCCTCCAGGACACCAGCCCAACCACAAGGCTGCACCAGCTTAGAGCCCTCTGACCAGAACCACTCCACTCAAGGAAGCTGGGACACACCAGGGCAGGCAGGGGCTGGCTGCACGGTGGGCAGGCGTGTCCCAGCAGCAGCAAGGAAGTCTCGGTGGCTATCGGCCGTGGCAGCTGCAGCCCAGGGCTGCCAGCACTGTGCTCTGGCCAGCTCTGGGACGTGGGCCAAGTGGGGGCAGGGAACTGGCCCTCAGACCCACTGGGTGGGTCAATGGCCACACATTACGGGTCCGAGTTGGGAACACAGAATCGATTGGGTCTAATGGCTCAGAAGAAAACCAGCTGCCCACCCTGGCTGCATGGGCTCTGGGGTGGCCTCCTCAATGTGCTCCGACATCCCAGCCTGGGTTCTACTCAGGTATGAGCTGCGGGGGCAGCCTGGTGTGAGGGTGGGCAGGATTCTGGACCCTCGCCCTCACAGTGCCTCCCAGGCAGGACAGAAGCCAGCCGGGTCTGAAGCGCCTTTGTTTTCCGCTGAGAGGCTGGGCGGGCCAGGCAGGCAGGCCTTTCCGGGCTGTCCACAGGACTGTTGGCCGAGACCCTGGAGAGCCCCAGGCTGGCCTGGCCCGGCCTGGGGTAAAGTCATGGGCAGTTGGACTGCAGAAGGGCCCTGGGGACCGTCTCCCACCCTAAGCCTTACAGAGACAGCCCTCGCTGGGACAGAGACTGAGGGCTGAGCGGGCTCCAGGAGAGGCAGCCGGAAGCCCCTCGGCTCCCAGCCACGCCAGAAGCACTCCAGGCCAAATCCGGTCCCTCCCCTCTGGGACGGGCAAAATACAACCTCCCCTCAACCCCCTCCAGCCTGTGAGCCGGGGAAGCCCAGTGGCGGCCTTCCCTGCAGCCTGGCCGCATTCTGGGTATGGGGCGACCAGGGCAGGCGCCCTGTTGGTCCCGGCCCTCCTCTCTGCTTCACTAAGTCTGCCCCCCTTCGTGCAGCAGCTGGTGGGTAGGTGGGCAGGGACCTTACCACCCTGGAGAAAGCTGGGCAGCGAATCAGCCAGGAGGAAGGGGGTAGGAAGGGCGCACCCAGGCCCAGAGAGTGAGTAAGCCCAGACGGGGGGAGCGCGCCTGCCGGAGGGGCTAGACCGAGGGCCGCCTTGCGAGACATCCCTCTTCCCGCCACCACCTGCATCCTGTCCAGGGCTGTTCTGACCTTGAGGAGGCAGGGATCCTGGACACCTGGGCTGCTTGAGCACAAGGTCCCTCTCACGTTCGCGGGAACTCGCGTGTCACACCCGCCCCCACCCTACCCCCGTGTGAAACTCCTGGGGGAACTGGCGCCAAGGGAATGCGTCGGGACAAGCAGGAGGCAGAGGCCAAGGTCGCCCCCGCTTGGACTGAATCCCGACAGAGTCCAAACCTGGCCCAGCCCAGCTCAGCGGAGCCCGGAGTGGGAGCTGGGGGTCACTGTTCCCGGCCACTTGTTCCCGGGGGAAGCGGGTGTAGGGGGTCCAGGAGAAAGGGCCCAGGCCCACGGGAGCGCGCGGGACGCACCCGGGGCGTACAGCCACGCCCTGCCCCGCCCCGCCCGGCGCCGTCCGAGGAACCGGGATGCGTCCGCGGATCCCCGAGCGCTCCCCCAAACACTGGCCTCATCCCGGGGCACCACAAGCCCCGCCCGGGTGGTCCCTGCCCCGCCCCCACAAGCCGCTTCGGGGTTCGGGCGTGACCGCCCCCGCTTTCGCGCAGCCCCACCCTTTGGCTTTAGCCGCTTGGGCAGCGCGGCCAGCCAGCCTCCGGGACGCGCATCCTCGGTCCGGGGCCGGGGCCGGGCGCACCCCGAGTTACGCCGCGGCTCTGCGGCGCGGGACTGGCCGCGAAGGGCGGCGGGATGCACCGAGCGGGCCGGGAGCGGGCACGCACTCACCGAAGTACACGGTCTTGTCGCACTTGGGGCATTTGGAGGCCATGGTCGGTGCGCCCGGTCGGCCCGCGCCCTCCGCCCGTTCTCCTCCGGGCCGCCGCCGCCCGCGCCCAGCCCCGCCTGCCCGGCTGTCCGCGCGCCCATTGGCTCCGCGGCCGGGGCGGGGCCTCGATAACCCGTCCCCCGGGCTGGGGGCCGCCTGGGGGCGCCGCGGGGGCGGGGCGCACCTGCCGGGGGTGGCGGGTGCGGGGCAGCCGGGCCAGGCCTGGCGCCCCCGGGCCCCTCGCGCCGGAGGTGGCGTCTACAGGGGCCCGCCCGGGCGACCGCGGCGCCGCCCGCGCCCCGGCTGTTTCCATGGCGACGTCGGGGCCGCCTGGCCGGGCCGTCCCCGGGGCGGCGGGCAGGGTGCGGGGAGCCTGGCCCTCGGCTCTCGGGGAGCCCTAGTGACTTGGGCCTAGGGGTCCAACACTCCCGGCCCTGGGCGCCCAGGCTGCGCTCCGCCGCGGGAAGGGGTCGCAGGCTCCGGGAGAACCCCACCCCCACCCCGCCGCGCGCGGCGCCTGTCCCGCTTCCCTTTGTTGCTCGGTTTCCATAGCAACAGCCGCGCCGCGGGAGCGGAGTCAGATTCCCGGCGGGCACGGCCCCCAGCCCTGTCCGGGTCTCCATGTCCCGCTCCGCCCCCGCCCGCGCCCCGCCCCAACACTGTCTGTGGTGCTGAAGGCTCCTTGGGTGGAGGGCAGGGCTCAGGAAGGAAGGCGCCGCCACCTCCAGAAACAGCTCGAGAAGCTGCTGGTAGGGGGTGTGGGGAGGTCTGCGTCTGCCTCCCAGGCAGGGAAGGGGCGGCGGGCACCAGCGCCGAGGGATCCGCGCTTAAGGCGTCCACCCCAAGCACTTCCACCCAGGGGGCGGCCGGGGAGGCGGTGAGGAGTTAGGAAGGGAAGGAGGGGAAGGAGTGGGCGTGCCCTCTGTGCCCCGGGCTGGGGCTGACACTCCAGTCCCTTCTCCCGCACCGCCCAGGACCAGCTGCGTGCCTGGGGGCCCAGGGCCTGACCTCGAGGGGTCAGGCGGGAGATTGAGGGGTCATGCCAGTCACCGCACCCCCACACCCCCACTCTGGCCTCCTCCCAACCAGGGCGTGCCTGACCACGCCTCACCACAGTGCCTCCGCCCTAGAGCCCCGTAGAGCCTGGCCCCAGGTGGGGAACCTCCGCACCCACGGGCTTCCTGGTGCTCTGTCCCCATGGGCCCTTCTCTGAGCCTTCTGGCCCCAGCTGAGCGTCGGCCTGGGAGACAGGCAGATCCCAGAAGCCCAGTGATCAGGCCCTATGGGGGCAGCTGACTCTGGACACCCTTCCCCCTGTGTCTTGGAGGCTGTGGGCTGGACACGGAGACCTACCTGTTCCCTCTGCCTGGTGCACCAGGCATGTTTGTGAGCCAACCAGAGGCCCTCGGTGCTCCTGGCTTTCATGGTGGTCCTGGCTGGGCTCTCTGTGGCAGCACCCTCCTCCCTTGCACACACACCCTGCAGCCACTGCCATTTCCATGGTGACAGCAGGCCAGAAACATGCCCCCCGCCCCCCCGCCCGACTGACCAGCCTGACCAGCTCCCCCTCTGCACTTGGGACCTGTGCCAGCCAAGGCAGAAGATGGTGAGGAGGCATCAGTCAGTACCTTTTCTGGGCAGCCCTTCCTCCCTGGCAGGCCCAGGGGTCCCTAGGGGTCCCTCACAGCAGGGCCTTGCCCAGGCTGGATTCATGGGCCCACTGCCAAACCCTCTCCAGCTCCCTGCCCTGTTCTGCCCAGCTTGGGAGCCTGGGGCTAAGCCATTACCCTCCCTGACTTTGCTACCTGTGGGGCTTGCTACCTGTGGGGCTTGCTCTGGAGGACAGGGCTGGCTGAACACAGGGCTCTTCTGGAGGGAGACCACCTGCCCCAAGGTCCCCAGCCCTGCCAGAAGAGTGGATGGGGGTAGAGGCAGGCCCCTCCCAGGGTGGCAGCAAAGGAATGGCATTCGGCACTGGCCAGGTGCCCTGGAGACACACGGAGGGTGGGGTGGGACAAGGAGTGTGCCAGCTGCTGCACTGCCCTCACCCCAGCCGCAGTCCCTGGGCAGCGGCCAGAAGCTCCCTAATGCGACGGGGCTATTCTGGGCCTGGCAGGCAGGGGTCAGGATCAATGGGTGCAGAGCAGTGGCCTTGGTCTCCACCTCTGAGGCTGCGGTGGGTCACAGGCAGGGGCAGTGACACAGTGGGACGGGCCCGAGTGGAGAGGGGGGCACAGGACACGGCGGGTGTGAAGGGAGCTGGCAGGGCTGATGGCTGGGCATGGGGCTGGGTCACACCCCTGGGCTGCAGTGGTCTGGTCCCTTCCGCCATCCTGTGACACTGGCAGATAGCAGGCCCCTGCTACTCAGCTCCACTGCAGGGAAGCCAGGCTGGGCTGAGTGGTGGACAGAGGACCCTAGCAGGGTGGAGCGGAGCTGGCAGGACAGGTCTCCAGGCATGACAGCATGATGGCCTTGCCACCCTGAGATGCCCCTGGCCCTGGGGAGCCGCGGCCCCTGTGGGGTTGCTGGTGCAGAAAGCAGGCTGCTGTCTCATCAGCAGGGAAGGGCCTAACGAGGACATAGCAAAGCTGGGAGACCCCTTCATGGCCTGGGCACCAAGGCCAATGCTCCCCCCAGCCGGTACCCACTCACTTCTAAGCCCAGGTTTAGACCCACAAGCAGCCCAGGCCCCACCCAGCACCGGTGGCCAGAGCTTGGCCCTGTGAGGGCACTGCAGCCTGGGTGTCTGGCCGGGGAGGGTGTCTGGGGTGGGAAAGGGCCCCACATCTCCTCAGGGCCTCCCTGCCCTTGGGATAGAGCCCAGGACCTAGGACACCTCACAGCCCACATGTTGACTCCAGAAAAGGACAGGCCCTGGGGGGTGGAAGAGCTGCTGAGGCCAGAACCCTGCAGCCAGCACTGGGAGGCAAGCCCGAGGCCTGGGGAAGGGAGACAAGGGAGCTGGGGTCTTCACTGAGCTCCAGACCCCCAGGGTTGGAAAAGGCCTCAGAGGGAGCTGTGTCCTTCATGAGGTCAGGGGCCTGATTTCCCAGCCGTCTGATGACGCACTACAGGCAAGTCCTCAGGCTGTGGGGTCACTCGGATGCTGGCTGCAGATTAGAGTTGGCTGGTGGGGGCTGGGGTTGGGTGGGGGGGCGCCACAGCCCAGGGAGGGTGGGTGGGACGTGCACTGCAGCCGAGTCCCTGACACCTAGTCCTGTCACTGCTGGGCCCCAGCACAGGCTCCCACGGAGGCCAGGACGCCCCCTTATCTTTGTCTCCTGGGAGACAGCAGAAGTGGTTTCTATTTTAATTCCGTGGCTGAGATTTCCACATGACAGGGCGCCTGGGTGGGCTGGGGGAGCAAAGGCACAGCTCTGGGGAGAGACAGAGGAGCTACTCTCCCTGAGCGAGGCCTGGGCGGACCCCTCCTGGCCGGCTGAGGTAGCACGGCCAGGGGGGTGGTCTGGAGCCAGGCTATCCACCGGACCCCTCCTTCTGGTGGCCCGGCCTGTACCTGTCCCCCGGCCTGCAAGTCCTGTCCCCGGCCGGAGGATGGGCCAAGCAGGATTTCTGAGAATGTGCTTGCAGAAATCTAAGCAGATTCTCACTGTGGAGACTGCACACCTGCTTGGGGGCCAGAGCTCTGGGCAGAAACCCTCAGGCGGCTGGGGCCAGGCTCTACATGGCCAGGAGGTTGGGCCTCTGGCTGGAGCACTCCAAGGCCTCGCTGGCCCAGCTGCACTGGCTGCCCTGGTGGGAAGCCACAGGGTCTTCGGCAGGGCCAGCTCTGCCTGCCGGGAGGCAGTCCCCGGCCCACCGCTGCCGCAGACACAGACGCACAGACGGTTTCAGCACAGCTCTGCTGGGGAAGGGGGTTGGGCCCTGCAACCGCTTGCTGCCCCCTGGGGAGGGCAGAGGGCACCGCGCCAGGCCCCAGCAGGGGAAGGTCTGTGGGCAGGTGGGAGAGCAACAGAGCCCAGAGGCTGGGGTGGCTGTCCTGGCTGAGGTGGCCTCCAGGGGCCTCCAGCTCCACGGCAGAGCCACAGCCTAGGGCCGCCCGATGGGGGTGGGGGGCCCAGGGCCTGAGTCAGGGAGAGGGACTGGGAACAAAAGACACAGGGAAGGACCGGTTGGTTTTTTTCCTTTTTATAAGATTTTTTTTCTTTGTTTTTGTTTAATATGAAAATTACTTGAAAAGACAAGGGCCAACCCCGCCAGGCAGCTCGGCCGGCCGCGGCCGCACGATCCTAACATTCCAGGTGTAAGTTACAGAGCTCAAGTTCATCTACAAAAAAAGTAATAAAAATAAAATTTAAAATGGCACCTTCAACAGAACACAACAAAACCTTAGGGCCCGGCCTCCGGGCAAAAGGCCCCGCAGCACAGGGGCACGGGGTGGCCCCTCATCTCCGCTCCAGCCAAAAAGTAAACACAAAGCTAAAAACGACAACTCCTCGGCATTCTCGGAATAAGTTAGCCGCGCTTCTTCCTCTCCTCCCCCAGTGTCCGCCAAGGAGCGCGTTTCTCTGCAGGTGAGGGCGGGAGGTGGGGCACTACCAAACTGAGGGGCGGGCGGCGGGCTGGCTGGGAAGGGGCCGTGTGGGCGGGCGAGGGGCGGGGGGCGGCCGCAGGTGGGGGCGGCCCCTAGTCCTCGATGACGATGGGCTCGTCGTTGACGGGCGCAGGTGGCGGTGGCCGCGGCGGCAGGGCCTGGCTCTGGCGCAGGGCGATGGGCTTGTAGGGCCGGCGGGCAGCACGCTTGGTTTCCGAGGATGAGAGCAGCTTGCGGATCTTCCTGTGGGCAGAGGTGGTGGTGAGGGCCGGGACGCTGTGCGGAGCCCTCCCGCCTGCCCTGGGAAGGCCCCACCTGGTCTCCTCTGTGGCCATGTAGAACACGTCATCCGGGGCGTCGATCCAGTTCATCCGCCGCCGCTTGACTGGGGGCAGGGAGCCCCCCCGGATCAGGCGCACTTTGGTGGGGTAGGACTTCCCGTTGAGCAGGAGGTTCCGGCTTGGTCCCTGCAGAGGGGGTGCACTTCCTGGGCAGCCAGCCAAGGGCCAGCTCCACCTCAACCTGCAGGGCTCCCGCTGGGAGGTGCTGTGCCTGGCCAACCCCCCACCACCCCAGTGAGTTACACGGACCCCCAGCCTGGCCCAGGGCAGCCCTGAGGGCTGGTCGGCCGCACACCGCTGGGCCTGGCACAGGGGCCATGGCCCCCACATGCTGCAGCCCCTCTGGTCTTGCCAGGCCTCCTGGAAGCTTCCACGTGGCACCTGGCAGGGCTGGCCAGGCCTCTTCCCAACACCCCAGAGAGCTCATGGGTGAGCGCACCGTACCCCATCATGGGTTGTTCCTCTTACCATGTGCCTGGCCTGTCCGTGGTTTGCCAGACCTGATGAGAAATGGAGGAGAGAAATGAGGCCCCGAGAGAGCGCGTCCTGCACTCCCACCGCCCACCACGGCCTCAGCCACCTTGGGACAATGGGCCGGGGCCATCTGCCAACCAAGCCACAGCCCACACCCAGGATGGGCCTGGGGGACGTGGGGCCTCGCATCCCCGGGTCCTGGGCCGCCTGGTGGCCCCACAGCTCTCTGGCCAGCAAGAGACACATTGGCTTGGGCTCCAGGCAGGAGGCCAGGAGCCTTGGACCCGACAGTCACCTCCCTGCACAGGGGCCGGGGCTGTCCACCCACTTGCCTGCCGTGCCGAGACAAGCAAAGCCTCGCAAGGCTGTCAGTCCAGCAGCGGCACAAGCCCCTCTGCAGGGCAGCCACGCTGTGGCCGGCACTGCCCCACCAGGAGGCCGGGCTTTTTCCTAAGGCTCTGAGAGAGCCGCCAGCCCCGGCCAGAAACAGGTCACCACCCACTGCCCTGGCTGGGCCCCAGCCACCCTGGCATGTGCTTGGGGATGGGGTGCCAGAGGCCTCTGACTTCCCACAGTGCAGGGTGAGGAGCCCAAGGGGCACTGCGGGAGTTGGGCCAAGAAGCGGGGTCCATGCTCCTGGTCACCCCCAGCTGGGCCCAGGACCGCCGCTGCCCTCCCCCACTCACTGCCCTTCCCCACTGCCCTGTGTGTAGGTGTGGGCGTGTGCATGTGGGAGCTGGTCCCAGGATGGCTCGGCTCCCAGCAGGACCAGCTCAGAGAGGACAGGATGTCATACTCAACTCAGTCAGGTGCCAGGGCCCAGGGGCATCGGAGCAACCTGCCAGCTCCAGAAACGCTGCTTAGCTGAGGCCCATCCCTTAAGGAACAGAAGCAGCCTGTCCAGCCCCTCCCCACCTGCAGTTGCCTCCTAACTTGGGGCACTCCCCTGGGGGCCAACTGGGGCCCTGGAGCCCTGGGTCAGCCTTTCCCTGCCAGTTTGCTTAGCTCTGCCGGGCAGGGTCAGGTGGGGGCCCAGGTGCCTGATCTGCGGCGCTCCCAAGCAGGAACAGCCATACCTCAGGGCACCTGCCACAAGCCAAGGCCCAGCGCCCAGGGCTGGCCAGTAGCACAAAAACTACTTACCCAGGTAAGTGCCTACCAGAGCGGTGGACAGCAGAGGGAAGAAACACATGCTTTAGGTTAGTGAGCCACACGCAGCCATCTGCAGGCCCCGCAGGTGGGGACAGCGCAACAGGCTGCACGGGCAAATGGCCGGGTTAGAGCGCTGGGGCCCCGTGCTGTGGGCAGGCAGGGCCCTCACTCGAGCTCAGCTCATGCCTACCCAGGCTGGACAGAGACCCCACCTCGTGTGCGCCAGTGCCCCCGGGAGCCGTCTTCACCCAGCTGGCCCCTCTCCAGCGCCCAGGTCCTGGCCGCTACACGTCAGGACAGGCGCTTCCTCTGTGGCTGACCCCTCTGAGCCCAGGGCCCCGCCCAGCCAGGCGGCAAGGGGTGATGCTCCCTCACAAGCACTGCATGGCTGGGACTCACGTGTGAGGTGTGGAAAATTCAGTGGGAACAAATAAGCTTTTATGTAACTTGCTGGTTAACCGCTTTTTACAAAACAAAACAAAAAGCTCGAAGATGCCTGCTGACAAGGACTCCCTCCTGTTTCTACCAGCTCTTATGGGGCTGTTCCTGGGACGCCCTGCCATTAGGAACAGACAAGTAAAGCCAGCCCAGAGTGGGCTGGCCCTGGGCCCAGGACTAGGCAATGGGGGCAGCCCCAATACCAGATGGCTGGGAGGGTGCCCCAGGAAAGGAGGGCTGGGGCTGGGGCCGAGACACAGACACCGCCAAGGGATGTCGGGAGGAAGCTGCAAGGACAGGCCAGGGGTGCGTGTCCAGACAGGTGGAGATGGGGGGCCCGGCACCCGATCTCAGGCCCACCCTGCGCTGCAGCCGGCGTGCTGACCCCACAGGACGTGCCTGCCAGGACACCCAGCAGCCTCGAGAGAATGCCCCAAGGGGACAGGGTTGGCTGGGCTGGGCAGCCACTACCCATATCCACCTCCAGGTCGCCAAACCGGCCCTGCTGCCCTGGCCAGCACCGTCAGTGAAAGCCGCCTGGCGAAGGGGCTCCAGGCACATCCACACTGGCAGGCCCAGCACTTGCACACCCGGGCCCCACACACCTGGCCTCCTCATGCTAGGCTTGGTCCTATCTGCTCTTCCCCAAGGGGCCTGGGGTCCCGCAGCCCCTGCTCCAAGCAACCGGCACAGAGCACCTGAGCCAGTCCTCCGACAGAAGGCACCCATGTGTACAAGCTCAGTTGCCCACGGCCCACACAGACACCCCCGACCACCCTCCCCACTGTCCCGCCTGGCAGGCGCACGGAAGGATTGCAGGCACAGCACGGGCGGCCCCACGAGCTGAGGCTGGCAGCATGCGGGCAGTCACAGCGCGATGGCAGACAGCGCAGGCAGGGGCGCCAGGGCCACACGTGCCAGGACAGTCCACTGACAGGAGGCGGGGCCAGGGGGCCGAGGGCCAGATGCCTGGGCTCGGGGGGTCTTCACCAAGGGACCAGTGATGTCGGGAGGAATGTGGGGAACTGGGCTGTGGCCTGGCTCACGTGGACTGCCCCAAGCATGGGCCCTGGGCCGCCCGCCGCGGGGACACAGAGCAGCACAGCACAGGCATCACGGGCGGGGCCGGCGCAGCGCCCGCCCGCGGCTCCAGGCCTTACCCCTACTGGGCATCAAGAGGCGCTTCTTCATGTTGCCTGGCAGCGCCGGGGTGGGAGAGAGGGAGAGAAGACAGCGTCAGCACGCACGGCGGGTGCCCGGGCGGGGACGGGCCGGACTCACCGGGCGGGGAGGGCCACACTCACCGGGCGGGGGGGCCACTCACCGTCCACCCCGTTGTGCTGCTCGTAGCTGCGCTTGCCCAGGATGGTGGGGGAGCCGTTGTTGATGACGGGGGCCACCTTGGCGGGCGTCAGGCTGCTGAGCACGCTGGACACGCTTTTCACGGGGTCAGGCTTGGGGGGGCGGGGGTGGGTCTCTGCCGGGAATGACACAGGCAGAACGAGTTGCCTCTGCCCAGCAGGGGAGGGGCAGGCAGGCCCAGGCTCCAGCCCTCATGGTTCCGGGATACCCCCAGGAACTAAGCCCCATGCGGCCCCCACCCGAGGCCCCATCCTGACTGGGCTGGAAGTGGGGAGGTCACCACAGAACCAGAAGCCCAGAAGCCCTCGGCAAGGCGTGTGCCCGGGCCAGTCCCGCACCCCAGGGCTTCCAGAGAGCAGGGAGACCACCTGGCGGGGGCCAGGCCCCTCAGCCCCGGGACAACAGGATCCATACACAGGCCCGTGAGCACAGCACGCCTATTAAACAGCCCCCACGTCCAGGCCCCCGGAGCTGCTGGTGGAGGGCTGGCTGCTCGTCAGACAGCGAACCAACCATCCAGCCAGCCTGGCCAGGGACACAGCTGCTGAGGACCAGCCCTGACACCAGCCACCTCTTCCCACAGGACAGGGGCCACAACCCCAAACAGGGAGCAATGCCAAAGCCACTTGAATCTCAGAGCACACTTGGCTCATGACTCTGGAATGTCCTTCTCAGGACAGTCACCCTGTGTCGGGAGGGCAGATGCACAAGCCCACTCGAGCCCAGCAAATGGAGGAGGCCCCCCACCGCCACCACAAATGTCTGGCCCAGCCACCAAGCTGCTTCCAGCTGGGCCAGGGTAGCCGGCTGAGGTTCTCGGGTGTCCTCAGATGCTCAAAGGCAAAGGAACCCCCTGCCGCCTGAGGCTGCTCCTCCCCCTGCCGAGGGCGTGCAGAGGCCTGAGTGCTGCCCCTGTGGAGTGGGCGTGGCTCAGGAAGTATACTCCCTGCAGGCAGCAGGTACGACGCTGCCTTAATGGTATTACAGGCAGGGGTGTGCACCACCTAAACCCCAGACCCTCAGGCCCCAGGGACGATCAGAACACAGGGAACAGGGTAGCGAGACTGGCAGGGAAGCCCCCGGGTGTGCCTTGAGGAGGCTGGCCCCGCAGAAGACAGGGCGGCCGCTACTCCGCACTGGGCCCCATCACGACCCCAGGAGCAGGGAGCAGCCTGGGTCCCAGTGGGTCTGCCTGAGCCTGGCACGGTGCAGAGTACCCCAAAAGGACAGTTCCAGGCCCTGGGGGGCTGTCCAGGAGCTCCCAGCTAGAGAAGGCTGGGAGCACCAGTGCATGAGCTTGGGTGAGAAGCTGCCTGCAGGCAGCATTGGGAGCCCCCCAGCACGCCTGGCTGCTCACCAAGATACCGAAGCACGGCTTCCAGCGGCTTGCGTACCGCCTGCTTCAGCACCAGCGGGCTCTGGGAGGCTTCGGGCAGCCGCGCCGTGCCTGCGGGGTACCACACGGTGTGAGGGGTGGGGCACCCCCAGGGGAGCACGGGACCCTGCCTGCGCCTTGACCTGGGAGCCCTCACTGGGCTCGGCCATGTCAGCACCGAGGAGGACGTGGGGCTCCCTGAGATCAGAACTCCCAGTGGGGCTACAGGCTGGGCCCCAAGGTTGCTGCTCTCTCCCCACCACCCGCAGGAACAGAGTAAGCGGGGCGTTGGGGTGACTCACACTCGGCCTTGATGGCCGCGCTGTTGATGGGCAGGTAGGGGTGCCGCGCAGCGTGCCACGGGCGCAGGATCTCACGGCACAGGCGCCGGGCGATCCGCGTCAGCTTCGTCGTGTGCAGATAGAAAGCCTGCCTGGTCTTCATGGCAAACTTGGGGCTCCCGCTGCTCCGGGCTGGGAGGCCGTGGGGACTCTGCGGAAGGGGGCGCAACCGCCCCAACACAGCGCCATGACCGGGGGCCGAGGACCCGCGTGGCCGACAGGCTCATGGCAGGCAGGGCGGGTGTCCCCCCCCTTACCATGTTACTGCGGTTTGGTCCTGGCCTCTCTCCATCTAACCGGGTTGGCATTTTCAAGCCACCATATTTCTTCCAATATGTCCAACAAGATGCGCAGAGACGACACTGCATGTTAGGGGGACCCCAAGAATACCACTGGTAAGACTGTGTGGCTACGGACAACAAAGTTGGAAATAGACGGATTCTTAAGCAGAACCAGCGATGTCAGAGTATTCCCCGCCACCCCCACGCCGGCCGCCCCCACCCGCCAGGCACCCCCACACGTTCCCCGAGGCTCTCCCAACCACACCCCTGGGACGCAGCCCCCATCGTCAGTGGGCCCCTTGCAGGCTGGGCCATGCTGGAGCCCTCAGGGCCAACGCAGGCACCACGGCCCACAGGCGGGCGTGCGGTGTGCCCCCGGCCATCCAGGGCACTTACTGTAACAGCTCTCGCAGGCCCGGCCAGCCCCAGGGCTCTGGCCCGGCGCCCCCGTGCCGTTCACCACACCGGCCTTGACGTTGTTGACGCTGATTTGGTTCGGATTTGGCTTGTTACTTAAAGAGGGAAAGGAGAGACGAGAGGAGTTGCAGGAGCACAAACCTCGAGGGCCCATGTGCCCAGCAGGCACCGCGGCTGACCACCCCTTGTCCAGAACCACGTCCTCGCACCCCTCGGCCTCGGCAGGGATCTTCCTTTCTCCCCTTTCAGTTCCTGGGAGCCACTGCTGAGGTCTGAGCCGTTCTCCAGGCCCCCGTGCTCCCCCTAGCATGGAGCCCAGCTCAGGGACTGAACCCTGGCGGTGTGGGCTGGAATCCCAATGCCCCCTTACTGACCAGGAGGCCAGGACGACAGAGACATGGCCACTGCGTCTGCAGCCAGAACCCCCCAGCCCTGGGCCGCCCTCCCGGGGGCTGCCCCAACTTTCCCAGCCTCTGAGCTTGAGTTTCCTTGGGACCCGCCTGGCCCCAGCACCCTGTGCCCACCCTCCCTGGCCCCCGGGGCCACGAGGACGACGGCTGTGAGGGCACACTTACTAGTTGGGAATATAAACTTGCTTTAACTTGCTCTCAGCTTCAGCTGCTTTCAAGCGTTTCTTAAAACAAAAGAGAAGGTCAGAGGTCAGCAGGCTAGGCCCAGGTTGGGGCTGCAGTGCAGACAGGCTGGAGGCTACGGAGAGGAGAGCACCACGGAGAGGACAGCCGGGCCAGGGACTCAGGAGTCTTCCTTCCCCTCCTGCTGCAGCAGTGCACGCCCACCTGCTGGGAGAGGATGGGGCGCAGGACGGGGAGGCGGCACACCCCGGGCACTGAGTGGCGGGCGGGCTCACCTGCTGCACGTATCTGTCGGTGGTCTTCCACATGTAGTAGTACTCAATGATGCTGGTCAGCGACTTCCACGGGAGCTGGGTGGGAGGAGGCGTGTCACACAAGCAGGAAGGGGCAGGAGGCAGGCACACCATGCAGGCAGGGGCAGGGCTGCGGCCAGAAGGCCACAGAGGGGGCGGGAGGCCAGAGGGCGAGGTGTGCTTGGTGCACGGAGGCCAGGCCCCTGCTGGCAGGCAGGTGCAGAGGGCAGCTGATGAAGCAGGTCCCCCCGCCAGATGCCAAAACACAGTGACGCCAGGGGAAGAGGAGCTGGCACAAGGTCAAGGTCGAGATCTTGCCGAGGTGGCACTGACAACCCAGCCTCCATCTCAGCCTTTTTTTTGTTTGTTTTTGAGACGGAGTCTCGCTCTGTCACCCAGGCTGGAGTGCAGTAGTACAATCTCGGCTCGCTGCAACCTCTGCCTCCCGGGTTCAAGCAATTCTCCTGCCTCTGTCTCCTGAGTAGCTGGGACTACAGGCACCTCTCAACACACCCGGCTAATTTTTGTATTTTTAGTACAGACGTGGTTTCACCATGTTGGCCAGGCCGGTCTCGAACTCCTGACCTCAAGTGGTCCACCCACTTCGGCCTCCCAAATGGGATTATAGGCATAAGCCACCATGCCCGGCCATCTCAGCCATTTTTGTTTTTGAGACAGAGTCTCGCACTGTCGCCCAGGCTGGAGTGCAGTGGTGCGATCTCGGCTCACAGCAACTTCCACCCCCGGGGGTTCAAGTGATTCTCCTGCCTCTGTCTCCCGAGTAGCTGGGACTACAGGAGCCTGCCACCATGCCCGACTAATTTTTGTATTTTTAGTAGACATGGCGTTTCACCATGTTGGCCAGGATGGTCTTGATCTCCTGACCTCATGATCCTCCTGCCTCGGCCTCCCAAAGTGCTAGGATTACAGGCATGAGCCACTGCGCCCGGGCTGTGGCATGGATTTAAGAAACCTGTCTTATTAAATAAGGGTTCAGATAGTTCCTCAGTCTGGTCCACTGCATCTGGCAGGAAGGAGAGCGGGGCCTGCTCCCTCGACACAGCCCCGAAGCTGCAGCCTCCCATCCCCGCACCTGGACAGGGCCCCGCAGCCGCAGCCCCCCGAGACCGTGCCTGGGCATGGCCCCGCAGCCGCAGTCCCCTGAGCGCTGCCTCGCTAGGCATCACGTGGGCTCAGCACTGGGGTCTCCTCCGCTGGAACCATGTGCAGCAGGGTCTCCCTCAAATTCCGCCCTGGTCTGAGCCTAGTTGGTGAATTTTGTTTCTAGCCCTCGTCCTCTTGTCTGAACATGTTCTGCTCATCTTGGTTTGTTTTTAAGCCTGGAGAGATCCGTATCCGCCTTGGAGAGGCCGCTGGCCCCAGGGACAGTCAGGGACTCCTCCCGCCCGGCCAAGCTCTCCCCTTGGCCAGAGGCCCCCACACAAAGCTGCACTCCTGCCCCCAGCAGATGCGTCCTCAGGAGCCTCACAGCTGGCTGCTGTCCCTCCTCCTCTTCAGGTCTAGGCACCCTACCCAACCCCATGTTTGTTTCTTCCGAATTCCAGATGCGTCTCCAGCCTCTGCTGCGCTGGCCTGTGCGCTGCTGCCCGGATGGTGCTTTCATCAGATACTAGCCACCCCGCTGTGTCCCGGCCCCTTTGGGGCTCCTCCCTGCCCTGCCACAGTCTCCACCTCCCCAGGGCTGATGGTTGGGGGCCCCACCACCCCCACATAGGGATGCTCTTCTAACAGATTAATTTAGAAGTATTTTAGGAGGGCTGACGGTTGGAGGGTGGGGGTCCTGAGGTGGAGGTACAGGGAAGGGAGACCCCACGCCATGAAGACTCTCTAGGCCTGCTGCTGGGCTAAACTCACGTGAGACAGAAAACAAGGACATGAGGAGTCAAGAGGTTCAGCTTAGTCAAAAACAAAGCAAAACCAAGCCTGGGGCTGGAGGGGGCAGCAAGGAAGGGAAAGTCTCCGTGAGGATACCCTGGCCTCCGTCACCTGGGCCAACCCTTATCCTCATCACGCAATGGTGGCAGGAGCATGGCTCTCTATGCCCAGGCCCCACCAGCGCCCCCATGCCTGTCTGCTGAACCAGTGTGACAGGAAGGACTATGGCGGCCGAGCGCAGCTGAGACAGAACTCATGCAGCTCCGCACAGGGAATCAGGGTGCAGGACAGGCTCCCTCAGGGCAGAGTGGGATGTGGAGCCCACACCCCCGCAGCCTACCTGGAGATGGGCATGGCCAGCCACTCCCCCATCGCCACCCACGGTACTCACAAAATCTTGCTGAATGTCCGTGAAATCCTTCCCATATTTTTCCAGGGCTTCCTCGAAAAGGTTGGCCTCTGATGCAGACCACTCCTCCATCTCGTCCCTGCAGAGCACGGGCCCGCCCTGCGGCACCAGCGCCGAGATGGCCTTGGAGATGTCGTAGATGTTCTTGTGGAGAGTATCCATGGCGTGGAACTGCGGCAGGAGACAGCAGGGTCACCCGGGCCAAGGTGGCTTTTCCTGCACCTGTGGCACGGTACCCCCTCCCTCAGTACCTCAAGGATCCCCTACTGCAGGCCCAGCAGCACAACCCTCCCTGCACCCTCAGCACAGTCTGGCCGAGTTTGGGGTGGATAGGAAAGGCCAGTCCAGGTGGGACAGCACCTCTGCAGGGGTCCTGAATACCTGGGGCAGGTGCTGGGCCCTGGTAGGAAGAAGGGCGCAGCCACTCTGGGCCATGGGCCACCCCAGGTCTCACCTGTCCCGCCCTGGGCCCACTTACCAGGGTGATGTCTCGGGAGGCAGCTGCGGCGCTCATGTGCAGGCTGGGCTGTCGGACGGAGCTGCTGCAGTCCAGGGCCCGTGCGAAGGTGCCCACAGAGCTGGGGAAAGGAGATGCGCTGACCACAGTGTCGGCCAAGCAGGGACTCCCCACAGGCACACCGCTCCCCAGGCGCCAGGGACCAGCGGCCACGGGCAGCACGGACTCCCCCAAGGCACACCACTCCCCAGGTGCCAGGGACCAGGGGCCATGGGCAGCACGGACTTCCCCCAGGCACACCACTCCCCAGGTGCCAGGGACCAGGGGCCATGGGCAGCACGGACTTCCCCCAGGCACACAGCTCCCCAGGTGCCAGGGACCAGGGGCCATGGGCAGCACGGACTTCCCCCACGCACACCGCTCCCCAGGTGCCAGGGACCAGGGGCCATGGGCAGCACGGACTTCCCCCAGGCACACAGCTCCCCAGGTGCCAGGGACCAGGGGCCATGGGCAGCACGGACTTCCCCCAGGCACACAGCTCCCCAGGCGCCAGGGACCAGGGGCCACGGGCAGCACGGACTCCCCCCAGGCACACAGCTCCCCAGGCGCCAGGGACCAGGGGCCATGGGCAGCACGGACTCCCCCCAGGCACACAGCTCCCCAGGGACCAGGGACCAGGGGCCACGGGCAGCACGGACTCCCCCCAGGCACACAGCTCCCCAGGGACCAGGGACCAGGGGCCATGGGCAGCACGGACTGCCCCCAGGCACACAGCTCCCCAGGCGCCAGGGACCAGGGGCCATGGGCAGCACGGACTCCCCCCAGGCACACAGCTCCCCAGGGACCAGGGACCAGGGGCCACGGGCAGCGCGGACTCCCCCCAGGCACACAGCTCCCCAGGTGCCAGGGACCAGGGGCCATGGGCAGCACGGACTGCCCCCAGGCACACAGCTCCCCAGGCGCCAGGGACCAGGGGCCACGGGCAGCACGGACTCCCCCCAGGCACACAGCTCCCCAGGGACCAGGGACCAGGGGCCATGGGCAGCACGGACTCCCCCCAGGCACACAGCTCCCCAGGCGCCAGGGACCAGGGGCCATGGGCAGCACGGACTCCCCCCAGGCACACAGCTCCCCAGGGACCAGGGACCAGGGGCCACGGGCAGCACGGACTCCCCCCAGGCACACAGCTCCCCAGGGACCAGGGACCAGGGGCCATGGGCAGCACGGACTGCCCCCAGGCACACAGCTCCCCAGGCGCCAGGGACCAGGGGCCATGGGCAGCACGGACTCCCCCCAGGCACACAGCTCCCTAGGGACCAGGGACCAGGGGCCACGGGCAGCGCGGACTCCCCCCAGGCACACAGCTCCCCAGGTGCCAGGGACCAGGGGCCATGGGCAGCACGGACTCCCCCCAGGCACACAGCTCCCCAGGGACCAGGGACCAGGGGCCACGGGCAGCGCGGACTCCCCCCAGGCACACAGCTCCCCAGGCGCCAGGGACCAGGGACAGACTGCATGAGCATCGCAGGGAGCAGCCCGCAGGTGGCGAGGACTCCTCGTGTCCTGGGCCCCAGGCTGCGGAGTAGGGCCCGGCACCCACCCCAGAACCCGTGTGCGTCTAACTGAGGGCATCCCGATAGATTGGCAGCCGCCTTGGGGCTTCTTTTGGGGTTTTCTCCACCTCCCAGGCTGCTGGCAGGGAAGGTGCATGGTCCTCTCCTGGGCCTCGGCCTTCGCCCTGCCCCAGGGGTCTGCCCGGGCTGCAGCTGCTCTGCTCCATGACCAGGCCCAGCCCACTTGCTCCCAGTGGCCCAGGAGTGGGAAAGCACCTCTGGCCCATCCTGGGAAAGCCCCATTAGGGACACATGGGCAGGCACACAGGCCTGCCCCCCAGAAGGGCCGCCCTTCTATTTAATGAAGGGCCTGGACCCAGCACTCCCGAGCCTCTCTGGGAACTGCTACCGGGGGTCTCAGGGCTGCAGCGCATGGGCTTCTTGTTGGGATATGGGATCCAAGACTGTCACGTCCCCAACACCCACCACAGGGAAGGGAGAACAGAAGCTCCAGGCACCACCCCTGCTGGCCTTGCCCAGGAGCAGGACTCACCGGGCCACCACCAGGAACTGGTCGATCTGCTTGTCTGTGAGTGGGTTGTGCGCCTCCCACACCTGGGTCTCCAACCTGGACTGGTCTCGGCCATCCTCCTCGCCTACAGGGAGGAAGTGTGGCCTTTCTGAGACGGGGTCCCACGGCGCGCCGGGCCGCGCCTCTCCTCCCCGGGTGCGGGGAGCTGCTGGGACGGGGAGGGGGAAGGGCTGCAGGGCCCCATAGGTGAGGCCAGGGTGCAAGGCTGGACGGAGGCTGTTGCACACACAGGCACACAGTGGCCTCTCAACCCGGGGCTGGGGTGCACACGCAAGGGGCCTCCCAGCCCACCCAGAATGCAGGGCTCCAAGAACTGTGGCCACAAGAGATGGGAAGGTTGGTTTGTAAATTTAAATCAAGCCTTTTTATTTATTTATTTATATTATTATTATTATTATTATTATTTTTTGAGACGGAGTCTCACTCTGTCGCCCAGGCTGGAATACAGTGGTACGATCTTGGCTCACTACAACCTCCGCCTCCCAGGTTCAAGCGATTCTCCTGCCTCAGCCTCCTGAGTAGCTGGGACCACAGGCACCGACACCATGCCCAGCTAATTTTTGTATTTTCAGTAGACACGGGGTTTCACCATGTTGCCCAGGCTGGTCTCGAACTCTTGACCTCAGGTGATCCATCCGCCTTAGCCTCCCAAAGTGTTGGGATCATAGGCGTGAGCCACCGTGCCCGGCCCAAGCTTTTTATTTTGAGATACTTGGGTTCACATGCTGTTGCAAGAGGGCCCTGCCACGTCACAGCAGCAGGCAGACCACCTCCAGGGACCTTCTGGGGGCACAGGCTCCCTCCTGGCCCCTCTTCCACCCCAGGGGGTTCTGGGGCAGCTGCGGCTAAGCCTGGCACAGCCAGAGCCGGGGGCCAGGGAGTGGGCGTGCCTCTGGAGTCACCAGTTGTTTCCTGTCTTCTGGGAGCTGGGACGATGGAGAACTCAAGGCTGGTGAAGAGGCCACCTGACGCCTGCAGTCGGCCAGGGCCAGGAGGGTTTCTGACGAAACAGCCTTTTACTCGCCAAAAAACAAGACCGTGGTGTTGGGAGACACCCTCAGGAGAATGTGTGTCTGAGCATGGCTGAGCCTGACTCCTGGGGGAGGACTTGGAGAAAGAGCTCCACAATTGTCCTCTGTCCACCTCTCAGCCGCCTCCATAGCTCAGTGCAGGGTGCCAGGCTCAGACTCTGCAAGCAGCTCCCCTCCAGCCCTGGGCAGCACCGAGGTTCCAGACCAAGGACCACGGAGTGCGGGGCTGCCCTCCACTGGGGCGCCCGGCTGCAGGTCCAGCATGGAGAGAGCTCTTGAGACTAGAAAGTCCCCAAGAAAATGCTATCCCTCGCTAAGGGGCACTGGCTCCCAGACCCTGCCCCAAGGGCCGGACATCCTGGGCCATGTGTCCAGGGAGGGTCAGGCCATGCGGCCTCTAGGAAACAATGCCTGGCCAGACTCAGAGGACGGGGTCAGCCAGGGACTGGGGCTGTGTGAACCAGCAAGGCGGGCTGGGGGGTCTTCAGCCTGGTGTGGACTCCTCACCTGGCTCAGGGGTACCCTGGGGAAGCTGGGGCCTAGCTCCCTGACGGCCAAGAAGCTGAGCCTTGGTGTGACCCACACAAGCCATGGTGCCTCCGTGTATGCGCACTGCTGGTCATGATGGTCGCACTCCCTTTGACATTTCAAACTCACTAAAGGCAGGTGCACAACTAGTGTGCAATTTTCCATCACTCAAGAGGGACACAGCCTCTCGGAGGTGGGGAAAGCTCTGGACGCCACGTCCCGGCCCCACACCAGCTGGTGGGATCCCTGGTCCTTGCACCAGCGGCCCAAAAGCCAAGGAACGGCAGGGCAGCGGGGAAGGCAGCGTGGGGAGAGGAGGCCGGCTCCTGCGGCTGGCTCGGCCTTGTGGACCCTTAGTCCCATCGCCCCAGACCCTGCAGAGCTCCGCCAGGTCTCTCCAGGTGTGCATGGTAAGATGGGGGCACCTCAAGGCCCATTCTCCTGACAGGCCCACTGGCCCCAGGCTGAAGGTACAGATGCGCCAGCTGAGGGCCTCTGACCTGAGACAGCTCCTCACTCTCTGGCCCTCATGTGATCTGTGTTCTCACCTGTCTCCCAGCCACGGACTCTGCCTTTCCACCTGGGTGCGGCTGCCAGGCCTTCACCTTTGGCCAGGCCAGAAAGGCAAGACAGCCCCAGGCTGGGAGACCCTGGCATGATAGCAGGGCACCCTGGAGGCCACAGGCCCAGACCCAGCACAGCGGCCTCCCCATGCTCAGACCCACAGGCCGGGCCCCAGCACAGTGGCCTCTCCACACTCAGACCCACAGGCCTCAGCACAGCGGCCTCTCCACACTCAGACCCACAGGCCTCAGCACAGTGACTTCCCCACACTTAGACCCACAGGCCGGGCTCCAGCACAGCGGCCTCCCCAGGCTCCGACCCACAGGCCTCAGCACAGAGGCCTCCTCCCCAGGCCCAGCCCTCAATGTGCCCTGTCTGCCTGGAGAGATGTGGGGGTCTTCCCCCACTGCCAAGCACCTCCCAGAGCACAGATGCTTGCAATGTAGCAGGCCCACGAGCCCAATGCTGGAGCCCACAGCTGCCTGGAGGAGGTGGCACACCCAGCCACCTGTGAGACGCACCAGCACCTTACGGACAATCAAGAAGAACACGAAACAGCACCAGCTACTCGGGAGGCTGAGGCTTGAGGATCGCTGGGGCCTAGGACTTCAAGTCCAGCCTGGGCGACACAGCAAGACCCGCTCTCAAAACAAACCAAAACAGGACAAGCACGAAACGCCTTGATCACAACTGCAAGCAGGGAGGCGAGTCCCCGCCCACCCTCGGGGGCAGAGCCCTGCGTCTCGAGGGCAGCCTCGCGGCCTTGCCCAGCGGGGAGATGAGGGACAGGGCTGAGAAGGGGACAGTGAGCCCCAGGACCTCCCACCAGGGCTACCGAAGCACCCGGTGGAGGGAGGAGGCTGCCAGCATCCGGGGTGAGCACTGCGTCGGAGCTCCACGGCCCCAGCAGGCCTCAAGGGTGGGGCACCCACAGGCAAGACAAGAAACGTGGGCAGATTCACACAGAAGAAAATTTCTGGAGGCAAAAAGAACTTTAAAAAATGAGGCCAGGTGCAGTGGCTCACACATGTAATCCCAGCAGTTTGGGAGGTCGAAGCAGGTAGATCACTTGAGTTCAGGGGTTTGAGACCAACCTGGGCAACATGGCGAAACCCTGTCTCTAATAAAAATACAAAAAAACTAGGGGGGTGTGGTGGTGCCCCTGTAGTTCCAGCTACTGAGGAGGCTGAGGTGGGAGGATCATCTGAGCCTGGGAGGTCGAGGCTGCAGTGAGCTGTGATTGCACCACTGCATTCCAGCCTGGGCGACAGAGCCAGACCTTGTCCAAAAAAAAGAAAAAGTAATGAAAAATAACTGCCAAGGCCAGACTCGGTGGCTCACGCCTGTAATCCCAGCACCTTGGGAGGCCTGAGGTCAAGAGTTCAAGACCAACGTGGCCAACACGGTGAAACCCCGTCTCTACTAAAAATAAAAAAATTAGCCGGGCGTGATGGCGGGCGCCTGTAATCCCAGCTACTCGGGAGGCTGAGGCAGGAGAATCGCTTGAACCTGGGAGGCGGAGGTTGCAGTGAGCCGAGATCACCCCACTGCACTCCAGCCTGGGCAACAGAGCGAGACTCCGTCTGAAAAAAAAGAAAAAGAAAAACAACTGCCAGAAGGAAACCAGGTGTCACTGTGCAAGGACAGCTGATCACCACGTCCTGCCTGAGGGTCTGAGGCTTCCCCAGAACCCCAACACCACCAGGAGTGGGTGGGGGAAGGCTCCGGGACACCAGCCTACACGCATCACCCATGTGGACAGAGCCCAGGCCTACACCTGCCGCCCCCAGTCACACATGAATCACTGACACGGCCATGTCCCAGCCTCCTCTCACCCAGTGTGTCACCCGGCAGGACAGGACAGGACAGAGGGCTCCATGCCCAGGGCGGCCCACCCTACCTTCTTTTAACAAGTCGGTGATGTCTGCCTGGTACCGGTTTCCTACTCGAATCTCTCCTTTATCTGCCAGCAGGGTCTTCTGCTGTGGGTCGTAGACTAGAGAATAGAAGAAGAAATCCTGGAAAACACCACAGGAGACAGAGAGGCGTCAGCACAGTCAGGCTGCTGGGAGGGTCAGAGAGGCGTCAGCACGGCCGGGCTGCTGGGAGGGTCTTGCCCAGAGCTCTTGTGGGGCGACATGGGCGCAGGAGGGAGGGAGGGCGCAGGAGCCCCCACAGCTCCCGGCCATGCCTGGGAGGAGCCTACAGCGGGGCCTCGAGGGTCACTGGGGGATGCACCTGCCCCATGACACTGCACGGAGGAGACATGCCGAGGGTCAGCAGAGGCAGGGCCAATGAGCAGCTGCAGGGGTGGGGCCAGGCTCCACAAGCCTTTACCAAGGCAGGGTGGATACGGCTACAGCCCAAAAACCATGACTTATTTGCCTTTTTATTTTTTTGAGGCAGAGTTTCGCTCTTGTCGCCCAGGTTGGAGTGCAATGGCGTGATCTCGGCTCACTGCAACCTCCGTTTCCCGGGTTCAAGCAATTCTCCTGCCTCAGCCTTCCAAGTAGCTGGGATTACAGGTGCCCACCACCACACCTAGCTAATATTTTGTATTTTCAGTAGAGACAGAGTTTCACCATGTTGGCCAGGCTGTTCTCAAACTCCTGAGCTCAGGTGATCCACCCGCCTCGGCCTCCCAAAGTGCTGGAATTACTGGCGTCAGCCACTGCGCCCAGCAGACTTATTTTCCTTTTTCGAAACATGGTCTCGCTCCGTCGCCCAGGCTGGAGTGCAGCAGTGCAATCACAGCTCACTGTGGCCTCCGCCTCCTGGGTTCAAGTGATCCTCCCACCTCAGCCTCCAAGTAGTTGAGACTACAGGCGTGTGCTATGCCCGGCTACAAAGCCATCCCTATCAGCAGCAGCAATGTGAAGATGTAACTTATCCAAGGTGTTTAAGAGCAACAGAAATCAGGAGTTCTGGGCACAACCTTGGAGGAGCGGCCACCGCTGGAGCGCTACGGAGCATTCCAGGCTCAGCACCGCCGGCCGCCACCCGCGCAGCAGGCGCGGCCCTTCCCGCCAGCATTCCATCTCAGGCAACCTCACACCAGGGCCCCCAGGCTGCCTCTGGGATGGCATTTCCAGGACATGGCCTTTGCCAACCTTTTGCTGTCCGGCATTGTGTGTCCTGCACTGGGCTGGTTCTGATGATTTTTGAAGCAGGCCTGTCCGGGCCTGACCCTGGAGTCCCAGCCTGAGCACCTGGCCTCAGCCAGGGCTGCACTTTCTTCTGCATGTGTGCCTGGCGTCCAATCACCCTCCCGTTTCCAGGTCATCCTCCTGATTCCTGTGGGTCGTCTTTTCCAGCCCTTACCCGCTTTCCCTGTCTCTCCTATTCTGAAAGCTACTCTGCGTGTTTTCTTTCAAGAGCTACCTTTAAAGTCCAGCATGACACCTGCTCCATGTGTGACCACGAGCCATGCTTCAGGGCCTTCGTCCTCTTGAACTGACACGACTATCCAGAGGCCAGCTGCCAGCCTCAGCCTCAGCTCCTACTCTGCCTGGATCTTTTATTTTTTTTGGAGATAGGGTCTTGCTCTATCACCCAAGATAGAGTACAGTGGTGCGATCTTGCTTCAGTGAAGCCTCCGCCTCTTGACTCAAGCAATCCTCCCACCTCAGCCTCCTGAGTAGCTGGGACAACAGTAAGTGTGCACCACCACGCCTGGCTAATGTTTTTTACTTTTGTAGAGGTGAGGTCTCACTATGATGCCCAGGCTGCTCTTGAACTCCTGAGCTCAAGTGATTCCCCCGGCCTTGGCCTCCCAAAGTGCTGGGATTACAGGCATGAGCCACTGTACCCGGCCTGTTTCTTTAAATTAATAAACACAAGTGGTTTCTATTTGGTGCCGGACTGCGCCACTGGTCAGGGCCTGGGTGTGTCTGTGACTGCTGTGTGCTGTTTCTGCACTCTTGCTTATCTGTGACATGAGCCTGTGTTTATCAGGACTTCATCAGTGAGGGTTATTTGAGGCGAGGCAGGGGCACGATCGCCCAGGGGCCAGTGGCACAAGCTTCTGCCAGGTGCTAAGTGTACTCACCCTGAGCCTGTTACATTAAATTCCCATATTGGGGCTGTTCAGAAACCCCAGGTAAGAAAGAAGAGGGAAGTGGCTGGGCGCAGTGGCTCATGCCTGTAATCCCAACAGTTCGGGAGGCAGAGGCGGGATGATCACCTGAGGTCAGGAGTTTGAGACCAGCCCGGCTAACATGGTGAAACCCCATTTCTACTAAAAATACAAAAAATTAGCCGGACATGGTGACACACGTCTGTAATCCCAGCTACTCGGGAGGCTGAGACAGGAGAATCGCTTGAACCCGGGAGGCGGAGGTTGCAGTGAGCTGAGATCGCGCCACTGTACTCCAGCCTGGGCAACAAGAGCGAAACTCTGTCTCAAAAAAAAAAAAAAAAAAAAAAAACAAAAAAAGAAAAAGAAAAAGGGGGGAAGGGCTGCATCGTGCAGCAGGAGGGTTTCAGGGTGCCTGAGCAGCCTGTTTTGTCCCCGGCAAGCATGGACCCGGCCGTTTCTGGGCGGACACAGTGCAGACAGGCTTGTCACTGCACCTGCTGCTTCCTCACGGGCCTTTTTTGCTAACAAACATTTTCTGTGCCCACAGATACATTTCTGCAGTCTCACCCTCTCTGTGTGGCTCTGTCAATAAGGGCACTCCTCATTCCTGAGTGGAAGCCTTCACAGCGACCCCCACAGCCTCTGCTCCCGCCCAGCATGTTGTGGCTCAGCCTTCTGGGAAGCTGGTCTGGCAGCCTGAGAGGGTTCGAGCCCTGCCCATGCTCCACGCATGTGTTACGACCCCAGGCCAAGCCCTGCCTGCTCTTCTCTGCCTGCTCATGACTCTGAGCTAAGGCACGACCACAGCCCTAGCTGAGCCACTGTCGCCCTTCACGCCTGTTTCCAGGCTGTGTGGTGGGAATGGGGACCGGGGCCACAGAGGTAGTGCAGGGCTGAGCTTGGGACACACCGTGGCCATCCTGGATCCTTCAGAGCCCATGCCAGAGCGCCGATGGCCACGACAGAGATGAGCCCCCCTGGGATGGGCAGGGTGGGGGCCGCATCCAGCAACCTGCATCTGAGCTGACTGGACACGCTGGGGGTGTTCAGGTCACAAGACTCCAGCCAGGTGGCAGCAGAGCCCGTGGGAGGCCAAGCCCTAGGCCTGGAGATGCGCCTGCCCCTTGGCAGGTGTGCCCCGCAACTGTGACAGGCACTCCAGGGAACCAACACACTCCAGACGCTTTTGCCCCCACGTGGCCTCAGAAAACCCAACCCTCCCGTTCGCTGGATCTCACAGCAGCCTCAGTGCCACCGCTCTCCGTCAGGCGACACTGCTCCCCAGGGATGTATGGCATTGTCGGGACACATTTTTTGGTTGTCACGCCTTGGGGGATGCTATACGGCAGGTTAACACCGTATAATCACAGGTGACCCCCAGATAAGAATCACCTGGTAACACCGTATAATCACAGTGACCCCCAAGGTGGGCCTACCAGGACTCTGCCCACCGCCCAGGAGAGACCAGCCAAGACTCCTGCGAAGACTCAGGTGGCCCCTGCCCCCACCTGCCTCAGCCACACCCTCCCCAGGGGGACCTCCCCTCGCTGGCTGTCTGGGTGGCAGTGGCAAGAGGAAAGAGCTCCAAGCTCCTGGCCCACAACTCTGGACGCGTAGGGTGGGGGCGGCCACACACCAGGACACCTGGAAGTGACAGTCAGGACGCAATCCCCGCTTCCCCCCAGAACAGCCTGGGCCTAGAGGGAGGAGGGAAAATCGTCTCCGCCGCCCAGGCCAGCAGAGGTCATAGGTAGAGGAAACAGTGGCCCGGGACTGGCTGCGGCAGACCAGGCCGGGCTGGGCCTCACCTCCCGCTCCAGGTAGGACTTGAGCGACTCGGTCTCGTTGAGCAGGGTGACGCTGCACTTGCCCCTGGAAGAGAAGGACGGGCAGGCTGGAAAGGCGAGGGCAGCCCGAGGGGCCCAGGGCGGGAGCTGCTGGGGGCTACCTGATGTGCGTGGCGGGCAGAGACTCCAGCTGCCGGGAGAGGAACAGCTCCCGATGCCGCAGCTGGTGCTTTAGTTTCTCGGGCAGGTCCACCATTTCCGGGTTCTCCATTTCCTCTTCTATTTCCCCTGAAGGACAAGGAGCCCCTGTCAGCACCGCGGCAGACGCACACTGCCAGACCAAGGCCCACCCCACCAGCCCCACCTGGCGCCAGCACGCAGGAGGCCCAGTCCTGGGAGGCGTGCCTCCTCCTGCTGCCGGACACTGTCCCACTGCCCCACCCTATGGCGGCCCGGCGGCTCCTTGGCAGGTACCCCTGCAGACACTCTGGTGCCCACGTGCCCTTTAAGTCCAGGCACCCTAAAGGCCCAGACTCCCCAGGGCATGAAGATGGAAGGAGGAGGGAGAACAAGGTCCGGGCCAGCCCCAGAAGCAGCAGGCAAGAGCAAGAGGAGCGGGGGAGTCGGCGGCTGCCAAGAGCCCAGGCCAGGAGGGCGAGGGGCAGCCGCCCTCTGTCCGTCCCCATCTCGTGGCCAGACAGCCCCATACAGCCCACCACAGACCTCCCACACCAGCAGGTCACCCTCAGGCCGGGGCCGCACCAAGCCTGGGCCGTGGGCCGGACACAAGGGAGGGCCCCTCCTCAGCCGGGCCGGCCGGGCGCAGGGCACAGGCATGCAGGCGGCCCGCCCAAACTCTGTCCCTCAGCGGCGCTGCCGCCCCCAGCCCAGGGACACAGACAGGAGGACGCCCTCCTTGCGGAGGCCGGCTCTTACCTTCCTCGCCGTTGTCCGCCCCCGGTCCGGCCTTATAGCAGACTGACAGGGCTATATAACAGACAGACAGCACCCGGCAGCACGGTCAGCACAGGGTGGCGGCCTGCTCCCTGCCCAGGGCCCGGACCGAGGGCTGTGCCGCCAGGGGGCAGGGCAGAACGGGGGCCGCAGGCCTCCCGGTGGGGCGTGAAGACCACCCGGTTGAAGATCATCTGGGCCTCGACGTCCCCCCACTCTGGCTGCCCATCCACCCAGTGCCAAGCCTCTTTGGGAAGAGCCCAGACAAGCCTGGCTGTGGAGGGCCCCTGTCCAGAGGCCACCCCTGCCCCCACTCCACTGGGGCTTCCCAGAACAGGCTGTCCAGATGAGACCGGGGCCGGGCACCGGCCAGCAGCATGGGGATTCCTGCCCTGTGCTAGGAACCCAAGTAGGGTTCTTATAACACCCAAAATGGGGGCGTGCAGTGGTGCTCCCCACCGCCCCTCGCACGCTCAGCACCGGCCGCCAGTGGGCCACTCATCCCGCTCAGCGCCCTGCCGGCTCTCTGAGCCCAAGGTCCCCAGATGGGACCACAGCCAGCCGGGCTGCTCGCTCTCTGCGGCCCCCTTGTGGTGCCTGCAGGAAGTCCTGGCTCCTCTGGGCCCTCCCAGGCGCCAACAGCTAAGACTGAGGCTGGGAGCAGCCATGCTGGGCCTGTTCTGGGCCGGCCCTATCTGGGCCTCAAAAGCCTGGGGTGTCTGGCGGCTGAGCCTCACCTCCTCCCGGTCCATAGAACAGGGCAGGGCCGACCAGGACAGCCCCAGTCCTCTCATCCCAGGCCAACACATCTCACTCGCTCCCACTTCTGGGGACCCACGAGCAAACTGCACCCTGAACTCAGACATCACCAGGGCCCAGAGGCCCACACACCAGCCCCAGACCAGAGGCTGGCTTTTGTTCACGCCCGCCCTATGCCAGGCCCCATCCGAGCACTGACCCAGCCTGGACAGGAGCCCACAGCGGCTCCGAAACTCCCATTTCACCAGCGTCCCGGTCAGCAGAACAGGGCTCTGTGGTGCAGCCTGTCGGAGATGCGGGCGAGGTGGGCCTACAGCTCCTCAGAAGACCCTCAACAGGCAGAAACACCCAGGCAGGAGGTGGGGCTGGCTAGTGTACCCTGCACCCCTCACACTCTGAACCCTCCCTCAGACCCTGGATACACCCCTAAGCGTGAGGCCCAGGCTGTGCCCTCACTCCCACTCTTGGCTGTGGTCTCCAGGGCCCCCACGCCCTCCTCTGAGGAGGGACGTTCCCCTCTCCCTGTCATTCTGTCCTGAGAAAGGCTTCATGCTCACAGCCCTGCCGGGGGGAGGGCTTCTCTGCCACAGGGGCCACAGTGCAGCCTGGCGGGTGTCTACCCTCCACCCTGAGGCCTGCACTGTGGGCTGGACGCCCCAGCAGGGGCTGGGTGGAGGCAGTGACGTGGGAGAGCCAGAGGCCTCCCAGAGTGTCCTCACACCTGTCCCTGGGATCAGCTGGGGGCCTCACCCTGGCTGCCATGAGCTCACAGAGAAGCAGGAGAAACGGAGATTGACACAACCCCGGGGGGTGTGGGCCCTGCAGAATCACCGCAAGGCCCAGCCGCCAGGCAAGAGTGGGGCCGCGCTCTGAGTCCCTGGACCAGCGGCAGACCCATCACCCATGACGCCTGCTCCCTGCAGCTGGGCTCTCAGTTCATAGGAACGCCCTGCAGAGGGGCCGCCACGCAGCTTTCCAGGGAGCACCGTCCAAAGGGGCTGTGCTGTGTACCTGGGGGGGCCAGTGCTCGAGCTGGGACACTGCTCTCCACCCAGTCCTATCAGCCCCAACGAGGCCCTTCTGGAAAACCTGCCCTCTGATACCTCTAATCACGTTATGTCTGGAGTCCCCTTCTGGGGCTCTTCCAGCAAAAGGCCATCCTCTGGGGCGTCTGAGAGCAGAACCTCAGCCAAGGGGGCCACAGTACCCTCAAAAACCACTAAACCACTGATACAGGCTCTCTGGAGCAGGGACACTGTGCCCCCAGGTGCCAGAGGACAGAGACAGGATCCACCCTGGGCCAGCCATAAACATGCCCAACTCAACGGTGGCGCCTGACTCCCCAGGCCACACAGACTGGCAGGGCCACACTGCGGCCGCTCAGCCTGGGCACTGCTTCTCCAGCGGGCCAGCCCGCTCCCCACCACTGCTTCTCCAGCGAGCCAGGCCGCTCCCCACCACTGCTTCTCCAGCGGGCCAGCCCTGCAGAGTCGACATAGGCCAGCCTCCAACACTAAGAACCGCCAGCCGTGCTGCTGACTGGCACCCAGCACCTGCAGGGCCAAGGGCCACACCAAACACCCCTCCAGAATGTGTAGCCTGTGGACCTTCAACATCCCCAGCTCTCCTCCTTGGTGCCTGGAGCCCGCCGAGTGCAGCAGTGGAGTACACAGGCTTTGGGGTCAGAGGTCAAGGATCACCATGCCCCACCTTGAACGCTCCCCTCCTCTGAGCAGAGAGCTAGGAGGTCCAGTTCCTCACAAAGCCAGAGAAAGCCCATGGTCAACTGGCAGCTCCCTTTGGGCCAGCCACAGGCCCCACAGCCCAGTGTCCAGAGTGGACCCAGGCTCGGGGGCCCGGCCCAGCTGCACTGACCCAGGGCAGCTCACGTCCGCATCCACTGGTTGCTGAGGAAAGGTCCCAGCTGTCCGGTGGGCAAGGCAGTGGGGTTAAGGGACACCTTCCTTCCACAAGCGCCTGCCCTGGCCGACTCCCAGCAAAGGCTCAGGAACAAGGCATCGGTGGCAGGATGGTCTGTCCTGTCCCTAAGCCCCTCCCAGAGCAGGGGGAGGTTGCCTGGGCTGACTTCCTGCCCCTCACCCACAGCGCTGGGACGGGGCAGAAGATGCGAGGGTCCTCCCACCCGACCCACCGCAAACCCACAGTCCCTGGACCTCACCCCATTAGGGGTCGTGGGAGGTTACAGGTGGGACCTTGGCCCACCCCAGCGACACGGGTACCCGGGCAGTCACATGCCTCACCTACTGGGAAATGTCACCCTACAGACCACAGCCTCAGCCTGGGCTCAGATCCCACCCCAGGTGATGTGTCAGAGTGGAAGCCAAAAATGCCCCTCATGCCTGCCCCCACCGACACATGAAGGGCCTCAGTGGGGTACCACACTGTGTCTGGTGCAGGTGGGGCCCAGCTCGGCAGGCCCTGTGTCAGTAGCATGTGGAGGGCGTGGGGGTGCCTCTGGCTCCTGGCTCTGAAGTCAACATCCCCCGGCACAGGAGACTCCACCACCTGCGAGCACCTGTTCCCGGGGGAGAAGCTGGGTCCCCAAGGCTGAGGGCATTCCCATGCAGCCAGTGGCTTCCTCCCACACGCTGTGCTGGCCACAGCAGCCCCTCCCAGCCAGGTTACTAAACTTGGGTTTGAATCGTAAAGAATAAGGAGAGGACTGCTTTCCTGAAAACACTACTCAGAATCCCAACAGAAGCCTCTCCGCAAAATTAAAAAGAGAGAGACATTGGCAAGTGCAGGCAGCAGGGTCCCACCAGCCTGGAAAGTCTCCAGAAGTCATCATAGAAGGGAAAAAGAAGCCTCGATCAATGATGCCCACACCCAGCCACACCATGACAAGCTTGCAGAGGATGCCAGTGAGAGACAGACCACTCCGGGGGGCGTGCGAGGACTTCATTCACCCAGCCCCCGAGGAAACGGAGCCAGGACACCCCCGCCCACTGTGGAAGGGAGAAAAAGAGACGCCAGAGTGAGTTGGGCAGAGGGTGGCCCCACGAGGCCAGGATGCCGATGGGCCCTAGGGAAGAAGGACCCCGCCAGCCCTCCCCAGCCGACCCTCCCGCCAGGCGGGCACCCCAGGGAAGGCCGGACTCACTTGCGTGCTTGTCGGCCAGGGCGATGAGGGTGCTGGAGATGTCCCGCCTCCGGTAGAAGCACACCACTTTGGCCTCCACGTTCCCATTGGCCGTCTGTAACAGCAAGGCAGGGGCGTCTGAGAAACGCGACCAAACCCGGGCTGCACAGCTCCCAGGAGGGGCTCCAAGGCCGGACCCTGCCGTCCAGGGACTGCAGGTGTAACCACACCACCCCTCGGGACTCCAGGAGGGCACTTCACAAATGGAGCAAATCCTGCAGCTCTGGACGCCCGTGGCGTCTATCCCAGGGGAGAAGGCGGGCGTGTGCACCCAACCTCAACCTGTGTCTCCATTCTCCCTCCCTTCCAGACCCCAGTGTACCACCTGAGAACAGCAGGGTCCCAAGGAGGAAAAGGCCCCCGCCACACTGGGTAGGACCTCAGTCAGCTCCTGGGAGGCCACGCCCAGCTATCCCAGCCCCTCTGGGGTGACCTGCACAGCAGCCACGGCCCTAGCGGCGGACGCAGCCTGGACCCCCCGCATGGGACCAGCCCTCCCACCTGGCCTGGCTGACAAACGTCTCCAAGTCAAGACGGCTGTAAAACGCCACCAGAGAAGCACGTATGTTTTCTGAACGAGTTTTTATAACATCTTTGCTACTGCAAGAATTGTGCTGTAATTCTAATCACAGTGCAAGTGCCTAATGGAATACTATTTATAACTCTTTTTTTTTTTTTTTTTAAGATGGGGTCTCACTCTGTCGCCCAGGCTGGAGTGCAGTGTTGTGATCTTGGCTCACTGCAACCTCTGCCTCCTGGGTTCAAGTGATTCTCCTGCCTCAGCCTCCCAGGTAGCTGAGATTACAAGCGTGAGCCACCACGACCAGCTAATTTTTGTATTTTCAGTAGAGACAGGGTTTTGCCATGTTGGCCAGGCTGGTCTGGAACCCCTGACCTCAAGCAATCTGCCTGCCTCAGCCCCACAAAGTGCTGGGATTACAGGTGTAAACAGCACCCAGCCTCACCTAACTTTTTAATTTTTTGAGATAGGGTCTCACTCTGTTGCCCAGACTAGAATGCAGCAGTGTGATGTCAGGTCACTGCAGCCTCCATCTCCCAGGACCACAGTCCAATTACACCATGCCTGGCTTTTTTTTTGAGACAGAGTCTTGCTCTGTCGCCCAGGCTGGAGTGCAGTGGTGCAATCTCGGCTCACTGCAAGCTCCGCCTCCTGGGTTCACGCCATTCTCCTGCCTCAGCCTCCCGAGTAGCTGGGACTACAGGCGCCCACCACCACGCCCGGCTAATTTTTTTGTATTTTTTAGTAGAGACTGGGTTTCACCGTGTTAGCCAGGATGGCCTCGATCTCCTGACCTCGTGATCCGCCCGTCTTGGTCTCTCAAAGTGCTGGGGTTACAGGCGTGAGCCACCGCACCCGGCCTTTTTAGATGGAGTCTCACTCTGTCGCCCAGGCTGGAGGGCAGTGGTGCGATCTCAGCTCACTGCAACCTCCACCTCCCGGGTTCAAGCGATTCTCCTGCCTCAGCCTCCTGAGTAGCTGGAACTATAGGCACCCACCACCACACCGGCTCATTTTTGTATTTTTAGTAGAGACGGGGTTTTACCATGTTGGCCAGGATGGTCTCTATCTCCTGACCTCGTGACCCACCCGCCTCAGCCTCCCAAAGTGCTGGGATTACAGGCATGAGCCACCGCACCCAGCCAACCTGGCTAATTTTTAAATTTTTTGTAGAGACGGGGTTTCACCACATTGCTCAGGCTAATCTTGAACTCCTGGACTCCAGCAATCTGCCCGCCTTGGCCTCCCAGAGTGCTAGGATTACAGGAGTAAGCCAAGGCACCTGGCCACTTTTCTTAAAGATAATTTGGTTTAATGTTATAAATGGGTTGGGGGCAGTGGCTCACTCCCAGGAGTTCAAGACCAGCCTGGGCAACATGGTGAAACCTCATCTCTATAAAATGTGTTTTAAAAATTAACCAGATGCAGTGGTGTGCGCCTGTAGTCCCAGCTACTTGGGAGGCTGAGGTGAGAGGATCACTTGGGCCTGGGAGGTCAAGGCTGCAATGAGTTGAGATCGTGCCACTGCACTCTGGTCTGAGCAAAAGAGCAAGACCTTGTTTCAAAAAAGCAACAACAAAAAAGAAAGAATAAAGAGAAAAGTGCTCAGTTGCTCTGCACAGCCTGCCGGGAGCCGGGCGTTCTCGAGGGTGGAATTCCTCTGTTTGGGACGTGCATCTCCTCTCCCCTTCGCATCTGTATCTGCTCACTATGGTGGTGTGAACCCAGGGACCACCATGCTCTGCTTCAAGTCATGATCCAATGTGGCCTGACCCTCCTGCAGGTCGAGCTGTCCCTACCCTGGCCGCCGGGTTCTCGCTTTGTTGGCTCCTGTGTCCCTGACAGGCTCCACCGCAGTGGGGTTACATCCACATCTGATCACAGTGACACACACAGACCATCCAATGTCTCAGCGAGCCATGAACCCTGCAAGAACACATGACCGCAGCCACCCCACCCGGGCAGCTGGGACCGTGGGGCCAGGCTCTTCCGCATTCAGGTTCCCACCAGCTCAGCGCCTCAGGCCAGGCCTCCCATTGCCACACATGCACCCCACCCTCCAGGATCACTGTGTGCATTCCATGACGCTCAAGGTCTGTTCTGCTGTGTTCCTGCACACAGTGGACTCAGTCACACTCGGGGTCTGTTCTGTTGTGTTGTGTTCCTGCACACAGCGGACTCAGTCACACTCGGGGTCTGTTGTGTTCTGCTGTGTTCCTGCACACAGCGGACTCAGTCACACTCGGGGTCTGTTCTGTTGTGTTGTGTTCCTGCACACAGCGGACTCAGTCACACTCGGGGTCTGTTCTGAGACGCTCCTGCACACACAGGTAAAGGCGGTGAGGCCACACTAGGCCATTCTTTCTTCTCTTCCTTCGAACACCTTTGCTTCCTGAGATTAACAATCGTCTTTTTTCTCCACTTGCCTAGTTTTTCATGGAATCATCACAGATTCTTCCCTAAAGTGCTCGGCAGCAGAGCTCCCAAAGAGAAAGGGCTCATATCAGGGCGCCTGCGAGGCCCCTCCCAGAGCTGGGGTCCACCCTGCTTGCTGCCTGCACCAGGGGCCGCATCTTCCTGGGCGGGAGGAACCTGCGCCTCCCTCGTGTTGGAAAGGCGCGGAGGAGTGCACTCCAAGGCCTCAGTCAGGAAACCTCACTCATCTGCCTTCCGGGAGATGGAGCTTGGCTGGGCGTGGAGCCTCCACACCTGAACGCGGCTGCCGAAAGGCAAAGTGGGTTTTGACTCCGGTGCTTCGTGTGTGACCCACTTTTTCTCTAAACACATTTCTTCTCCCGTGTTCTAAAATTTTAAATACACCTTGAAGGGGCCCCTCTTTATTGCTTTGCTCGCTCCTTCTCTGCTATTAACTGGACGTTGGACCAATGGACTGATGTCTGATTTTTTTCTCTCCTAGTTTCTTTGTGTTTTTGCCCCATCTTCTGTGCGGTATCCTCAACTTTATCACCTGATCCTTTCATTTCATTTGCTACTTCTCCTAACCCAAGTGTCAAGAGCTTTCCTCTCATCTGACCACATCCCAGGATGGATCCCATCCATTTCTCAGAGAACATTCACGGGCTTTGTTTTGCTTTAGTTTCCTTCTGTTCCCTGCACTGGCCCTTCCTCTGAGTTCCTTTTTTACTTTTTTATTTTTTTGAGACAGAGTCTCGCTCTGTCGCCCAGGCTGGAGTGTAGTGGCGGGATCTCGGCTCACTGCAAGCTCCACCTCCCGGGTTCACGCCATTCTCCTGCCTCAGCCTCCCGAGTAGCTGGGATCACAGGCGCCCGCCACCACGCCCGGCTAATTTTTTGTATTTTTAGTAGAGACGGAGTTTCACCGTATTAGCCAGGATGGTCTCGATCTCCTGATCTTGTGATCCGCCCGCCTCGGCCTCTCAAAGTGCTGGGATTCCAGGCGTGAGCCCCTGCGTCCAGCCTCTGAGTTCAATTTTTACATGTGCTGGCTGACCTTCCTGTTAAAAGCCCCCCCGCCCCGCCCCATACGCCTTGCGGCTTTTCATCCCTGGGAGCCTCCCCGGTGCTGGGCAGCTCGCTGCATGGGCTGCACCCATGGGTGCTGGGGTAGCGGGCATTCTGCTGGGTCCCCGATGCCAGCAGCTGGGTCTGTGGGCTTTAGAAGTCTGGCCGCTAGGGTCCTGGGAGCCAAGGAGGCAAGAGGGGCGGGGGGGCCCACCAGGGGACAGGCCATGAGCCAGGCGATCCCCACTTCCAGCCCCCGCACGAACTGTGCTGGCCTGGGTCTGGTGCCCCAAATCTGGGTCCTCTGAGTCCACTGCTCCAGCCCAGGGAAGGGCTCTGTGGGACCACCTGACCCCCCAGACAGGCCTTCCGCGCTGCCAGCCACATGTCACCATGGTTCCTGTTCTCCCCATCCTGACCCAGGCCAGGGCCAGGGCCTCTCAGGTTGCCCAGTCTGCCTGGCTGCCTTCCAAGCTGTGCCCATACCTCCCAGTGGCACCGCCTCTCCCACCTTCCTTGCCCTGTGGGTGCAGAGCCCCAGCACCACTTTCTTGTTATTTGAGGGGGCGTTCAGTCCAGGGAACAGAGGGGAGGTCTGTACTCAACCAGCTGCGCCCACCTGGAAGCCCCGCCTGGAGCTCCTTGGCGTGGAGGGCACTGGCCGCACTCTGTCGCAGGCCTGCGGGTTCTTTTCCACATGGTGAGCGTCTGGCTCGGCTGCCCTGCCTGAACAGTCCAAGAGAGTAGTCGTGCCCCTCACAGGCTGGTGTCCCGCCCAGAGACAGGCAAGTGCCCACGCCATGTGGCCCTGGCCCTGAGGAGGAGGGAGTCCTAGGACGAAGGGGACGCCTCTGAGCGTGTGCAATGCTACATGTGTAACTGAACATCGCCCAAGGGCTGGAAGCCAGCCCCCTGCCTGCACACGCCTGCAATCTACTGTCTGCACATGGAAGCCGGAAGCAGCACGAGGGAACCTTCCTGACAGTGGCACCTCCCAGCAGTGGCACTCGGCCAGGCGCCCACGGAGGCACTGCAGCCTCCCGCCCCGGGTTGCCTGCCAGCTGGCTGTGTGGGGCCAGCAGTGCCATCTGCCGGCCGCCCCTCCACTACACAGACCAGGAGGGACACAGGACCTCCCCCAGCCATGGTTCAGCGTCAGCTGAGGAACCTCCCTCTGCACCTGTTTCCCTACAGTCCACATGCTGGGATGCGTAAAGTGCTGCCCCGCACTCAGGAGGCTCAGCCACAGGAGTGGCGCCCCATTCCGGCAGTACCCAAGTGGCCTTGCTCTGCAGGCGGGCAGGCCCTGCCCAGCAGGGGCAGTGAGGCAGACTCAGAAGACACCCAGGTCATTGCCTGTGCCTCCAACAAACAGGCCTGGCCCTCAGACCTCCCAGGAAGCTGCGGGGGAGCAGATGTCGCACCCCATGCTCCTCGGCCCCAGGTGGTGGCAGATACCGCAGGGAATGGCCCTCGACAAGCGCAGCCAGGGAAGCCCGGAGCCCAGCATGGCTACGTCAGAGGTGGCGCGCTAACCTTCCCCCCGCTGCCCCCTCTGATCCCAAGAACCCCACGTCACCGCTGCCACCAAGCCTGAGGTCCAGGAAGGCAGCTTCTCCCAGGTGAGCCTGCAGCATCCAGATGGAACACCAAGGGCCCGAGTGCCCCAGGCCTGCCGAGTGGGCAGGGCTCCTAGGAGAAGGCAGCCATCGGGCCACTGGCTCCAGGGGATCGGGGGCTCAGGAGCCCTGCAGGCAGGCACAGAGAGGTCTGTGAAGCACCCAGCACCCCACCCCACTCTCTGCTGGAACCATGTGTCCACTGGTGGGGACAACCTGCCCTCCCTCAACACCCTTAGAAAGTCTCCAACCAGGAGGAGGAGAAGGGACGCTGGGGGACCCACCCACCACCCCTGAGGACAGCGAGAAGGCTCCCAGGGTGTGCGGGCGCCCTACACCTCCATGGCCATCTACGGCTCTGTCTCCCGAGCTGATGGGACGGAGGCTGTGCCGAGGCAGTGGAGGCCAGGAGTGGCTGGGGCTGAGGGGCCCATGTGTCACCACCCCCCAGGAAGGATCTGGTGCTGCCAGGCTCAATGCATGGGCACAACCACGTCCCCCGACCAAACAGCAAGCAACTGCCAAGGACTCATGGCAGACACAAACCAGGTGGGAGCAAGGGCTGCCTGAGTGACCAGGGAGGGCGCTTCCAGCCACGCAGACACCTCAGGGTTGGGGGCAGAGCTCACAGCCCTGCAGGGCTGCCTGAGTGACCAGGGAGGGTGCTTCCAGCCATGCAGACACCTCAGGGGTGGGGGCAGAGCTCACAGCCCTGCAGGGCTGGCTGCCAGGGTTCGGGCAGGGCAGGGGCACCGAGTATGGCTTTCTGCAGCCTTTGGTTGGTTTCAGAATCACACCATTCCGCTCGGGCTCCCCAGGGGACACTGGCATCTTCAGGGGACCCAGCACCCACAGACCAAGTGTAGAGTGGGCAGGCAGCTCAGGGCAGCTGCGCTGGGTCCTGCATGAGGCCACCAGGCCCCTCACTCAGTATCTCCAAGGAGGAGCCACGGTGCAGGTGACAGTGGACGGAGTCACTGAAGGGCCTGTGCAGTGGCCAGTCCAAGATCAGCCCCGAAAGGGGGCCACCCACACTGGCCACCCACAGGGCAGGAGCTGGCGTAGCCCCCACCCACTACCCCCCTGCAGCAACACCAGGGCCCCCCAGTACCTTGTTGAGCTCCTCGATTCTCCGGATCAGGTATGGGTTGCTGGAGGAGTTCTCAAAGTAGACGTAGTCTGCAAACAGCAACAGAGAGAGTGCCACCTGTGGCACCAAAGGCCAGACCCAGTCCCACCTCCCGTGGCCCAGGGACTCGGGGCTCAGGCGGGGCAGTGTCATCCCCTCACCTCTGCTCCCTCAGGCGAGGAATAAACAGAGGAAGCGAAGCCCCCACACCATCAGGGAGGGGTGGCTGCAACCAAAATGGACTGACAGGCTGGGTCAGGGACAGGGAGATGCATCTGGAGGGGCCGTTCCCAGCAGGAGCAGACAGCCCCCATCCCGGATCCTCACAGACGCCAGCTGCCCCCAAGGGCTCAGGCCCTTCTTGGGGAAGCTGTGGGGGCCAGGCGGCAGCTTCCCAGGCAAAGCCCAGCTCCAGCACTGCCCAGACCCTGCCGGGAGCCCCAGGACACCTTCCCACTGGCAGCAGCCAGCCTGGATGCTACACCCCCAGAGCCACGTGGCCACCACCAGCCACCAGCCCTGCCCACAGCGGCCCCCATCTTTCCCTCCAAAACCAACAGCAGTGACTACACAGAGAACACAGTTGGGGCTTCCTGGGCCCAGGCAGGCTCAAAAACAGGACAGAGTTGCTCCAGGAATGACAGGAATACCAGAGCTCACCAGAGCTCAGGGACAGCAACAGGCAGCAGGCACTGGGAGTGCCCCAAGATCGGCCATCAGGTGAGTACAGCGCTTCCCTCAGCGATGAAACCATCTGGCCCTCCAGCCTTCTCACCAGCTCCACAGACAGAGAGCCACGGAACCTTCCGGAGCCCAGAGGCTTACCCTGGAAGGCCCAGGGAAGTCCAGGCTGGTGGTGCTGACACCCCGATGCTCCAGGCCTCCTGGGGCCACCGCAGGGGCTCAGCTTGGGAGGCACTGAGGCCATGTCCTCACGAACCAGCACCACGAGCACCCTCGCCAGCCCACCCTGCATCAGCTCCGCAGGGGGGACTGAGCAGGAGGCCTGTCTCAGCTGGAATCAGCCCAGAGGCCCGCACAGGCCTGGGATTCAGCAAAATACAGCAAGACCAGCACCAAAGAAGCCCAGCCCATCTGTCCACACGGAGGCCAAACCCGTGCCGCGAGGACCCTGTGGAGGGGCCTGGAGAGCATCTCCCTCCTGCTGCTGGCACACACCTGCAGGCTCATGCCCCTGAGGACACGCCAGTGAGGACGCACCTGCAGGCTCGTGCCCGTGAGGACACACCCATGAGGACGCACCTGCAGGCTCATGCCCGTGAGGACACACCCCTGAGGATGCACCTGCAGTCACACGCCCATGAGGACACTCCCATGAGGACACACCCCTGAGGACGCACCTGCAGCCACACACCCATGAGGACACTCCCATGAGGACGCACCTGCAGGCACACGCCCATGAGGACGCACCTGCAGGCACATGCCCATGAGGACACACCCGTGAGGACACACCTGCAGGCACACGCCCGTGAGGACACATCTGTGGGTGCACACCTGGGAGGACGCACCTGTTTGGGCACCCATGTGCAAAGTCACACCTGTGCATGCAGCTCCTGAGCCCCCCGTGCTGCCTGAGCAAACCAGCTGATCAGATGAGGCTACGCCCACATAGAGCTCCACAGGACAACGGGCTAGGAGCATGGAGAGCCCAGAGGGGACACAGCCACGGTGCCCGGGGGACACGCACAGCAGTGAGCGTTCCCTGCAGAAAAGCCTGCAGAAGTGACAGGGGGCCTGTGGGTCTGTGTCACGGCTACAGGAGTGTTCTGAATGCAGGATGTGTCCACGCTTGTGCAACGCTGTGAAAACGCTAGAATTCACTGAATCACACACTCAAAATTGGTGGGTTTCATCACATGTAGATATCTCAAACTTTTTTTTAAAAAAGGTCTCAAATCAACGGTCTAACTTTTTACTCCAAGAAACCAAATAAATTAAATTCAAAACAATGCATCAAACTTGCCAAAAAATGGGGGAAAAATGTCCCTTAAGTGAGGAAAGACAAACAAGCTGGGGTCCATCCACTTGATGGAAGACTCCTCGGCAGGGGCCAGGAGTGAAGCCCCCTGGCAGCTCGGGGTCTGCAGCACCGGAAGGCCCTCTCGGGGGAGGTGGCAGGCACGACGGCTGCGTGCAGTGGGGCCACCTACAAGCTGCTGGCGCAGGAAAACCAAGATGTGGAAGACGTGAGAATTTGGGAATTTGGGAACTATTCTGTATCATGACTGTGGTACAACAACATGACTATGGACTTCCAAAATTCACGGAACTGTACACGTAAAAGGAATTGTACTGAATGTAAATTATGCCTTAATAAACGGACAAATAAAGCAAGAAGGCAGGAAATGATAGAGTAAAAATAACATGAAACAAAAATAGTAGAGGGGAAAATATCAGAGGAACCAAAAGCTGAGTGTTTGCTTGTTTGAGATGAAGTTTCGCTCTTGTTGCCCAGGCTGGATGGAGTGCAATGGAGCGATCTCAGCTCACTGCAACCTCCGCCTCCCGGGTTCAAGTGATTCTTCTGCCTCAACCTCCCGAGTAGCTGGGATTACAGGAGCCTACCACCACGCCCAGTTAATTTTTGTATTTTTAGTAGAGACGGGGTTTCACCATGTTGGCCAGGCTGGTCTCAAACTCCTGACCTCAGGTGATCCACCTGCCTCAGTCTCCCAAAGTGCTGAGATTACAGGCATGAGCCACCATGCCCAGCCTACAAGCTGGTTATTAACAAGATCAATAAACTGAAATCTATAGCCAGACTGACAAAGAAACAAAGAGAGAAGCCACAAGTAACCAACATCAGGAACGACAGATGGGACATCACTACGGATCCTACTGACACGAGAAGGGGTGTAAGGAGTATTATGGAGGACTTTATGCCACAGAACTTGACAACTTAAATGAAATGAACCAATTGCTTGAAAGATATAAACACCAAAGCTCATTCAAGAAGAAACAGGTAACCCTATCCATACTACGGAAATACAACAACAAGAACTCTGCGCCCAGATGGCTTCATTGGTGAAGTCTATCAAACATTTAAGGAAAAATTAACACCAATTCTACACAACTCTTCCAGAAAACAGAAAAGGAGGGAACACTCCCCAGCTGACAGTGAGAACGCCATTGCCCTGATACCAAAACCAAAGACACACAAGAAATCAGGAGGATTGCTTCAGTCCAGGAGTTTGAGACCAGCTTAGGCAACATCACAGGACCCCATCTCTAAAAAAAAATTATTTTTAATTATGCAGGTGTGGTAGCATGTGCCTGTAGTCCCAGCTGCTTGGGGGCTAAGGCAGAAGGATCGCTTAAGCCCAGGAGTTTGGGGCTGCAGTGAGCCATGATGGTACCACTGCACTCAAGCCTGGGTGACAGAGTGAGATGCCATCTCTAAATATAACTTAAATTTTTAAAAACATTCAAAAACCAGTGTAGCTCATCATATTCACAGAATAAGTAAGAAAAGCCCTATGACCATCTCCGTAGATGCAAGAATATAATCTGAAAAAATCCAACACATACGCTATTAAACTCTGAGCAAACAAGGAACTAAAGGGTACTTCCTCAGCCTGGTAATACATTTACAAAAAACCTACAGCTAGCATCATCCTCAGTGGTGAGAAAAGGGCTGCTTCTGCTGAGATCAGGGATGTGCCAAGGGTATAGCTACTCTCACCACTACTGCTGACCATCGAGGAAGTCCCAGCCAGTACAATGGGAAGAAAAATCAATGAAAGGCACACAGACTGGATATGAAGAAATAAAACTTTCTATACGCAGATGATGTGACTTTCTATATAGAAATCCCCAGAGTCTACAAAAAAAGCTATTGAAACTGCTGAGTAAGAGTTTTGCAAGGTCACAGGTCAATATATAAAAATAAGTCCTCTTTTGGGCTGGGCATGGTGGCTCACGCCTGTAATCCCAGCACTTTGGGAGGCTGAGGCGGGCGGATCACCTGAGGTTGGGAGTTCAAGACCAGCCTGACCAATATGGAGCTACCCCATCTCCACTAAAAATACAAAAAAAATAGCTGGGTGTGGTGGTGTATGCCCGTAATCCCAGCTACTCAGGAGGCTGAGGCAGGACAATCGCTTGAACCCGGGAGGCGGAGGTTGCGGTGAGCTGAGATCACGCCATTCACTGCACTCCAGCCTGGGTAACAAGAGTGAAACTCTGTCTCAAAAAAAAAAAAAAAAAAAAAGTCCTCTTTCTACGTACTACTAACAAATGGAAATCAAAATTGTAAAAGTACTATTCACAAGAGCACCAAGAAAAATTAAATACTTACAATATAAATTTTACAAAAGATCTATAGATGTTTAAAGATCAAAAGATCTGTGCAAAGATCTACATGCTGAAAAGTACAAAACACTGGTGAGAAAAATCAGCAAAGATCTAAATAAATGGTAACAGATAAGGTGTCAAGGGTTAAAATACATGTTGGTGAGCTTCCTATAAAGGTCCAGATAGTCAATACTCCAGGCTGTGCAGGCCAAGAGGCCACACCAAGGATATTACATAGGGACTAATGTAACAATTTCTACACATTTCATACTGATGAAATCAAAATAACTGGGCCAGGCGCAGTGGCTCACACCTGTAATGCCAGCACTTCAGGAGGCGGGCAGATCACTTCAGGAGATCGAGACCATCCTGGCCAACATGGTGAAAGCCTGTCTCTACTGAAATACAAAAAATTAGCCAGGTGTGGTGGCACGCACCTGTAGTCCCAGCTACGTGGGAGGCTGAGGCAGGGGAATCGCTTGAACCTGGGAGGCGGAGCTTGCAGTGAGCCGAGATTGTGCCACTGCACTCCAGCCTGGTGACAGAGCAAGACCCCATCTAAAAAAATTTTTTTAAAAAGCTGAGTGCAGCTTTCTATAATACAGATGCACTCATGAGAGGACTTGTTTTGGGAGATGACATATTGCTTCACTGGGTTCAAATTTAATGTTCTTTATCACCAAAATCAACAACAAAGGTGCATCCATTAGTGCTGGCTTATAGTGAGTTCATGTGTTTCCTCTGTAACTGTCTTTCCACACAGGTACTGCCAGGCACACTGTCAGCCCCAGGTGCGTGGCTCTAAGTGAGCAGCCTCGCTACTCCCTTTCCTGGAAAGGGCCAGCTCAGCAGGCTTGGATTGCCCGCATTCTTCCTTCCAGAGAGGTCTGACCCTTGACCTGCTCCTAGGAGGTCACCTCGGAGCTCTTGGAGCATCCTGCCTGCCAACAGCGTCTGCTCACCCAGGGCCTCAGGCCACCTCAGAGAGGCTACCCTGACAGTGACGTACCGCGGTGCCTTGTGGCATCAGCCTGACCTCTGGAGGGGCTGAGACGGAGGGACCGAGGGCAGCCACACCGGTGCTCAGCCAGGCCCACCTGACCAACCTCTAAAAACACCTGGACCACCAAGGCTCACGGGAGCGTCCCTGCTTGGAAATACGCCAGGCCTGTCATCACAGACCACTGCTAGACCTACACACCGCCCACGTCTCTGCTGGGAGAGACGCCGGAAGCCCACCCCTGGTCTCTCCTGAGCCCGGCCCCTGTGCCGCTTCCCTTTGCTGATTTGAGTCTGCGTCCTTTTGCTGTAATCAACCGTACCCCTGGCAGAAATGCTCTGCTGTATTCCATGAGTCCTAGTGAATTACTGAACCCGAGGGTGGTCTTGGGGCCCCTATATTACAGCACGGGGTTACGCTACAGTCCAATCGCTTTCGACTGAAGCTCAGGCGGGAGCTCCCTAACACACAGCTGAGTGGATTTTGAAATGTCGACGTTTCCCTTGCACTCGCATGGAAGTCGCAGACACTCTGCTGTAACCACAGTGTGAGCCCAGAAAAGCAGCTCACTGCAAATCTGTGTGGCAATGCAGACTTTGCCTCTCATTTTACCTCTTGACAATAAGAAAACTGTACAAAGCAGTTTGTGATTTAAACATGAGCTGTTGCCAAAGTGACTTCATCACAGTATAAATTTTGCAAATAAATGTGGTTGTGCCTCGTAACTTTAAGATGAATTCATAAAGAACGTAGAGAACATCATGCAGCAAAAACTAGTTTCCCAAGTCATCTGGTGTATTGATGATGGCAGTCAACAGTGGTTCTTCTCATTCTGAAATTTTCCAATTTCGGCGCTTTTTCAAAAAGCAGGCCAGACACGGTGGCTCACGCCTGTAATCCCAGCACTTTGGGAGGCCGAGGCAGGTGGATCATGAGGTCAGGAGTTTGAGACCAGCCTGGCCAACATGGTGAAACCTCATCTCCACTAAAAATACAAAAATTAGCCGGGCATGGTGGCATGTGCCTGTAATCCCAGCTACTTGGGAGGCTGAGGCAGGATAATTGCTTGAACCCAGGAGGCAGAGGTTGCGGTGAGCCGAGATCACGCCACTGCACTCCAGCCTGGGTGACAGAGCAAGACTCCGTCTCAAAAATAAATAAATAAATAAAAAATAAAAATAAAAAAGCAATAGAACTTCACCACTGCCAACTCATCAAGCTGCTGCACAGGACAGCAAGTCAAGATGTTCAGCTTTAGGCCAGGCACAGGGGCTCACACCTGAGCCCAGGAAATTGAGGCTGCAGTGGGCCAGGACTGTGCCACTGCTCTCTAGCCTGGGCAATAAAGCAAGACTCTATCTCTTTAAAAAAGGTTTTTTTTTAATTCACAGAACTGATGACATCAAGTCCACAAGGTCAAATGAAGTTCACTGTTGACACTACTGGTTCAATAAGGCATGACAGACTCAAATACTTTCCACAGGCCGGGTGTAGTGCCTCACGCCTGTAATCCCAGCACTTTGGGAGGCTGAGGTGGGCGGATCACCTGAGGTCAGGAGTTTGAGACCAGCCTGCCCAACATGGTGAAACCCCATCTCTACTAAAGATACAAAAAATAGCCAGGTGTGGTGGTGCATGCCTTTAGTCCCAGCTACTTGGGAGGCTGAAGCAGGAGAATCACTCGGGCCCGGGAGGCAGAGGTTGTAGTGAGCCGAGACTGCGCCACTGCACTGCTGCCTGGGCAACAGGGCGAGACTCCACCTCAAAAAGTAAAAATAAAAATAAACAAATACTTTCCACAAAATATTTACCTGCCAACAAGTAATAGAATGAATAACTATAGGCTTTTGGCACTTTGTATGTTTAACAACCCTTGTAAATTTGTCCAACCAAGCCCTTTTCTGTGCCACACATTTCTCGTGTCAGTAGGATCTGTAGTGATGTCCCATCTGTTGTTCCTGATGTTGGTTACTTGTGGCTTCTATTTCTTTGTCAGTCTGGCTATAGATTTCAGTTTATTGGTCTTGTTAATAACCAGCTTGTAGGCTGGGCACAGTGGCTCATGCCTGTAAATCCCAGCAGTTTGGGAGGCCAAGGTGGGTGGATCACCTGAGGTCAGGAGTTTGAGACCAGCCTGGCCAATATGGTGAAACCTGGTCTCTACTAAAAATACAAAAATTAACTGTGCGTGGTGGTGGGCGCCTGTAATCCCAGCTACTCGGGAGGCTGAGGCAGGAGAAGTGAGGACAGTCTTGTGGGACTCAGCCCTTCAGCTGCAGAACCTAATATTCTCTCCAGGTAAGCAGTGTCAAAATTGGGTTAAATCACTGGATAACCGACTGGCTGCTGGTAGGGAGAAACCCCACACACATTCCAGGGACCAGAGGTGAAGTGTTCTGTGTTGAACGTGTGAGACTGGGAAAAAGTTAAGTTTTTCCTGTCCCTATCACAAATATTCAACCCCACCACGGTAGCTCAAAGCAGCCACATAATAACTGGAATCCCTCCCATTAGTGCGGCCGTGTTCCCATAACACTTTATTTCTGAGCACTGAAATGTGAATTTCATATAATCTTCATGTGTCATGAAGTTTTCTGCCTTTGATTTTTTTCTCAACAATTAAAAAATGTAAAACCCATTCTTAGCTCGTGAGTCATCAAAAACAGGCAGCGGGCCAGTTTGCCAATCCCTGTACGAGAGGACCCAAGATTGGTTTAGATGCCAATTATTTCCCAAACATCTACACGGGCATCATGCTTAGCTTGATGATGCTTTGCAGGTATTGTGTTTCTTACAAATTGAAGGTTTGTGGCAACGTGCATCAAGTCAAGTCCATCGGTGCCATTTTTCCAACAGCAGGTGCTCACTACGTGTTGCTGTCACGTTTTGGTAATTCTCTCAACATTTCCAACTTTTTAACCATGATTCTATCTGTGATGGCGATCTGTGGTCATTGCTCCTCGATGCTACTATTGTAATTGTTTTGGGCATCATGAGCCATACCCCAACTAAGAACTTAATTGATAAATGTGTGTGTTCCGACTGCCCCAGGAACTGGCCATTCCTCCATTTCTCTCCCTCTCCTGGGGCCTCTCTATTCCCTGAGACACAACAATACTGAAATTGGGCCAACTAGCAACCCTGCCATGGCCTCTAAGTAGTCCAGTGAAGGGAAGAGTTGAGGGTCACACATCTCTCACTTTAAAACAAAAGCTGGAAATAAATGACTAAGCTTAGTTAGGAAGGCCTGTCGAAAGCCAAGATACCCTAACGGAAAGCCTGGTCTTCAGCGCCAAGCAGGTAGCCCAGTTGTGAATGCAGAGGAAAAGTTCCTGAAAGAAACTAAAAGTGGGTCGGGCGCAGTGGCTCACACCTGTATTCCCAGCACTTTGGGAGGCCAAAGCAGGTGGATCACTTGAGGTCAGGAGTTTGAGACCAGCCTGGCCAACATGGTGAAACCCCATCTCTACTAAAAATAAAAAAATTAGCCAGGCATGGTGGTGTGTGCCTGTAATCCCAGCTACTCGGGAGGCTGAGGTGGGAGAATCACTTGAACCCGAGAGCTGGAGGTGGCAGTGAGCCAAGATCGCACCACTGCACTCCAGCCTGAATGACAGAGCGAGACTTGGTCACCAAAAAAAAAAAAAAAAAAAAAGGCCGGGCGCAGTGGCTCACGTCTGTAATCCCAGCACTTCGGGAGGCTGAGGCAGGTGGATCACAAGGTCAGGAGATTGAGGCCATCCTGGCTAACATGGTGAAACCCCGTCTCTACTAAAAAAATACAAAAAATTAGCCGGGCATAGTGGCGGGCACCTGTAGTCCCAGCTACTCGGGAGGCTGAGGCAAGAGAATGGCGTGAACCTGGGAGGCGGAGCTTGCAGTGAGCCGAGATCGTGCCACTGCACTCCAGCCTGGGTGACAGAGGGAGACTCTGTCTCAAAAAAAAAAAAAAAAATTAGCCGGGTGTGGTGGTGGGTGCCTGTAGTCCCAGCCACTTGGGAGGCTGAGGCAGGAGAATCGCTTGAACCCGGGAGGCGGAGGTTGCAGCGAGCCGAGATCGTGCCACCGCACTCCAGCCTGGGCGACAGAGCAAGACTTCATCTCCAAAAAACAAAAAGTGCTGCTCCAGTGAACACAAGCCTGATAAGACAGCTGAACGGCCTTAGTACTGATAGAGAGAAAGCTGAAGTGCCGGGATGGGAAATCAAAGCGGACACATTCCCCGAAGCCAGAGCCCCAGCCTGAGCGAGGCCCTAACTCCCTTCAGTTCTACGAAGGCTGAGGGAGGTGAGGAGGCTGCAGAAGAAAAATCTGAAGCTAGCAGAAGTTGGCCCATGAAGTTCAAGGAAAGAAGCCATTTCTACCACATAAAAGTGCAAGGTGAGGCTGGGCACAATGGCTCATGCCTGTAATCCCAGCATTTTGGGAGTCAAGGCAGGAGGATCACTTGAGGCCAGGGGTTTGAGACTAGTGTGGGCAACATAGTGAGACCCCATCTCTACAAAAATAAATAAAACTAGCCAGGCATGGTGGCGTATGCCTGTAGTCCTAGCTACTCGGGAGGCTGAAGTGGGGAGGATCACTTGAGCCCAAGAGACTGAGGCTACATACAGTGAGCCAAGATCATACCACTGCACTCCAGCCTGGGCAACAGAGCAAGATGTTGTCTCAAAAAAAGAAAAAAAAAAAAGAAACACTTCTTTTTGGTTTCTGTAGAAATTAACAAGCCAATTCTAAACTCTGTAAGGGAAAGCCAAGTAACCAGAACAGGCTAAACAATTTTGAAAATGAGGAACAAAGTTCAAGGATTCCTACTACTTGATTTCAAGAATTACTATAAGGCTGGGCATGGTGGCTCACTCCTGTTACCTCAGCACTATGGGAGTCCGAAGTGGGAGGATCGCTTGAGCCCAGGAGTTCGAGACCAGCCTAGACAACATAACGAAAAACTTAGCTGGGTGTGGTGGTGCACACCTGTGGTCCCGGCTGTTCAGGAGGCTGAGGTGGAAGGATCACTTGAGCCTGGGAGGTGGAGGCTGCAGTGAGTCATGGCTGTACCACTGCACTCCAACCTGGGTGACAGACTGAGACCTTATCTCAAAAAAAAAGAAAGACGCCAGACTCAAAAGCCCACATGCTGTGCAATTCCACTTCTACCACATTCTGGACAAGGCAAAACGGCAGGAACAGAAAATAGGTCAGTGTTGCTGGGAGCTGGGGGAGAAGAGGGGGCTGACTACAGAAGGTCACAAGAGAAGCATGTCAGGTGTGGAAGAGCTGCAGCGACCACACAGCTGTGCATGAGTGGAAAACCACAGGCCCCTACACATAAGTGGGTTTGCCATGTGAAACGTGTATCTCAATAAACCTAACTTTTTTTTTTTTTTTTTTTGAGAGAGTCTCACTCTGTTGCCCAGGCTGGGGTACAGTGGTGCGATCTCCACTCACTGCAACCTCTGCGTCCTGCACGCAAGTGATTCTCATGCCTCGGCCTCCCAAGTAGCTAGGATTACAGGCACGCACCACCACGCCTGGCTTTTTTTGTATTTTTAGTAGAGATGGGGTTTTGCTGTGTGGTCAGGTTGGTCTCAAACTCCTGAGCTCAAGTGATCTGCCCACCTCAGCCTCCCAAAGTGTTGGGATTACAGGTGTGAGCCACCATGCCCGGCCTAAACCTTACTTTAAGTTAAAAAAATATACACGCACCCAGAGTCAATTCTCATTGTTTGCAGTAATTACGTTCCATAAAGTCACCACTAATACTGAACACCGTACCTCTGTTCCTACAGGAAATACAGGGTCAGGTTCCTACGAGCCTCTGGTCACAACATTTTCAGCAACCAATCAATACGCAACAGCCTTATTTTACGTTTCTGTCAAAGAACTTTATAATTATTATTGTTCTCCGACACTGAACTCACGTGGGGCAGAGCCTGTCCAACACACGTTCTCTCCATGGGACCCATCCCAGCCTGCCTGTGTCCAGGGACACTCAACAGCACTGCGGCACCTCCCCCAGGGGCATCTAAAAAGCAAAATCACCAAGAGCCCCCAAATGCAAGAAGCATGGCCCTCAGTAGATGGAGAAAGGACAATTTGCTTCCAACATGGGAGCAGTGGCAGAGGGCAGGGTGCCTCGCTCACCCCAGCAGGCACCCAAGCACCACGCAACTTGGGCTTTTAGCAGCCTGTGCGTGCCCGCAAATGACTGGGAAAGTGACATAAGTGTGAATTTTGGGGTTACACGTAAGTTTTAACAAATAGGGGATGGGGCCACAGAAGAATTGGGGGAGAACAGACACAACCCCCAAGATCATTGAGCAACAAGAGCTGTGCGGCAGGGCGGTGCCCGTGGTCCCTGCCTGTCCGGGACCCTCCAGGGCACAGCCCACTCTCCTGAGCTCACCCACAGCCAGGTCTGCCATGGTCAGAGACAGGAGACCAGGGAGCACAGAGAGGAACTTTGTCTTTTCCCTTTTGGGAACAGAGTCAAGAGAAACAGCAACAGTGGTCAGGAAAGCCCCCAGCACCCCTGCTCCAGGAGCCGGGTCTCCATGTGACAACGTCCCAAATGCTGCAGGGGTGTCCTGTATTTTTATCTGCAAAACCTGGGCACTGCTGCAAGCCTCGCGCCCGGCCCATCCTTGGGGTCATCCTCCTCCGTTGCTGTCCCCACAAAGTCCAAGAAGGATCGGAGACCAGAGCCCCAGCATCCGAGGTGCATCCGGCAGTCAAGGGATGGGGACAGCGGCCCCCAGGGGATGCAGACAGACGTTCCCTCATGCAAGTGGCCAGATGGCCCAGGCACTGTGTCTCCTGGAGGAATGGGACAGAACACGCCCCTCCCTCAGAACTGCCCTAGCCCAGCCCAGAGAACGCCACACCTCAGGGCCAGCCCCCACGTGCGCTGCGCCCTTGCTGTCCTCTGAAGGCAGGGGATGAGCCAGGGCAGAATCAGGTGTGCCCCATACCTGACTCCACCGCTGACCAACTGCACAGGCCTTGAGGCTCTTTTTTTTTTTTTTTTTTTTTGTGAGACGAAGTCTCGCTCTGTCACCCAGGCTGGAGTGCAGTGGCGTGATCTCGGCTCACTGCAACATCCATGGGCTCATTTTTAAGGTATGCTTGGTACCAGGAGCCGCTGCCGCTGCCCTGGTTTCCTCCCCTGTGACGACGCTGCTGTGAGGACAGCCTGGCAGGGCACGGACGGGAAGGGACGCGTGGTCCCCTCCATGCCCCAGGGGTCCCCCAACCGCACAGATCTGCAGACCCTCCTCCTAATGGCACCCACAGAGCTCAGGCCCTGACCGTGAAAGGGCTCTGGGGGCAGGCGGGCACTCGAGCTCCTCAGGCCACCGGGCAGAGAAAGCAGCAAAGCCCACGCCAGGCCGGATCACGGGGCTGCAGTGCTGAGGCCCGCCCCAGGGAGGCTGCCGGGCGGCTCTGAGGAGCGGTCACCTCAGACCCCTCAGGTGCGCTGCATGGCCCAGGCGGGAGCAGCCTAGAGGGTGGTGCAAAGCCCATAGAAGCAAGCCTTGGGGCCTGGGCTCGGGGGTGCCGGGGGCACATTGGTGGGGCGGGTGGGGTATAGGGGCGAGGTGCTGGGTGGCCTTGCACTATGAGGGTGGCCCCAGCCTCCCTGGGCTTGGCTCCATCGCCACCAAGATCCCCCAGTCCGCACACTCAGACATGAGCCCACCGGGACAGGAATGGAGCAGGCCAGCTGGGGTGGGGGTGGGGGTGGAGACACCAGCAACACGAGAGCCCCAGAAAGCAGTGAGCCCAGGTAGCACACGAGGAAAGACATTTGGAGAATATTAAATGCTCTGCCGGGCATGGTAGTTCACAGCCTTGCAAACCCAGCGGCACTTTGGGAGCCCAAGGCAAGAGGATCGCTTGAGGACGGGAGTTCGAGACCAGCCTGGGCAACATAGTGAGACTCCGCCTCTATAAAAAATCTTAAAATTAGCTGGGTATGGTGGTGTGCACCTGTGGTCTCAGCTACTCAGGAAGCTGAGATGGGAGGATCGCCTGAGCCTGTGGGGTGGAGGCTGCAGTAGCTGTGATGGTGCCACTGCACTCCAGCCTGGGCAACAGGAGACCCTGTCTCAAAAAAAACATAATTACATGCTCCCAAGACAGCCTGCTGGAGTCTAAGGTAGGGTCTAAGCTGCCCCCCAACCAGGTCTCAGGGTGGGCTCCTCCTGGGGAAGGGGGGCCACCCTCCCTAGCAGGACTCAGCCCATAATCTGGCAAGAGCACTCCAAGTTCAGCAGGAGGAGGAAGGAGGCCCTGCAGCCAGTGCTCCCCCAAGCCGCCTCCCGGGTACCTGGCCAGGCACACGGCACCTCCTCTGGCATCCCAGCCTCACCTGCTGACCAGCGTCCAGATGCGCAGCTGGGGACCCACCTCTAGGTAGGATGCCTGCAGGGCCACTGCAGCAGTTTTGACACCCAGAACCCACACACACGGGCGGGAACGGCACTGCCAGGGCGGGTCGGGCGCGAGGGATGTGCTTCATTGGACCATATATTCCAACATCTCTCACTGACAGCTACTTTTTTATTATTCTGAGAGCTTAACGATCAAATTCTCCACTCAGAACAATATGGGGCCAGGCACCGTGGCTCACGCCTGTAATCCCAGCACTTTGGGAGGCCGAGGCGGGTGGATCACTTGAGGTCAGGAGTTCGAGACCAGCCTGGCCTAGATGGTGAAACCCTGTCTCTACTAAAAACACAAAAACTAGCCAGGTGTGGTGGTGCACACCTGTAATCCCAGCTACTCAGGGGGCTGAGGCAGGCAAATCACTAGAACCCAGGAGGCGGAGGTTGCAGTGAGCCGCGATTGTGCCACTGCACTCCAGCCTGGGTGACAGAGTGAGACTGTCTCAAAAACAAAAAAAAAAGCCAGACGCAGTGGCTCACGCCTGTAATCCCAATACTTTGAGAGGCTGAGGCGGGTGGGTCACAAGGTCAGGAGATCGAGACCATACTGGCTAACACAGTGAAACCCCGTCTCTACAAAAAAAAAAAAATTACAAAACATTAGCCAGGCATGGTGGCGGGCGCCTGTAGTCCCAGCTACTTGGGAGGCTGAGGCAGGAGAATGGTGTGAACCCGGGAGGCGGACTTGCAGTGAGCCCAGATTGCGCTACTGCACTCCAGCCTGGGGGACAGAGCGAGACTCCGTCTCAAAAAAACAAAGGTGGAGCAAGCCAGGAGTGCTCAGTGGCTGAGGCAGGAGAAGCTCAGTGGCCCATCCTGCCTGGAGAGTGAGCCAGGGCTGCCAATGGCGCAGTGCTGAGGCCGATCCTCACAGGCCAAGTGGGACAGCCCCATGCCATCCCCTCCAGGACATCACACCTGGGCCCCTGCCACTTCTACCACTCCCGCTCCTGGTGCTCACAGGACGGCCGTGTCTCCAGGGCTCTTCCCTGCCTTCTTGGAAAAGATGGGTGGGACCCCAAAAGTCGGCCCATGGAGCAGCAAGTGCCTAGGGACACGGTGCACTCAGCACTCCAGGGTAGGGCGGCGCTGGCTGCAGCCCTCTACAAATCTGACATTTTTTTTAAGTTTACTTTTTTCCCCACTGGCAAGTATATAGAGCAATAAAGTTTAAACTTCAAAAAAACACTAGAATAAAAATACAAAAGCAACATTTCTAACAGCGCGCCAGAGCGCAGATGATGGCACATGCCAAGCCCAGTGAAGACCAGCAGCACGGACAGGGTGCTTCCGCCCAGGCTGCGCCAGAGACCGGGGCAGAGCCCGCGGCCCTGCAGGGGCAGGGGCTTTCTGGCATCCTTTCAAACTACATTAAAATTTTTTTTTTTTGATACGGAGTCTCACTCTGTCACCCAGCCTCAACTTTTATTAAAATTAAAACAAAAAGGCCGGGCATGAGCTCACGCCTGTAATCCCAGCACTTTCGGAGGCCGAAGCGGGTGGATCACTTGAGGTCAGGAGTTCCAGACCAGCCTGACCAACATGGAGAAACGCCGTCTCTACTAAAAATGTAAAACTTAACCAGGCCTGGTGGCGCCTGGCTAGTCCCAGCTACTTGGGAGGCTGAGGCAGGAAATCGCTTGGGCCGGGGAGGCGGAGGTTGCAGTGAGCCGAAATCGCGCCTCTGCACTCCAGCTTGGGCCACAGAGCAAGACTCCATCTCAAAAAAAAAAAAAAAAAAAAAATTAAACAAAAAAAATCCAAAAGATGGGGTGTTAACCTCTTGCAATGAAAAACAGAAACACCCAAGGCAAAATGGTAATGGCCTGTCCACTGAAAAGCAGAAGCCCCACATGAGCAAGCTGCAGGCGGCTGGCAGGCACCGATTCCTGCTGTCCTGTTTTGGATGCTATCTAACATCTTCATGTTCAACCCAGAGAAGAAACATCCCGCCGTTGCCCTGGGGCCCTCTCATCCCACAGCAGGTTTCAAGCCTTCCCCAGCCCTCGGGATGGACAACCCTTGAGAAGCAGAGGTCAGGGAACCCTGACCCCGCCACCCTTGCCCAGGCCATCCGCTGCCCTCACAGGCACAGACAGAAGGCCTCTGTCCGTGGCCAGGGCACTCCATGGGGAAGAAACAGGCCCTGTTCCCTCCCTGCTCACCACTTCACCCAGCTCAGCTGGCACAAAAATACTGCCACCACACCTTCACCCTGCCTAGCCCAACCTGGCAGGGCCTCGGAGTAGCCTGCCAGCTAAAATACGGGTTGCCCAGATAACTGTGAATGTCAGATAAGAATCTTCTGGGACAAGTATGTCCCATGCCATATTTGGGACATACTTACACTAATAAATTTCTGTTTATCTGAAACTCAAATTTGCCTGGGCGTCCTGTACTTTTCTTAACTAAATTTGGTGCCTCTACACACAAGGTCCCTGGGGTGGGGGGGCACAGGAGCAAGCCCCTTCCCAGGCTGGGTCCCTGCCGGCATCTCCCACAGGCCAGGACTGGCCACCCAGATGGAGCCCGTGCCAGGCAGCCGGCGACAGACGGACAAAGGCTGCTCAGGAGACACTGCACACCTTCCTCTTTCTTGTCTGGGGGCTCAAGAATCCAGACGCCCACCTCCCCGAGCGAGCACCAAGACAGGAAGCCAACCTGCAATGCCCAGCCCACTGCGACCACAGGGCTCTGCCGGGGTCCTGCCGGAACCCAGGGTTCCGGTCCAGAAGCCAGGGATAAATGCCGCTTCTCCTATAGGGACAGTCAGAGTAGAGAGGGGGAGGCCTACAGTCTCACCTGCAGGGAGAGGAAGTCCTCGGGGCGGGCACGTGGGGGGCCTGACAGCTCCGAGCACACCCGGCCACAGTGACCACGGACTGCACACGCAGAAGCAGTCTGGATCCCACGCGTGGCTGTGCTGCCAGCAGACAGCACCCAACCTCCCATGCTCCTCATCACAGGAAAAGAGACCAGCAGCATCTCTGCCAGGCATGGTGGGGCCCCTCCGCCACAGCCTAGGAGTCCAGGCCACCCACCCTCACAGCACTGGAGTGCGTGGGTCAGTGAGGCCCTGGGACGGGCCTGCGGGCACAGGGGGACAGAGGGTTCGGGGAGGGCGGCGCAGCCCCACGAAGGGCTCCTCCCAAGCCTGTGTGGGGCCCAGGGGAGCTGCACCTCCGGGATGGGACAAGGCAGGGTCCTGGCTTTCATCAGCCACAGCACAGCTGCCACAGGGCACAAAAGGACGGCTGAGAGACGAGGTCCTCACCCACACCATGGGGAAACCGAGGCATGGGAAGGTTGGAGGGGGGGCAGCCAGGCTGGCGCCAAGATCACAGGCAGGCAGGCCTGAAGGCCGAGCAATGCAGCCACTAGGAAGGCATGAGTTGGGGTCGGGGTGTCCCCAGCCCTAGAGCCCAAAGCTGCCACCACTCCCCACCCCCAACATGGGTGGGGGCAGGGAGAGCTCTTCTTGGGACCAATCCCAAAACCATGCGCAGTGGGCCCGGCTGGAGCCCAGGCAGCAGGCATCCTCTCTGCCAGGGTGAGAAACTGGGCCCTCATGTCAGGCTGGAAGGGGGGTCTCCAGGTGGGGAGAAAGAACAGGAAGGAACAGGCCCCTCCCTCGAGGGACCCCGCACCCAGGCTGCTCCCTGAGCGTGGGGTGGGCTCAGCGCACCTGGGTCCACACAGGGACCTGGCAAAGCTGTATGAGGCTGTGGGAGGGGCTGCCGCTGGATGGGGTACAGGCCCACCGCCCCTCTGAGAGGACAGGGGAGGCCCAGAGCTGCTGATGCGGACTGACCGCCCATCTCACAGACGGGATGTAGGGGGCTCCCACCGTCCCCAAGGTCACAGGACTGGCCGGCCAGACCACACGGCGTCCAAGGCAGCAGAAGCCACGCTCGAGAGACACAGAGTGTTCTGGGCACTCGGGGTCAGGGGCATGGGGATCAAGCCAGAGCGGGAGTGACCCCAGCTCCCTCCAGCAGCGCAGGCTGCAGGTGGGAAAGGTAATGAGCACCTGCCCGAGAGGGTCACAGGCAGGGAGGGGTCTCAGAGTCCTGGGGAGGGAGGCGCTGATGGAATGATGGAATGCACACGACCCCCCACCTTCCTGTGAAAGACCCCACGGAGTCCCAGGCACACGAAGGAGGGCAAGGCTCAAAGCTGCAGGCCCGGGGGGCCCGAGCAACAGGAGGCTGGGCCCACGGAGGAAGCCCCTGCCCAGGAGGCCCTCCGGCCTCTCCCCAACCCTTGCAAAGCGCCTCCCGAATGGGCTGAGGTGAGCGAGAGGCAGGGAAAAGTTTGGGGGGACTTAGAGGCGTGCTCGGGATGCTCGCTCCCTGCTGAAGACCCCCTGAGGGATCCCTGCTGGGGGAAGCCCCGGGGCCAGGCTGCAGGAGGGCTCTAGGGAGGAACGTGGCCCCTCACCGGGGCTCCCCATCCCCAGAGGGGATGCACCGGAGTCCCAGCACAGGGCCGCGGGCCGGGGGAGACCCCACAGCCCCAAAACTCCTGCTCCCAGACCGGCAGCCGGCGCCTCCCAAGGCCACGTGCTCCCGCTGGGGGCTCCCGGCCCCGGACCCCCGGATGTCCCGCAGGCCCCGCGCCCCCCCGCCACCCCCGCGGCCGCCCCCTCGGCCCCAACAGGTGGGCCGCCCCCCACCCCCGGGCCGCCGAGCCCCGCCCGCCCCCGATGGGGCCGACCCGCGGGGCCATTTTGGGTTGGGGTGAGCACGGCGGGGGGCGGTTCGGGAAGGAGCCGGGGGCCGCGAGGGCGGGCGGGGGGCGCGGGGCCTGCGGGGCAGAGGGGCGGGGGAGGCGGCAGCGGCGGCGGGTGGGGGCTGCGGGCGGGTCGGGGCCGGGCATAAAGGCGGTGCGGCCTTACCTCCGACCCTGTACATGTTGGCGGCCATGTCCGGGCCGGCGGCGGCGGAGGGGCCCGGGGCGGGCGCGGCGCTCGGCGCGGGCGGCCGGGAAAATGGAGGCGCGATGGCGGGGGCGGGGGGCGCCGCAGGCGTTTAAAGGGGCCGCGCTGCTGCCGCCGCCGCCGCCGCCGCCGCCGCCGAGGCCGCCGAGGCCGCGCAGGGACGGGAGGGCCGCGGCGCGGGCGGGAGAGGAAGAGGAGGAGCGGCCGCGGGCGGCGGGGAGGGGCCTCGGGCGCCGCCGCCCACCGCACGGGCCGTTACCGACCCCGCGCCGCCCGCGGCCCGCGCGCCCCTTCCCGGACAGTTCCTCTCGGCGCCCCCGAGTCCTCCCCGCGCGCCGCTTCCCGGGTGGGCCCTTCCACCAGAACCCCCTGGTAGATCCTCCCCTGGTGCCCTGGGGGTAGAGGGGAGATCCTCCACAAGGGCCATTTCCCTGGTGATCCCTCCCTGTGCCCCACAGGTGAGTCCTGCCGTAGCTCTCCAGGGGTTCCTCCTGATGCTGGGGTCCTCCGGCATTCCTCCCTGAGCCCCCCAAGGGCCCTGAAGCTCAGCGGCCCAGCCCTGGCCTCGGGGTCCCCACCCCACACCTCCCTTCCAGGCCTAACCTTTGCCCCCGACACCAGGCAGGGCGTGTCCTTGGCCTTCGCCGCCCAGCCCGCGTGGCATCTCTGGACAGGTGGTCGTGCGCGCCTTGGTGTGGGCAGGCTCCGTAGCCGGCAAAGCCTCCCTGAACCGTGACCTGGTGAGAAGGCCGCAGAGGAGGTGCCTGTGCCCAGAGGCCACCTCCAAAGACCCCACCTGAGGCTGGAACCCAGCGCCTGCTGACCCCGCCAGCCCCAACAGGGCTGGAGTCCAGGAGCGGCCGTGCTCTTTCCGCAGTGAGGCAGCTGCCTTCTCTTCCCACCACCTGTCAGGATGCCTTCCCGTGTGTGCTTGTGCACAGGTCTAAGGAGAGGAGAGTCCAGTGAGTGACCCAGACGCCCCAGCCAGGAAGAGCATGAGGTGCGAAGGGGGCTTCCCAGATGGAGAGAAACAGATGGTCCCAGAGTGGCTTGGAGACAGGTGCAACATCAGTGTTGGGGGAGGTGAGCAAAAGGAGCTGTCTCGGGGTTCCAGGCTGCTGATGTGAGCAGCACCGTGGGTCTCTGTCCTGCCTGCTCAGATGCTGGAGGGAGCTGACATCTACTTGGGACATCCCTCTCTGTAGGACATGGAGCGGAGCGTTCAGGGCTATCAGGAGGGAGCCCCGTGGCCACGGTGCAAGATCTAGGCAGGCGGGACAGACATGGTCAGGATGCTGGGGACACAGCATGGGGAATCCAGCACACAGGACACCATCCAGGTGGGTAGGAAACAGCATGTGCTGGGAGGAAAGCCAGGTGGGGGTCCCAAGGAGAGCGGTGGCCACAATGTCATGGCTGCAGAGCAGACCAGTAAGGAAAGCCCCACCAGGGTTAGCACAGGGCCAGGAACCCGAGCTGCAGGGCGGTGCTGTCTCTGGGGAGAGAGGGCTATGGGTCCCAGGACACATCCTGCGGGCTGGGCTGCAGGGAACAGGAGCTGGCTTGCTGGTGATTGGGAGGGAAGAGCAGCCAGCCAGCGGCCAGGTGCAGGAGAGGGGCAATGACAGACAGGCAGCGTCTCTCCAGAAGGAAGGTGGGGCTGCTGGCCTCCCCTGTCCTACAGCCCCAGCCTACCTCTGTCTCCTCAGCAGGAAAGCAAAGCTGCAGCCTGAGATCTCCTTCCACCAACTCCTGGCATGGCCAGAAAGTTAGCCAGAAACACCAGAAAGTGCCAGGCAGCTAGGAAGCATGGGGAGAGCCCCCTGAAGCTGCGTGTGTAGTGCCTGCTTCCGCTGCCATCCCAGAAATGGACGAGCTTCACCCTGAGAACCCAGCCACACCACTGGGACACATCCTGACAGTGACATGCACACTCTTCCCTGGCCCCAGCCTGGAGAGGAGCCTCCTGAAGACACCAGCCTTTGCTCCTTCTCCCAGTGGGAGTGGAGAGAACTGACTGCTGGAGTGGAGACAGTCAAGGCTGTCCTTCTGAGGGAGCACAGCACAGGGTCTGGTGTCCCAGGGAGGCAATCTGAAATTCAAGCCAGGCCTCCCCAGCGGAGAGGACACACCCCTCACCATGCAGAGTGACGTTTAGTAAACTCTCAAAAGAGAGCACAGAGCCCCACTCCTCCAGCCGACCCATACTCTGCCTCCCCACTCCAGACCAGTGAACAAGGTGGATTGCCCTTAAGCCAGCTCAGAGGCAAAGTCCAAAGACCTCAGGTGAGTCAAACAATAAAAACAAAGAATTAAGAAGAATCCAGCTGGGTGCGGTGGCTCACGCCTGTAATCCCAGCACTTTGGGAGGCTGAGGCGGGAGGATCACGAGCAGGAGGTCGAGACCATCCTGGCTAACACGGTGAAACCCCGTCTCTACTAAAAATAGAAAAAATTAGCTGGGCGTGGTGGCGGGCGCCTGTAGTCCCAGCTACTCCGGAGGCTGAGGCAGAAGAATGGCGTGAACCCAGGAAGCGGAGCTTGCAGTGAGCCGAGATCATGCCACTGCACTCCAGCCTGGGCGACAGAGCGAGACTCCGTCTCCAAAAAAAAAAAAAAAAAAAAAATCCATCCACTCCATCCACTTAGTAGCAGAGCGAATAGACATTCAGGAAAGAGCTTTCACGTCAGAAAGCACTACAGAAGTAGTGGCATATCCCCGGAGGCTGAGGTGGGAGCATTGCTGAGAGGTGGCACGTGACCACATCCATGTCATTCAACAACAGAAAAACAAGTCATCGAGGGTGTGAGGGGCCGGTGAGAAACCCAGTATGGAAGAAAACACAACTGGGCTGAGCGTGGTGGCTCACGCCTGTAATCCCAGCACTTTGGGAGGCCAAGGCAGGAGGATCACCTGAGGTCAGGAGTTCGAGACCAGCCTGGTCAACATAGTGAAACCTCATCTCTACTAAAAATACAAAAAAATTAACTGGGTGTGGTAGCGCGTGCCTGTAGTCCCAGCTACTCCGGAGGCTGAGGCAGGAGAATTGCATGAACCCAGGAGCCGAGACCACACCACTGCACTCCAGCCTGGGGGCGGCACAGTGAGACTCCGTCTCAAAGAAACAAAAATAAAAAATAAATAAATAAATAAATAAATAAATAAGAAAACGCAACCAAAGAAACAGAAGAGGACTCCACAGGACTTCTTTCAGAGCTTCATAGCAGCATGAATTCAACAATCAGGAATTCAAATGCTTGACGACAAAACAGCAGGATGGGAGGAAGAGTTAAGAGCCAAGCAAACCGGAAGCACCAAAATCGCACCGTGGCTGGATCAAGTCATAAACAGCAAAGGGCAGAATATCAAGTTACTTGGAGATGAAAGGCTTGAGATAATTTCAGAGCAAGACAAAGTGATTAACACAATAATTTACTCATTGATTATTTGTTAAACATCTACTTCAAGCTACAGGCCACTCTAGGCCTTGGAGGGTAAGGAAACAGCACCTTTGCCCTCAGAGGGTTTGCAATCTAGCAGGGAGGGGAACATAATAAAGTGTATAAAACCAGGGCTCTGGCTCTGAAGTTCCAGCACTTTGGGCAGGTCACTTGAACCCAGGAGTTTGAGACCAGCCTGGGCAACATAGTGAAAACCCATCTCTACTGAAAAATATAAAAATTAGCGGGGCGTGGTGGTGCATGCCTGTAGTCCCTGCTACTTGAGAGGCTGAGGCAGGAGGATAGCTTAGGCCTGAGAGGCATAGTTCGCAGTGAGCCGAGATAGCACCTCTGCACTGCGGCGTGGGTGGCAGAGCAAGACCCTGTCTAACAACAACAACAAAAACTGATCTTAAGTCCAGCCAGTAAAGATGTAAATCAAAACAAAGACTTTCAGTGGGTCAAATACTGGCGGTGAGCCTTGATCTTCTGGTAAGAAATGCCCTGCCAGGGGATATGGAAATGTCAGTGCCAGTTCCTCACCATTCACAGGCAGAAGTCAGCCGGTGCCGCCTCAGCCGAACCGTGCTTTGCTGCTGTAAACCAAACACACTCATCTCTTGATGTTTTTGTAATTTCTAAAAATAATCGTAGAAGACTTTTTTTTTTTTTTTTTTGGAGACAGGGTCTCACTCTGTCACCCAGGCTCAAGTGCAGTGGGCCTATCTCGGCTCACTGCAGCCTCGACTTCCTGAGCTCAAGCGATCCTCCCACCTCAGCCTCCCAAGTAGCTGGGACTACAGGAGAGCACCACCACGCCCGGCTGATTTTTGTATCTTCAGTATGGATGGAGCTTCCCTTTGTTGCCCAGGCTGTTCTCCAACTCCTGAGCTCAAGCGATCTGCCTGCCTTGGCTTCCCAAAGTGCCGGGATTACAGGCCTGAGCCACGGCGCCCGGCCATCGTAAGGAGACTTTTAAACTTGAGGTGAAGAAGCATTCATCTGCTTTTAGCAATTTTTTTCTTTAAATATTTAAAAGTCTATAAGTAGCAACTCGACACGTATTTCTGTATTTCCATTACATCCTTTTATCTCCCCATATACATTTAGAAATATCTGGGATAACCTTTAGGTAATGTTAACAGCTGTTATTCCAGGGAGGACACTGGGCGCGTTTTTAAAGCTGTATTCGTTGCTGTATTAATAGCAAGCGGTGTTTCTGCAAAGCCAAGGAAGGCGTTTCTCCAGCGGGGCCGCGTCGGGCATTGTCTGGTGCGCCGGGGAAGGCCGCGAACTACATCTCCCAGGCGCCCCGCGCCCCGTTCCGCGCCCCGCGCCCCCGCCCGCGCGGCTCCTGCTGTGGTGCCGGAGCGTCCTCGGCTCGGTCCGGAGCCAGCCGGAGTCACAATTCGAATCGGGCGTGGGAAGCCCGGGGGACCACGCGGCCAACCCTGGGCGGACCTGCGCGCCGGAGACCGCGTCCCCGGGAGCCCCCAAACGCTACCCCGCGCGGCCGCCCGTGGCGCTGCGGAGGCCTGCGGGTGGGGAGGCGCAGTGGCGGCCGGGGCGACGGCCTAAGCACCACACTACTGCTGCGAGACTTCGGGGGATCCCCACTCCCCTCCCAGGATCCTTCCCACTCCCCTCCCAGGATCCTTCCCACTCCCCTCCCAGGATCCTTCCCACTCCCCTCCCAGGATCCTTCCCACTCCCCTCCCAGGATCCTTCCCACTCCCGAGACTGCTTCTTCTGTCCCCTTGATTCCACGCGCCTCAGAGACCCTCCCTCTGCCGTCCCGCGAAGAGCGCGCCCCTCCCCTTGCAAGGTGGGCTTCACATGCGCTCCCGCCGCACGCACCCTCCTCTGCCCCCGGGTTTCCTGCCGGGCCCTCATGGTTTGGGGCTGCCCATGCATTGCGGGATCCTGAGCAGCACAGCGCCGCCGCCTCTGCCCACCAGGTGCCGGCAGCCCCTGTGGAAGGCAGAATGCCCCTCTCACAGATACTTGTGTACAAATCCCCAGAACCTTGGAGCAGGCTGGGTTAACTGGGTTAAGTGGCAGGTTAGGAAGGGGGCTAACCAGTTCACCCGAAAGCAGGCAGGCGACCCTGGATCTTCCGGGTGGGCCCAGCGTAGCCACAAGTGTGTTTCAGGGTGCAGGAGGGAGGCAATGGAGAGGTGGGCAGAGAAGGGCAGGGCAGAGAGGGGCTCGGCCGCTCCGAAGGAGGCCACAACTACCAGCCAAGGAATGCAGGTGGCTTCTTGAGGCTAGAAAAAGGGAAACAGGGTCTCCCCTGGCACCTCCAGAAGGAACAGAACTCTGCCAACCCCTCATTCTGAGCCCAAAGATACCCATTTTGAACTTCTACAAAACTTAGCTAATACATTTGTGTTGTTTTAAAACACTCAAAGCCAGGCACCAGTGGAACACTCATGTAACCCCAGCTACTCAGGAGGCCGAGGCAAGAGGATTGCTTGGGTCAAGGAGTTCAAGACCAGCCTGAGCAACATACCAAGACTGTTTCTCTATAAAAACTTACAAAAAAAAAAATAAAGGCCGGGTGTGGTGGGATGCACCTGCAGTCCCAGCTACCCAGGAGGCCAAAGTCGGGGGATCACTTGAGTCCAATAGTTCAAGACCAGCCTGGGCAACATAGCAAGCCTGCCCCCCGCTCCGCCCCAACCACCAAAAAAAGAAAAAAGAAAAAGAAACCAAACCTACTGAATTTGTGGCAATTTTTATGGCAGCTACAGAAAACTAGTACACAAATCCCAGTTGTGACAACCTAAGCGGTCTCCAGGCACTGCCCCTGTCCCGGCACCACCTCTGTTGGAGAGGCCTGTGCCTCTCAGTGCCAATACCCTGCTGCCAGCTGGCCCTGTGGCCACCTTACCCACCAGGAGACTGGCTCTGGGCCTCAGCCTGAAGGAGGCCAGGGTTTTGTCTCTGCTGCCACCATGGGGGAGGTGCTCTGTAGGGAGACCTCATGGAGCAGAGAGGGCAACCATCCCAGCATCACCAGCATCCTGGACCACCACGCTCTGACTGCAGCCTCAGGAGACACTCAAACGAGAGCAGGAGAGCTGGCAGGATGAGCCCAGCCAACCCCCAAGTCACAGAACAACGAGTGGTTCTTTAAAGCCACTCAGCAACAGAGGACTGCCCAGCTCATCACCCCCATGGCAACTGCTTACCTGTCAGCTCCGCTCTGCCCTGTTTACACCTGGGGATGCCTGCCTGGCATGCAGCTGGGCCCATAGGATCCCATTCCCCACATCATCATCAGGGGCCTCAGAGGGGGTGGGTCATGACCCAAAACTCCCCACACCCTTAAGGACAGTGCCCTGCCCAAAACTCCCCACACCCTTAAGGACACCTGCCCTAGCCCCTGGAGGATCTGCCCTCCATCCACCTACCCTAGGGCTCCTGAGAAATGCAGAGGATCCCTAGGGTGCACCAAATGACATTCAGAGGACTTGGGAGAGAAGGGGAGCACCTGGCTGTGTAATCTTGGAAGGCTTCCTGAAGGAGGAGGGAACTTCACTGAGTCTTACAGTAAGAAGGGGAGACAGGCAGGTGCAGAGGATTCAACTCGGGCCAGGGATCCTGTGTCAGGGCAGCAGGTGGCTGGCAGTGCAGTCAGGTGGCTTCTCAGCAGCGGGAAGGGGAGGGTTACAGGCCAGGTGGGCAGCACAGCCAGCATGTAGTGTATCTGGTGGTCCAGGCCACCGCACAGGTCCAGCTCCTGCCCTCACCTGGAGCCCAGGAGTGATCACCTCCGCTTGCCCCAAAGCCTCCTCCACCTAGCCACCTCCACAGAAGCCCAGTCAGGCCCCTAACAGTCAGTCACAGAGTTCAGGGCCCTTTCCCCACCCCCACCCACCCCGGGCTGGGAACCCATGCTCACAGCTCTCCTGCCCCGCCTCCCAATCCAGTCCCCCTGCAACTTAGTGTCCCCAAAATGCAGCTGGGACACGTTACCCCGGCTCAGCACCCTTCCGAGGGCCCTGCAGCCTGGAAACGAGGCAGTCACCCAGTGGACCATGTCCCACAGGCCCCTGCGGCAGCCAGCTCCTCACAGTTGCTCAGACCCCCTGCGCAGGATACCCTCTTGGCCCTCGTCCACCACCAGCATCGCTGTCCAGAGGCCAGGAGGCATCTCTGCCTCCAGACAGCCTCCCTCTGTGCTGGGCACTGCATTGGGTCCCTGGGCTTGCTGCTCCCCACCACAGCACCCCTGGGGTCCCGTGTGCCCTTCTGGGTCTTCAGAGGCAGGACCCAATGTGAGACCCCGCCCCCTGGAGAACTCTGCCTGGCCCATCTCACAGCCTGGTGCAGGCAGATACCCAGTTCCCCAGACCAGGCCAGCCAAGGAGCTGAGTCTCCAGGCAGCGCCTGCCACTGGGGCTTCCCAGGACACCAGTGCACCTCAGGCAGGCCCAGGTACCCCAGGCCTCCTCCCAGCGGCCCCGAGGGCAAGCTCCTGCTACCCAGGCCTTGCCAGGGCCCTCTCAGACTGACCCGGGGCAGTGTTCCCCTCCCCTAGATGGCCTCCCATAGCCCCTAGCCCGGTCTCCAAGGCCTCAGCAGCTGCAGGCTGTCCGGAGCCAGGTCCTGCCTGGCCTGTTTTCCTAACATGGGTGGGTGGTGACCCCCTGGTGGGGCACAAAGAAGGCGCAGAGGCTGCCCCCACCGTGGGCCCCCAAGGAAAGGCACTGGAAGACAGACAATGGGCTGAATGGGGCTCTTAGGAAGGGGGTGACCTCGAGGCCTCGAAAGTCGCATTATGCCAGAAAGGCGCACTGCGCGCCAGGAAGGCCTGGAAGGCGTTGGTGGACTCGGTGGACCTCAGCGGGTGGGGAAGGAGCACGTCCTTGTCCACGTCCTCCGACACCAGCTGGGCTACCATCTGCACGACGTCCTGCGGGCGAGGGTGGTCAGGGAGCCTCGAGGGGCGGGAAGGGGACAACGGCGGGGCCCGGGAGCGCCGGGGTAAAGGGCCCAGTGGGACTGAGTCGAGGGAGGCGAGGCGGAGGGGCGGGGCGGGGCGGGGACGGGGCGGGGAGGACCCGCCCCCCGCGCACCCTGCAGTGCAGCTGGGTCCCGGCGGCGCCCGGCCTCTCCCGGCCGCCCAGCGTGGCCAGCCGCCGGCGCTCGTCGATGCTGACGCTCCAGCGGCGGCCCGGGCGCCTGCGTTCCGGCGGCTCGCACACCTGGGGGACAGGGCAGCGGGTCGGCGAGGGCCTCGGCGCCAGCTCCCCTTCGCCGCTCCCACCCAGCACCCGCCGACCCTCAGAGCTCGCCCCCGGGCGCTTTCTAAAGCGCCGTCTGCTCAGCCTCCCGCTGCTCCAGCGCCAGCTCCCGGCGCGGGGCCTCAGGCAGTGTGGCCCTCTGTGGCTTTGCACAGTCATCTGTGCCAGGACACCGCCCAACCCAGTACCTGCCCCGCTTCATGTACAGCAGGGCTGCCTGTGGACCGCTTAGTCCTCACGGCCGGCCCCCGGCTTGACCGGCAGGAGAACCCCCGGAGCTCGAGCACTGATGCGTGCCTCAGGAAAGGCAGGACTAAGGCCAGCTCCAGACTGCCCTTCTCCCCAGACCCCTCTGAAATGATCATAAAGAGAGTTCGGGAGAAAATAAAGATCATGAATCCATAGACAAAAGACCAGCGCCAGTGGAGGAGGGCCCCTGGCAGGGTACAGGAGACTGGAGGGCAGGGACCACCAGCTGGAGAAGCTGTGGGAGGGCCACAGGGAAAGGCCAGAAGCAGGTGAGGTCCCCAGCACGACCTCTATCCCCCAAGAAGGAACTTCCCACGTGGGCTGCAGGAGACGGTTCCTCCAGACTCTGCTCAGCCTGAGGTTCACCATCCTCCACCTCCCTCACCAGGGGGAAGGGGAGAGGGGAGAGAAGGCAGTGCCATGCTAAGAGTGGGATTCATGCAAACCCGAAGTGAATTCTCATTCCTCAAAACATTAAAATCAGAATTGCATGGGATCCAGCAATTCCGCTTTGGGGTATGTACCCAAAAGAGTTGAAGGCAGGAAGGCAAACAGATGTGCGCACTCCAACACAGCAGTGGTCATTATTCACAATAGCGAAAATGTGGAAGGAATCCAGGTTTCCACAATGGATCAATGGATAAAGAAAATGTGGCAGATCCAGAAAATGGAATATTATTAAGCCTTAAAAAGTAAAAAGGCTGGCCGGGTGTGGTGGCTCATGCCTGTAATCCCAGCATTTTGGGAGGCCGAGGCGAGTAGATCACCTGAGGTCAGGAGTTCGAGACTAGCCTGACCAACGTGGAAAAACCCCATCTCTACTAAAAATACAAAATTAGCCAGGCGTGGTGGCACATGCCTGTAATCCCAGCTACTCAAGAGGCTGAGGCAGGAGAATCGCTTGAATCCGGGAGGTGGAGGTTGCACTGAGCCGAGATCACACCATTGTACTTCAGCCTGGGCAACAAGAGCAAAACTCCGTCTCAAACAAACAAACAAAAAAGGTAAGGAGGCTAGGCGCCATGGTTCACATCTGCAATCCCAGCAGTTTGGGAGCCCAAGGCAGGAGGATCGCTTGAGGCCAGGAATTCTAAACCAGCCTGTGAGACCCCATCTCTACAAAAGAAAAATTAAAAAATTAGCCAAGTTCAGTGGCACATGCCTGTAGTCCTTGCTACTGGGGAGGCTGAGGCAGAGATTGCTTGAGCCCAGGAGGCTGAGGCTGCAGTGAACTGTGATTTTGCCACTGCACTCCAGCCTGGGTGACAGAGTAAGACTCTGGAAAAAAAAAAAAGAGAGAGAGAAAGAAAAAGAAGGAAGGAAGGAGAAAGAGAGAAAAAGAACGAAAGAAAGAATGAATGAAAGAAAGAAAGGAAGGGAGAAAGAAACAGAAAATGTAAGAAAATCCTGGCTGGGCACAGTAGCTATAATCCAAGCACTTCAGGAGGCTGAGGAGGGAGGATCGCTCCATCCCCTTGAACTCCCCAGGAGTTCAAGGCCACAGTGAGCTAGGATTGCACCACTGCACTCCAGCCTGGGTGACAGTGCAAGACTCTGTCTCAAAAAAAAAAAAAAAAAGAAGAAGAAGAAGTCTTAATAGTCTAGGGCACCACCACACAGCAGCGCTGCAAGCTAGAAGGTGATGGACAAAGCCTTAAAATCCTGAAAGAAAATTATTTCCCACCTAGTATCTCACCCAACCAAGGTGTCATTCAAGCATACAGGCAGAATAAAGATATTTTCATATCTTTAGAGTCTCAAAAACTTTCACATCCTCTGAACCCTTTTGGAGGAAGCTGCTAGATGTACTCCACCAAAACAAAGGATAAACCAAGGAGAACAAGCTGGGGCCCAGGAAACAAGGGGTCCTGTAGACAGGAGGCAGGCGGATTGTAGGGGGAGGGGAGAGGGAGTGGGGAAGGCTACTCAGTGGCCCTGCCAGCTGGGCTGGTTGCTGGCAGTCCAGGGCTCCAGGAAGGCCACTGCCAAGGAGAAAACACAGCTCCAGACGACCCAATGTACAGGGGTCTGTGAGAGGAGAGTCCTAGATTTGTTGGAAGGTTTAGGAAAGAATAATCAGTTCGTAGAAGAGGGAGGAGGAGGAGGAGGAGCAGGAGGAGGGGGAGGGGGAGGAGGGGGGAACACAATGATTTCCTCCAGGGAAAACAGCACAAAGGCAACACGGCCATCCCACGGTCACGATGCCACATGGTCACTGTAAAGCTAACAGTGGAATTGGGTTTCTGCTGAGTAGACAGAATGCTGGTGGGAGGATGGGGAAGGGGCGCTACACCCTTCGTCTCTGCGGTGGGGCATGGACAGAATGCAAGACAGAGGAATGAAAAGGAGGCAGTGCGGCCGGGCACGGTGGCTCACGCCTGTAATCCCAGCATTTTGGGAGGCCGAGGCGGGCAGATCACCAGAGGTCAGGAGTTTGAGACCAGCCTGGTCAGCATGGCGAAACCCTGTTTCTACTAAAAATACAAAAATTAGCCCAGCATGGTGGCACGCACCTGTAATCCCAACTACTTGGGAAGCTAAGGCAGGAGAATTGCTTGAACCCAGGAGGCAGAGGTTGCAGTGAGCCAAGATCATGCCATTGCACTCCAGTCTGGGTGATGGAGCGAGACTCTGTCTCAAAAACAAAAAACAAACAAACAAAACACAAAAATTAGCTGGGTGTGGTGGTGGGTGCCTGTAGTCCCAGCTACTTGGGAGGCTGAGGCAGGAGAACCACTTGAACCCCGGAGGCGGAGGTTGCAGTGAGCCAAGATCACGCCACTGCACTCCAGCCTGGTGATAGAGTGAGACTCCGTTTCAAAAAAAAAAAAAAGGAAGAAAGAAAGAAAGAAAAGGAGGCAGCGCACCGGCAAAAGTGCACTTCTCACCTCAGCATGCGGTGGGACGTCTGCAAGGGCTGAGAGTGGCTTTGGGGACTGCTGTTCTAAATATATATGTTTTAACAAAAGTAATTTAAAATTTAAAAAAAATAAGATTTAAGTAATGAGTAATCCAACAGACACAGGAGAACATGCACAGAACTCTTTAACTCATAGAGAATCCATGTTCTTCCCAAACAAGCTCAACATGCACATGAATTGGCCACAAACAAAATAGACCCCAATGCAGATAGAGCCCCATAACACAGACAGACCCCCATGCAGACAGACCCCCATAACACAGATGGACCCCCATGCAGACAGACCCCCATAACACAGATGGACCCCCATGCAGACAGACCCCCATAACACAGGGTTCTGCAACTACAAAGTGACACAATTAGAAATTAATAGCAAAAGGATAACAAAACACTCCTGTTGATATGGACATTCCAAAACACCCTTCTAATTAAGTCCTGAGTGAAAAAGAAAATAAAGACTGAAATACCAATTTATTTAGAAAGAAACAATGGCAGAGTGCAGTGGCTCTCGTCTGTAATCCCAACACTTTGGGAGGCCTAGGCAGGATGGCTTGACCTCAGCAGAGAAGTTCGAGACCAGCCTGGGCAACATAGGGAGACCTCATCTCTACAAAAAATAATTAGCTGGGCATGGTGACGTGTACCTACAGTCCCAGCTATTCGGGAGGCTGAGATGGGAGGATCACTTGAGGCTAGGAGTTCAAGGCTGCAGTGAGCCGTCATGGTGCCACACGCTGCACTCTAGCCTAGACAACAAAGTGAGATCCCATCTCTAAAAAAATTTAAGAAACTGGCCGGGCATGGTGGCTCATGCCTGTAATCCCAGCACTTTGGGAAGCCAAGGTGGGTGAATGGCCTGAGCTCAGGAGTTCGAGACCAGCCTGAGCAACATGATGAAACCCCATGCCTACTAAAATATAAAAGATTAGCCAGGCATGGTGGTGTGCACCTGTAATCCCAGCTACTCAGGAGGCTGAGACAGGAGAATTGCTTGAACCCAAGAGGTGGAGGCTGCAGTGAGCCAAGATCACGCCACTGCACTCCAGCCTGGGTGACAGAGTGAGACTGTCTCAAAAAAAAAAAAAAAAAATTAAGAAATTAGCCAGACATGGTGGCTGAGAAACGAACGATGAAATCAGGACACACCAAAACGTGAGGTATGGTCAAAGCTGTGCTGCGAGAAGCTGGAGCTTTAAATACATCTTTAGAAAAAGGTCCCCAAACCATGACCGTGCAAATTATTTGAAAAGATACAAAAAGAACAGCAAAAGAAATGGTCTGAAAGCTTAAAGATGAAATTAGGAAAGATTAATGACTAAATTAAAATTTAAAAATGGTGAATAATGATCACAATGGGCTCTTTGAAAAACCAATAAAACAGACTTACTCTTTCCTTACATCCTCACCAACTCCACATAGATCCACCTTTATAATTTTTGCCAACTTTTTCACTGTTTCATTTAGTTCCTTTTTTTTTTTTTTAGGAACTGCAAGTACGTAGACTTAATTCATTTTTTTCCTCCTTTTTTTTAAAGATACAGGGTCTTGTTCTGCCTCCCGAGCAGCTGGGAGCCTACAGTGGCACGCCACCCGGGCTAATTTTTATTTTTTGCAGAGATAGGGTTTCACTATGCTGTCCAGACTGGTCTTGAACTCCTGGCCTTAAGTGATCCTCCTGCCTTGGCCTCCTGAAGTGCTGGGATTTACAGCAGTGAACCACTGTGCCTGGCCCACTTTTCTATCCAGTTTTAAAAATAGTTTCCTCATTGCTTTCAAGCATCTCTTCATAGATTCTGGTTGGTAAACATTTGAATGTTATAAATATTACAAGTATTTTCTTCCAGGCTGTCGTTTAACATTTTTGTGTCTTTGATTGCACAGAAATGTTTAAAAACTCTGTAGTTAGATTTGTCAGGCTTTTCCTTCAAGGATTTTGTGTTTGGCCTACGAAAGGCACTTATCACTTCCAGATCCCAAATATTCTCTCATATACTCTCTCAGTGCTCACATGGTTTGGGTTTAATGTTTTTTGTGTGTGCATTTTTTTGAGAGACGGACCCGCACTCTACCGTCTTCTAACTATACAGCCAATCACCCCAATACCACTTATTGAAAGGTCTGTTTCTCACTACTCTGAAATGCCATGCTCAACATAAATTAAATCCCCACATTTATGCACAGGTTGGTTTCCGGGTTACTTGTCCAGGCAGTGGTGTCTTTGCCACCTTCTGCCACAGGGCCACACAGTTTTAGTTGTTGGAGCTGGTGCGGACAAGCCAGGCCTTGCTCTTATTTTCCAAAATTGTTGTATGGTTCCTTTTCCAAGTAAACATTTTAAAACATCTTTATTTTTTCAAATTATACTTTAATGAATATTGGCAATATCTTGTTTACTTCTGCATGCTTTTGAACTCTGAACAAAGCCACATGGCATGAATAATTTTGTCACCTTTTTGCCTCTTTCACTCAGGAACAGGTCTATGAGACTCACGCTCACGGCTGCACGCAACAGGCGTCCACACAACCACATTCCCAAATCCGAGGTAAGTTTGCTGTTTGACAGAAAAATGCAATGTGAACTGATGCACGGCCGTTTGGTGTCCATCTTCACCCTGCGGTTGGAATATTCCTGTGCTTACCGCTGCACACGTTCACAACCCTACCGCTGAATTTGGTTGTTTTCAACCCACTCTGACAATGTCTGTCTTTTAACTGGAACACTTAGTCCGTTTTCATTGACTGAATTAAATGACGTACCGGCGATTCTATCTGCCATCGTATCTCCTTCTGTTCTTCTGCTGTAATATGTGAGGGCAGGCAAACTCATCTAACTCCAAAGATGACAAGCAACTCGATCTTTTTTTTTTTTTGAGTCAAGGTCTGGCTCTGTTGCCCAGGCTGGAGTGTGGTGGTGCAATCTCAGCTCACTGCAGTTTCCGCCTCACAGACACAAGTGATCCTCCTGCCTCAGCCTCCACGTAGCTGGCACTACAGGTACATGCCACCATGCCTGGCTAACTTTTTGTGATTTTTTTATAGAGATGGGGTTTTGCCATGTTGCCAGGCTGAGCTCAAGCAATCCTCCCACCTAGGCCTCCCAAAGTGCTGGGATTACAGGTGTGAGCCACCATGGCCCACCCCCCTCCTCTTCTCAGAGGAACTGAGAACACTTTAGTTCCACTCACAGGCACCATCTTGACATTTATGCCATTGCAGGTACATATATTGATTGTATCCTTGCTTTTCTGTGCATGAGTGACATCCAGTGACTGTCAGTTTCAGTTTACTCAGACACTTCCTACTTCCTCTCATGCTTTATCCATTTCAGACCTTTCATCACTTTCATGATGCTTTGAGATCATTTCTTCAGAACTGAGGTGAGAGTGTGCTGGGGGCAAATTCTCTTTTTTATCATTTAAAAACTTTACTTAGCCCTTTGTATAATCCATTTTTGCTGGGCCTGCTATTCCAGGCTGAGCATGGCTTCCCCTGAGCACAGGCATGCTACTGCTCTACTGTGACGAGCTCCCGTGGCTGCTTTGAAGGTTCTGTCTTCCCACTCAAATTGCTTCTGAGGTTTTTGTCGCTGGCATTCTACAATTTCACTATTATGCTTCTCAGTACATAATTTCTTAAAGCGTATAGACTAAATGACTGCCTGTGAGAGCTGTCCTCCAAGATGGCATCCAATGATCCTCACCTCCTGGTATCCATGCCCCTGTGTCGTCCCCTCTCACACTAAATAGGATGACCAGTGTATCCAAAACGGATACTGTAGAAAGAGAGGAGTGTGACTTCCAAGGTTAAGTCATGGAAGTCATTGCAGCTTTCAGCTCACTCTCTCCACTCACTCACTCTGGGGGAAGCCAGCCCCCATACTGAGGATACTGAAGCTGTCCTATGGGGAGATCCACGTGGTAAGGAGCTGAGCCTCCTGCCAGCCCCTATCATGGACTCGCCAGTCATGTGAGTGAGCTGCCGTGGAAGCAGTCTCCAGCCTTCCTCAAGCTTTGAGATGACTGAAGTGTTGACTGCTATCTCAACTATAAGCTCCTGAGAGATCTCAAACCAAAGCCACCAGCTAAGCAGCTCCCAAATTTCTGACCTACGGAAACTAAGATAAAAATACTTACTGTTTTAAGTTGCTAAGCTCTGGGGAAATTTGTCATGCAGCAATGGATAACCAATACATTGCCAAAGGCTGGGTATGGTGGCTCATGCCTGTGATCCCAGCTCTTAGGAAGGCCAGGAGTTAGAGACCAGCCTAGGTAACATAGTGAGACCCTGTCTGTAATTTTTTTTAAAAAGTAAACTAGTAATACATTTCCAGAATCACTATGTACATTTAAAATGAAATTTTCAAGATTCATGAAGTCTGTTTTTTTAAAAAACACTGAATTGTTTTTGGGAAGCTTGGCATGTTTAAAACGTTAAATCTGGCTGGGCGCAATGGCTCATGCCTATAATCCTAACACTTTGGGACCCCAAAGCTGGAGGATCACATGAGCCCAGTTCAAGACCACACCAGGCAACACAGTAAGACCCCATCTCTGCAAAAATTTTTTTAAAATTAGCTAGGCATGGTGGCATGCCACTGTGGTCCCAGCTACTTGGGAGGCTGAGGTGGGAGGATAGCTGGAGTCCAGGAGGTCCAGGCTGTAGTGAGCTGTGATTAGAGAAGCAGGAGTCTAGGAGAGCCAGGATAACATCATTTTATGTTCAACTCCACCTTGAGACTAATAGAGCACATTCCTTACAGGTCACAACCACGGACCTAAGATGTTTACAGCTAAGGAAGCAGCTTGGTAATGCCTACAAGGACAAACTCATAGAAAAGGAAGTTCAGATGTCCCAACACCCACAATAATATATGCTTTCAAGATAATTATAGTGATGCTTTAATGTACTTGCACACTAAAATGTAAAATAGTTTCCTTTTAATCAATAGAATAATAAATTGTTATGCTGTCAGCCCACCCACACGTAGGCACAGCTTGGTCTTTACATAGATAAGACCTCGATATAAGAAAAACTAAAAACAAAGTAGGTCTGTTCCTCTGCTTGCTTGTTGAGGATGCCCTGCTCTGCAGTGGAGCGGCTTTCAATAAATGATCTCTTCTCACTGCACTCTGCAGCTCGCCTCAAACTCCTTCCTGCATGAGATCCAAAAACCCTCTCTTGGGGTCCAGATGGAGATCCCTTTTCCAGTAACACTGTGATCATACCACTGTACTCCAGCCTGGTGACAGAGCAAGACCCTGTCTCAAAAACACACATATGAAATCTGCCCATCCAATATGATAACCATCTCCATCAGGAGCTCTACATGCTATTCAGTAACATTGTAAAGTGTTCTTCATGAAGGAATTGAACAACAGGTTTCTCTTTTTTTTTTTTTTTTTTTGAGACGGAGTCTCGCTCTGTCGCCCAGGCTGGAGTGCAGTAGCGCAATCTCGTCTCACTGCAAGCTCCGCCTCCCGGGTTCACGCCATTCTCCTGCCTCAGCCTCCCGAGTAGCTGGGACTACAGGCGCCCGCCACCACGCCCGGCTAATTTTTTTGTATTTTTTAGTAGAGACGGGGTTTCACCGTGTTAGCCAGGATGGTCTTGATCTCCAGACCTTGTGATCTGCCCGCCCCAGCCTCCCAAAGTGCTGGGATTACAGGCGTGAGCCACCACACCCGGCCAATAACAGGTTTATTTCTAAGAACTTCATAGTTCCTGTTGCTAAGTTGAATAGTATCCTTTGCTTCCATTCCATTTTCTGCTTTTTACTGTGTTGAAAAGTTGTGAATGGTGATCACATATCCAAACTCCCTCTTTTATCTGTACTCATGTTTCTTAAATTGGATTTTCCAAGTAGGTAACATATTAGATGCAAATAGTGATTGTCATCTTTTCAGATATTTACACATCTCATTTTCTTGATTTACTATAAGGGCTTCGGTTTCCAGAATACTGTTTATTTACTTTTTTGAGACAGTCTCCCTCTGTCGCCCAGGCTGGAGTGTGGTGGCGGAATCTCGGCTCACTGCATCCTCCAACTCCCAGGTTCAAGCAATTCTCCTGCCTCAGCCTCCCAAGTAGCTGGGATTATAGGCACCCACCACCATGCCCAGCTAGTTTTTGTATTTTTAATAGAGACGGGGTTTCATCCCATTTGCCAGGATGGTCTCCAACTCTCGACCTCAGGTGATCCGCCTGCCTCGGCCTCCTGAATTGTTGGGATTACAGGCATGAGCCACCGCACCTGGCGATTTTTCTGACGTCATAGTGGTACCATGCATCCATCTGCTTGCATCTGAAATACTTCCATTGGTGGCCACTGCAAGCTCTTGAGAGCTCCCCTCCGTCAGGCTATGGAGATGTCCATCTCTTCCCATCTTATCCAGAACCTACAGGTTTCTATACTTCGGTTTTTTTTAAATTATACTTTTAAGTTCTAGGGTACATGTGCACAACATGCAGGTTTGTTACATATGTATCCATGTGCCATGTTGGTGTGCTGCACCCATTAACTCGTCATTTAGCATTAGGTGTATCTCCTAATGCTATCCCTCCCCCCTCCCCCCACCCCACAAGAGTCCCCGGTGTGTGATGTTCCCCTTCCTGTGTCCAAGTGTTGTCATTGTTCAATTCCCACCTATGAGTGAGAACATGCAGCATCTGGTTTTTTGTCCTTGCGATAGTTTGCTGAGAATGATGGTTTCCAGCTTCATCCATGTCCCTACAAAGGACATGAACTCATCCTTTTTTATGGCTGCGACTTCTTTTGTTCTTAAGGAAAGATACTGGAATTTATTAGTATTACTTTTCAACATCTATTGAGATAATCATGTGATTTTCCACCTGTTGTTACTGAACTTTATTTACAGATTTCAAAATTCCTTTGTCCTTGGGTTACAATCTTCTTTTATTTACATACAACTTCATTTATTCCATATACATTCATTGAGCACCTACTATGTGCCAGACACTGTCCTAAGCACTGGGACAGAGCTGTGAAGAGACATGTGCCTGCTCTCCTGGCAGGCGGAAGTGTGCAGGACCCATCCTTACGGCTATGAAATTCTGCATTTCAGGTGCTCCTGGATTTGGTCTAGTACTTACTCAGGATTTTTCAATCTATGCCCACAGGTAGACTGGCACATCATTTTCTCTTTTTCCTTTTCTCCCTCTGTTCTCTTCTGGCACTGGTATTGGGTGATACCAGGTCCATATCAGAAGTGGCTCTGGGCAGGTGAAGCTTCATCAATGAGGATGACTAATTTCTTGTTTGGGAGTGCCCACCTATAAAGTCATCTGGGCACCCACATTTTTTAGGGAAGATTCCCTGTCCCCAAACTAAAAACCTGCCCGTCAGCAGAGATGCACCCATACCTCTTTCCACCCTTGGCCAACAACCTAATTCTCCCACTGCTCGCCTGCCCTTGGAGGCCTTCAGCCCACTCTTCTGCCTCCCAGCCTTGTCCTCAACCACCATTACCCATAGCCACCAGTCCATCTCTTGGAACTACAAATACAGCCTGGCTGCCCCTGCCCAAGAGCCACTGGGTCCCTGTGTCCTTGCTGGATATGGGTCCAATACACACTCCTCCTGCATCCACATCCCTACCCCTTCAGACATAGTGCCCTGTCCCCAGCCCTGTGCAGGACAGAAGCCTCACACCCCCTGGCCCTCCTCCTGAGCGGCCCTCACTAGACAGGTGACCTATGTGTATTTATAGTCCGGATTGCCTGTCATGAGATGTTCGCCTCCCAAAAGCCACTGCATCTGCTGGTTTGGTCACCCCACTCCCCAGCACCTGACACCATCATAGGGGTTTTGAAAGCATTTGGGCCTGAAGGACATGACTGAGAGGGTACAAAGGGGCCTCAGCGGGCAGCCCTGGGAACACACGCAGACACGCCTGTGTGCATGGCTCAATGAGCTCCCCACACTGAACTGGCCGCATGACCAGCGCCAGCTGCCAAAGCATTGCCAGTGCCCAGGAGCCCCTGCACCCATCTCGCCACAGCCTAGAGCCATCTCTCAGCCTGGCTTTGAACCTTCCAAAAGTGGAACCACACGAGTGGGGTTCTGGCTTCCTCTGCCCTCAGAGAACGTCCTAAGGCTGAACAGCTATATCCCACCATTCTCACTACTGGGCCTGACACAAGCCTGTAGCTCACTGTCCAGCAGTAGAGAGACCAGGAGATGCTTCCAGTTTGGGGAATCACAGCAGAGCCTCTCCCACTATTTTGTTTTGGTCAACTTTCAGTGACAAATCCTTCTCCTGACAGCTGCCCCACCTGGTTGGGAGGACACCACCCCCCCTGGGGACCTTGCTTTCCCTCCCGCTTCTTGCCACCTTCAGCCTGGGGTGGGAGGCACTGGGGAGAGCTAAGGGAAGTGTGTTGCCTTGCCTCCTTCCTGGCCTTGGAAGACCTCTCTACAGAGCCCAGCGGCCCACGGTTCTGGAAGCAAGAAGGGTGCAGGTCCACCTTGGTGCTCGTCCAGGGCCATGGGGAAGAGAGCCTCCTGAGTCCAGCCATCTGTTTCTCATCAGTCCCCACTCAGCCCTCCCCTGAGGCTGCTCATCACGACCAGCCTGGAGTTTTCAGAGACAGCGGCCTCAGGCGGGCTGGGGACAGGAGAGTAGCCTCGGCCAGGGTTTCCTTCCGCTTACCCAGTCCTGAGTCTGCAGTCCCTGCTGAACGCTGCTCTGGATACTGGGCTGGCCCCAGGCTGCTATCAGGCCCAGTGGGGGCCGCCTGTGCTCTTGGGAGAGGTGCGACTCCAGCTTCTTCCCCCGGGGGGACAGTTTCCTGCTGTCCATCTCTAGCCCTAGTAGGCTGCTTGTCCACACCTCTGAGATCTGGGGGTAGGAGCAGGGGGAGGTGGGGCGGGGCCCACAAGGCCACCCACGTGCCCACCAATACCTGAGTCCCTGGGGGCAGATGGTGGCAGTATCGCGGTCTGCTAGGGTCACCTTCCAGCCAAAGGTCAGGCATCACTGACCCCTCTGGGTGGAGTGGATCCCCCAGCTCCCGCCGCAGCTCTTCTCCACACCAGCCTCCCGAACTGTCCTCTCTGCCCCTGCCGACCCCACCCCGGGAGCCTGGAAAGCCTTCGGCAGCCTGCTGCACGGACTCCACGCCTCTGCCAGCCTTCTCAAACGTTCCAGGGGCATCAGCCCTCAGCCAGCACTGCGGGCACGCTCTCAGGGCCCGGCCTTGCTACGCCCGGGGCGAAGGAAAGGCCCAGAGCTCTTGCCACAGCCCCGCTTCCGACCCTGAGACCTCCCCTCCACGCGGCCCAGGCCTCGCCCCAGGCCCAGCCCGGAGCCCTTACGTGCCCGCCCTCTCCGGTGGGGAGGCGGGGTCTGCGCGGCCGGGGTCCGCGGAGGGACGGGGGAAGAAGGCTCAGGACACACGCTGGAGGCCGTGGGCACTCTGGGGTTCGGCGGGGGGGCGGGGTACACGGGAACGGCGGTCGGAGGTGGGGGGTACGTGGGCACCCGGAGACAGAAGGAGGGACAGACCCGCCGCGGATGGAGAGGCCACAGGGGGCCGCTGGAGTACACCGCGGCTTGAGGGGGCCCAAGGGGCCGGCGCCTCGCTCCAGAACGTCCGCTACGGCAAGCCCCGCCCCCACCGGTTCCGCTTCCGGTCTGCGCCGCGCCTGCGTTCTGGGCTCCGTTGCGGCGGGTGGGGGATGGGCGCGGTCTGGGGGTCCCCGGCGCATATCCGGGTCTATGGCCGCTACCGCCCCACGGGCCCTTCCGGGCGTCGGCCTCCGGGGTCTCCCGAAGCACAGACCTGAACTTGGGGTTTGTCGGCCAGAGCCCCTTTCGGCCCTGCGCCCTTCAAGCGGCGCGATGCCGCTGAGCCCCGGGCCACCTCCGCGCGCGCGGGGCCGCAGGGCTGGGGCGGGGCGACCCAGGACGGGGCGCGCGGGCGGGAGGGAGGCGCTGCTCCGCCGCGTGCTCCCAAGGGGTGGACGGCCGAGAGAATCACACTGCAGGCGGGGGCCGGCCCCTCCAGGTTTATTAGTGTTGCATCAGCACCTTGAAATAGTCCACACGGTCACATACGTGACATTAGAATCCGTTCCCCAAAAAGCTATTTACATTAATCCAGGGTTTCATTAAAAAAAACTAGCAACACATACATCCTAGAAACCAAACAATGCACAATGAACCGCATGGGGGTCTGCAGAAACTACAGTGGTGCTTCTTTGGCCCACAGGGTCAGATTCCAGAGGTGCCCAGCAAGCCCAGCTCTCAGTCCCCTACAGGCCACACACCCGCGGACGGCAGGACAGGTCTCGGGGAGGGGGCGGCCTGGCCCTCGGAAGAAGTGGCCTGGTCATTTTCATGAGGAATTCATTCCCGGAGGAAGGCGAGAGGCACTCAGGTCTTTCCATCTGGGAATGAGGACAGTGTGGCAAGGCTGCCAGTACCCTGCAGAGACACCCCCAGCTCTCACCCAGAGGCCCCTCTCCTGCCCCAGCTCTGGCCGAGGCACTGAACCAGGACACTGGCTTGCATGCCCAGAGACAGTGGCCAAGGGGACCAACATGGAAGAGGAAGGCAGCAGACCAGATTGCAGGGCGGGACTGGCCCACAGCTGGCCTGGGTGAGGGTGGGGTCTGTCTACGTAATAGTGGACAGTGGCCACCAGGCCTGAGGGGTGCCTCGGTGGTGACTGGTGGCTTAACCTTTGAGACTGATGGGGCTGAGCCCTAGCTCTACAAGGGGCTGCCTCCTGTCCTGTGAGGCCAGTCCAGGGCCAGGTTCTCGGGGGGTGTGCACACCTCACACACACATCCCCCGCCCTTACCGCACTGGCTGTCAGATGGCTTTGGTTTCTAGTTGTCCTTGGTGGGACAGAGTGCTCCTCCATGCACCCTCAGAACAGCTCTGTGAGGTAGGCAGGGAAAATGCGACCATCCTGTGTAACCAGTGGGAAAACCGAGGCACAGAGGGCTGGCATGGCCCAGGTCTTGTCTGCCCAACCTCCCTGGTGCTGGGCATGGTGTGGGGGATGGACCGTGGGGCTCCTGGGTGCAGGGCAGACCCACAGCCCAGCAGCAGCAGGGGCACAGGGAGTGCCACCAGAACCCCCAGCTGCTGGATGGAGACTCTGCCCATGTTCTCCCCTTGCGTGGCTAAGGATGGAGCTGTGCAGCCAGATGGGAGGTACGGGGTAGGCAGGAGGGCTCCAGGAAAGGGGCTGCCCACAGCCAGGATGCACTAGGCAGCCTGTGGCCCCTTCCTCTAAAACCTGCTCTGAGGCCAGAAAGCCACAGCAAGGATGTTTCCACCTTCATCTCCCTACTGAGTGTGACCCTTGGGAAAGAAACAGGAAGAGCAGGCAGGACGCGGTGACTCACGCCTGTAATCCCAGCACTTTGGGAGGCCGAGGCGGGTGGATCACTTGAGGTCAGGAGTTCAAGACCAGCCTGGCCAACATGGCAAAACCCCATCTCTACTAAAAATACAAAAAAAATAGCCAGGTGTGGTGGCACACGCCTGTAATCCCAGCTACTCGGGAGGCTGAGGCAGGAGAACTGCTTGAACCTGGGAGACGGAGGCTGCAGTGAGCTGAGATCATGCCACTGCACTCCAGCCTGGGCAACAGAGCAAGACTCCATCTCAAAAAAAAAAAAAAAAAAAAAGAAAAGAAACTGGAGAGCAGAAAAACAGATGCTCTGCAGCCCAGCTTGGGGGCAGCTGAACGAGTCAGTCAGGGTCCCACCTGTTGCCGGGGTCAGAGGCCATCAGCCCGGGGCTCACACCCTCACCGCAGACACTTCTCGGGGCAGAGCCTGAAGCCAGGATTCAATGGGAGACCTTCCTACCCTCTCCCCCACCCTGGGGTGTGCCCCAGGCTCCTGGTCCCAGGTGAAGGAGGAGTCCCTGGTGTGGAGGGGCTCTGGCTGGGAGGGGCTGGGGCTCTGCCTCCTGCACACAGGCTACCTCTGAGGCCTGAACCCAGGGAGCTGAGGCTGCACACCAGGCCACATCCTGGCCCCTCACCACAACAAAATCACCCTGTTCAGCCACCTGGGGGGGGCGGCCAGGAAGAGCAGGGCGGTCACAAGTAAGAAATGTGGGCCATCTCTCAGGCCAGCAAGGGTGGAGACCCCTCCAGCCCCGGCTCGAGGCCCACCCTGCCCTGCGTTTGCTTTCTGAGCATGGCCTTTTGCAGTGCTCCATCTTACGAAACCAGGCCAAGAGCCCCCAGGGTCGATCAGGACCCCTGGGAGGGCCCCAGCTTCCCCAGCTCCTCCTATGGAGACCCCACAGTGCAGGCTTACTGGGGAGAAGCAGGACTGAGGGGGCAGGTGTGGTCAGGGAAGCCCTCTCCTGCTGTGTGGAGGGCATGGAACCCACACACAACATGGGACCCAACACGCTCTGAGGACTGTGGCCTGGAGAGCCTCCCAGGCCCTGCACGGGGTACCTGGCTGCACCCACGGCTCCAAAGTGCCGGCCCCGCTGGTCAGGCCATCCCGCTGGAATCTTCATTGGCTACAGCGTTGCAGCAGGTGACACAAACACATCTGGACGCCTGCCCCATATTCACCAAAACCTGAATCTCAACCCAGATATCCCCATGGCTGACCTCAGACATACCCACTGGGGTGGAGGAAGTGGCCCCCACCTCAGGCCAACCCCAGCAGCATCTCACTATGTACCAAGCTGGGCTCTGGAACATTTTCTGGGGCCACCTGGGCTGTGGAGGCCCCTGTGCTTGCTAAGTTTGGGGCAGGGACTACACGCAGAAGCCTCATGGTGTTTCAAGAACAGCCTGAGAGTGGGGAAGGTGTGAGGCGGGGTGGGGCAGGGGCTGGGGAAGTGGGGGCAGGCTCTGCTGGCTCTGCCCAGCCCCAGGGGGACTTCAGAAGAGCAACATGTTTGGCAGCTACATTAGAACATGTATTGAAAAGCATTAAAAATATCTGCTGCTATAAAACCTCCGCCGCAGGCAGGAGTTTATTGGGAACCACGAGTGTGCGGTGCTGGGGGCATCTCTTAGGCGGGCAGGACGGCCCCCCCAGGCTCAACTCAGGACAACCCCAACGGGACTGAGCGGCCCCATGGCCCTCGGCCTGTGGCCACTGAGCTCCGCCTTCCCCGGGCTCCCTGAGGAAGCAGAGTCCTGACTTCCAGGAAGGACAGGACACAGAGGCAAGAACTCAGCCTGTGAGGCTCTGGGTGGCTCCTGAGGCCAGAGGACGCCTTCCGCGATCCATGGCTCAGCATCGTCCTTCTGGCTTCCCAGCCCCGGGCCGAACGTTCGGGTTAATAAGCAGAGCAGTTATTCGGCTCCTGGCAGGAGCTCCCCCGTTAGTTTCCACGTTGTGAGCACATTCATACTTAAGACTGTTTCTCTTTGTGTTTTAAGCGTCTGTCTCTGTAGTAAACTGAAATGTTAACAGAAATGCAGCTGGGCCCCTCACAGCATGGGGCAGGAGGTGGGCCCCCTGGTGGGTGGGGCTAGAAGGTGGCCTTGGAGTGTCCGAAGATGCAGATGGGGAAGTGCTTCACGTGCGAGGACCACTGCGCGGCCAGCTGGAAGAACTTGACGTCGCTGCACTCCACGCCGTCGATGAGGACTGTGGGAGAGGGCTGCCTGACCGCCTGCCCCCCTGCCCGGCCTGCCCACCCTATCCACCTGCCTGCCTGGCCCACCAGGCTGGGTGGCAGCCGGGCGTACAGGATGAGAAGGAGCCCCATGCTGGAGGGCATCAACACTTTCCTCAGGGACTCGGGGGCTCCAGGGCCATGCTGGCTCCTGAGGGACGCCATTCCTGCCCCTGCCCTCCACACTCAGAGCCCTGGGGGGTGGGGAGGGCAGCATTTCCCCCAGGGCTGCCTGCAGGTGGAAGGAGCAGACCCCACCACCTTCCGCCAGGCGCTGCTCGTCCACATCCACTTCCACCTGCACAGGTGTGGGAAGAAGACAGTGGGAGCCCCCTTAAAACAGAGACCCCTGTGGGGAGACAGGGCCACGTCGACCTGGAGGTCATCTGACCCGTGCTCAAAAAGAGGAAAGCCTCCCAGAGCTCCGTTTCTGAAACAGTTACTTGCAGAGTATCTTCTCCAAAACCCCTTTTTTTTTTTTTTTTTTTGAGGCGGAGTCTTGCTCTGTCACCCAGGCTGGAGTGCAGTGGCGCAATCTCGGCTCACTGCAAGCTCCGCCACCCGGGTTCACGCCATTCTCCTGCCTCAGCCTCTGCGCTCAGCCAACACTTTTAAACTACAAGCCATTATTTTTAGGCCAGGTGCGGTGGCTCGCGCCCATAATCCCAGCACTTTGGGAGGCCGAGGCAGGCAGATCACCTGAGGTCAGGAGTTTGAGACCAGCCTGGCCAACACGGTAAAACCCCATCTCTACTAAAAATACAAAAAATTAGCCGGGCGTGGTGGCACGCGCCTGTAATCCCAGCTACTTGGGAGGCTCAGGCAGGAGAATCGCTTGAACCTGAGAGATGGAAGTTGCAGTGAGCTGAGATCACACCATTGCACTCCAGCCTGGGTAACAAGAGCAAAACTCTGTCTCAAAAAAAAAAAAACCAAAACAAAAAACAAACAAGAAAAACGAAACAAGTCATTATTTTTAAAAAGCAAAAAGGGTTGAAAAAAAATTCTTTCTCAGCATTTGGAAGGTTGTCAGCCTCACTGAGGGCTTCATCGAATGTGCTTGCACCTTGAATCGTGGAATGTGCGTGTCACAGCGAGACACCCGCAGCTCCTAGGCTGGGCTCCAAAGCAGCCTTGCTGTGCTCTCACCTACGTCCCACTCTACAGACCCCGGGGCCGGTGGTGCTCACCCCGCAGCATGTTCTGCTGCTGCCTGGCAGTGCAGATGAGCCGGCTGATGCCCTCAATGCACTGGCTCTTAGACTCCACGTCCTTGTCCTTCGCTTTCTTGGGCAGAAACATCACTGGGAGGAGAAAAGAGGCCCTGCTGTCATCTTGCTGCTCCTTCGGGGCTGGGGCCAGGGCCAGGGGTACGTGTGGGGGAGGCACTGGGGGCTCAGCTGGTCATGGCACTGCTCACCTAGGAAACCTGCCTTCCACGGTGACTGAGGACAGCTGCTCTCCTGCCCACCCAGCTGGCCTCCGCCTGAGGCTCTGGTCAGAAGCACCTGACCCTCACTGCCCTCAGGATTCAGGCTCCCTCACCCCACCCGCCCCTGCCTGCGCATGTGGGCTGCCCGAGGCCAGCCCGGGGGCTGTCATCCCTGTTGACTGCGAGCCGCCCTCTCCCACAGAGCCGCCCTTCTGCGCCGTGTGGCCTTATAGCCTGCCCCACCTCACCCTTCTTGTTCTTCTCCTTGGTGACCACGGTCATGGACATGGTGGGCGTGGCTGCAGCCTCGCCGCTGCTGGGCAGCCTGCTGACCTGGAGGGACCGGAAAGTGCACTTGAGCGTGTTTTTGGTGACAGGCAGGTCCTTCTTCTCGGCGTCCCTCTTCCTGTCCGCAGGCTGTGCTGCCGTCCAGTAGTCCACCTGCAGCCCCATCAGCTCGGCGCCGACACCCTGGCTGGGAAAGGCAGAGGGAGGCATTCACACCTGCATCTTTGGGCCTAGTGATGGGGACATCACTGTCCCTGTGACAGGCCAGGAGGTGACAGCCAGCACCTGTGCCAACTTGCCAGCAGAGGAGGGCCGGGTGCTTGGAGCATGCTCTGTGGAGCTGTTCACATGCCCAGTCACCCCCACAAGGGTCCTGCTTAAATTACAGGGACCCTGGCGACAGGAGAGCCTCGGCCTGGGAGGCCTGTCCACCTGCTCTCCAAGCTGCCCCTTGGAGTCGTGAGGGCCCGTGCGAACCAGCTCCCTCAGGCGCAGCCTGGAAGGAGCCGGCGGCTGGAAACACAGAGGCAGGGGGGTCGGGGGGGTATCTGCTGGTGTGAGCCCTGCACGCAGCACCAGCACCACGCCTGGCCTCAGGGCCCACAACCCCCCATGGCTTAGTTCCACTTGAGTGAGGTCTGCTCCGGAGAGACCCGGGCGGGCTAGCGGGGCCTCAGCACAGCTATCGAAGCTCATCCCATGAGGACCGTCTAGAGACTCACGTCTCTTGCACCTTCTGCCCTCAGCTTGTTTTTTAAAAGCCCCAACTGTGTACAGAGCTGAGAGACAGCCCAGCACAACGCCCATGTTTATTCACTGTGCAGGAGTTTCTGTCCCCCAGAGGTCCTGCCCCCAAACACCAGATCTGTGGCAGGAGGTGGCCAGAGAGGACCCAGCCGTCCTGCAGAGCCCCTCCGCCTTCGTGGCTGACAGGCCAGGTGCCCTGGGAGGTGGATGTGACATAGGGGAGGATGACTGAATCAGGCAGCATGTGGTGGGGCGGGTAAGTGAAACGTGCTGAGCCGTGAGGCACCTTTACCTGGGGGAGGACAGGCCTCCGCTCACCGACGGGGAGGAGGGCGGGGTGGGTGAGGCCTCCTTGGCCGCAGGAGATGCGGACGGCGGGGTGGAGGAGAGCGTGCCAGAGCCCGAGGGGGCCGCGTCGTCCGAGTCGCCTTTGGGGAGGAGTCACAGGGCAGGCTGAGCCCACCTGCTGCTCTGCCCGGGTGCCACCAGGCCCTCCGGACCAGGATGTGGCCAGGCCAGGCAGCTCCTGGGGGTGGGCAGGGTGGGAGTCCCCAGTGGCCTGTGAGAGACGGGAGGGTCTCGGATTCTCCTCGGTTTTTGGAAGACAACCCTGCCAGCCTTGATGTGGGGCTTTGTGACAGCAGTCCTTGGAGGATGAACCCCCCGCAGGACAGAAGCACCACAGCAAGACTGGGACGTGGCGGCTCTCAGGCCCTGAAAGGTTGATCTGGTCTGCAGGACTCGAATGACCGTGCTCCTGCAGCCCACCCACGGGCCACTCACAAGGCCTCAGGGTGGGACGGGGTTACCTGATGTGGCCGAGGATGGCTCCACAATTCCAACCTTCACAACCTAGAAAACAACAGGCACTGGCTGGTGAAAGCCGTGCAATTCAGCTAGCCCAGCGCCCTCCCAGTGGGGCTCCCGCCTCCCCACCGTGGCCACCACTCCCATGATGCTGGAGCGGCCAGGTGGTGCCAGCTCCCTCCTGCCCTTCTCTCCCCATCTGTGGAGCAGAGCTGAGCTCAGAGCAGCCATGTGGGGACAGACAGTGCTCAGGGTGCGTGGCCTCAGCAGGAGGGACTGCTCTCTCTAAAGTCGGCCCTCAGGGCAGCTGCAAACTATGTGTGCAGTAAAAACAGGACGCTGGTGAGAGGGACCTTGGCGGGCCGACGGGGATAGGCCCCGGACCTGGCAGCCACGAGCCACAGGCGGCTACGTAGATCTACCGTGAATCCCAGTGACACCGCAGGGCCTTGGTTGCATGGGAAGGCCTGTGTGCCCGAGCACAGTGTACTCTTGTCACCGGAGAAAGCTCTTTGGGCAGCCGCTGTTCAAGACGAATTCCACCCTCCCAGAGGGCCAGCCATCGCCCCAGAGCCCTCAGCAGACCCAACCACTGCACGGTGCACAAAAAGGCCTCTGTTCCACCAGTGGGGAAACCGAGGCCCAGAGACCCTTCCGCTGCCTGGGCAACCTGTCTGCCAGGCCCTGTGGGTCTGTCTCACAGCAGACACCTGGCGGGAGGGAGGCCACACAACAGAGCGAAAAGATGGCAGGAAACAGGCTGTGGAGACCCAGGGCTGGCAGGGAGATGGCCTGGCTGGCAGAAGCAGCCCTAACCCTGGGCAGGGCAGGAAGTGAAACCCACACACTGCAGGCTGCAGCCCAAGTGAGCACTGGGAAGCTCCCGGGGCCTTGGGCTCCTAAAGGACAGAGGCGCCCTCCCCAACCCGGGCAGGCAGTCTCTCCTCTCCTGAGACGTGGGGCCAAGCCTCCTGGGTGTTCTGAGGCCTCGCCCCACCGACCTGTCTCTGCTTCCATTTATCAGCCCCCAAGGCAGAGCTAAGGGGAACTAACAACCTCTGGCCCCACACCCCACTCCAGCAGGGAAGGAAGCGAGCTTTGAGACAGGCCAGATGGGAAGGCAAATCCCCAGCTCGTATCTGTGGGAAGGTTCTGGAATATATCGAGTCAATCCCCAAACGTTCTGACTGTAAACGACAAGTTGGCAGGTGTGCGGTTTCCCATCACATAAAGCTGGCCAGTACTCACCCCGACAAAGGGAATGAACTTTTGGGAGGACTCTTCGTCAGGGCTAAGAGCAAGGAAACAGACAGTTAAGCTCTCCTCAGGGCACAGCCCCGCCTGGTGGGCACAGCTCCCTCTTGGCCTGAGAACCTGGCGCAGCCCTGGGGCCGCGGCCCTGCCGGATGGCCCTGCCGGACAGCCCTGCCCTGTGTGTCCCGGCCCCACCCATCTCCAACCACTGCCAGCCCTGGCCTGGCCCCCAGGACCAACGCCTGGGCCCCTTCTGACATGCTGACATGCTGGAAGGACAAAGGGGTCTCTGTGCACCCATGGTCAGGAGGACAGGCCAGAGGGCACAGCTCCACGGAGGGATTCACTCTGCCATCCTAGGTGCCCGACGCCCACACAGCCAGCTCAGCCCTGTCCGGCTTGCATTTCCACTTCCCCACCAAGCTGGGCACCCCTGCTCTGCTGGGGTTAGGGCAGCTGCCAGTGCCCTGGGACTCCCAGGAAGAGCCTGGGCCCTCTCTGGTAATCAGCAGCACCAAAGCCAGGGTGCAGAAGTTTTCTCCAGACTATCTGGGTAACGTCCATGCCCACATAAGAGGCCAGGCTTTGGCTGCAGTGGGCCTCCATGTTCTACCAGAACACCCCACGCACAGCCTGCAGGCAGGCCCAGCACACCCCAGGCCGTGCCCCGCGTGAGCTGATGTACTCAGCGGGCAGTGGAGGTTTTGCCTGGACTTGGCCCCATACAACATCTGGCAGGTAACAGCAGCCTCTCCTGGAAGTCTGGTCACAGCCCGTCCACACGAAGATGCCAAGGGTGGAGGACAGGAGCCGCGGGGCCGCTGAGGGGACCCGTCTGTCTTCCCCTCCGACGTGTGCAGCTCAAGCAGGGCTGTCCTGTGGTCCAGCTCGCACAGGCTCCTGCTGACTGTGCCCACTGCAGCCTGGGCTTGGGCCCAGGGAGCTCTCCCACAAGACAAGGGGCCAGCACAGCATGAGGCCCCGCCGGCAGCTAGGGTGAGGTGAGGGCATCTCCTTCTGGGCCCCAGGAAAGATCCAGAGGGCAGGGCCTATCCTGAGTGGTGGGCTGGGTCTGGCTCTCCTCTTTCCTCCTCTCCCCTGGCCTCAAGGCCCCCCGTGGCCTGCACGTAGGGACAGAGGTGCCTCCCCGCCCAGCTTCCTCAGCCAGACCGCATCAGCAACTGGTGCCTTCTCTCTGGGCAGCTCCCTCAGCTGTTTCTTCTGTCTCATTTCCCCAAACTGCAGAGTCTGATGCCGGCAAGTGGCTGTCTTACAGGCGGAGACTGTGCACACACAGTGCAGAGGAGCACCTGTTGCCCCTGGAGCGCCGGGGGCAGGACGAGAATGGCCAGGCCAGCAGGGTGGCCCTCAGGGACAGCCCGGCACCAGGTGCAGAACATGGGCTCGCACAGTGGCCCCGGCCCTCCCTTGGGTTGTCGTCCAGCACAGGGTCATTCAGAGAGAATCCCTTGCAGGAAACAGGCCCAGCGGAGGATGCCACAGGCCCAGCCCAGCCGTCTGCCTGGAGCACCAGCTCCCAGGACCAGCAGCGCTATCTCCTCAAGAGCCCTGCAGGGCAGAGGCTTGATCCCAGTGCTCCCCACAAAGTGTGCCCACAAGTAAAACAGCCTCTGCCCGGCAGCCGGTCCAGAGCACACTCCCAGGAGGCAGCCTCTGCGGCTGGTCCCAGCAGGTGCCTTCCCTGTCTTCGCAGCGCCAGTGTGAGGAGACGGCGGCTGGCAAGACCCACCCTCCCCAGACGCCAACCTGGACGGCTCCTGGCCCACCCTCTGCAGAAGACCTGGCAAATGCCTCTGGATGAAACCACCTACAGATTCCTCCCATCCCATTAAAGATGCCCCAGGCCTAGTTCCATTTCTAAGGAGAAGAGTTGAAACTTTCCCCTCTTCTTGTCCATTTCAAATAACATAAAGCGATGCAAATCCTGTGTTGAGGCCCACCTCTGCCTCAGGGCGGCCTCCTGGCCCCCCAGCACCCTGGCTGTGTCCACAGCTGTCAGGCAGGAGTGCCTGGACGTGGCCTTTGACATCCCACTATCCTTGTTGAGCAGACCAGTGTTTGGAAATCTGTGACATCTGTGTCCTCCCAGGCACGCGAAGGCACAGAAGACAGGTGGTGGCTGCTGGTCCCCAGGGCATGGGTGGCTCCAATTCCCAGGGCCACCTGCCCTCTGCCGAGCCAGACCCCCCCACCGAGCCAGCCATGGCAGGCTGGCCTCCCATCCATGCTCTGCTCCGAGGCCCATGGGGCAGTGCGTGGCAGATGAGGGCCGAATGCAGGAGACGTCACAACACAGGGATGTTGCTGGAACTCTCAAAGCCAAGCTGCGCCTCTGGGCCATGCAGACAGCACCCAGCCCTGGACATGGGCCAATATGACAGGGGTGACACCGGCTGGACACTGAGACCCTCATCCTGACCCTGGAGGCACACACATGTCTGTGGAGGCAGTGTGGTCAGGAGTGTAAGGAGCATACCACCGTGGCGTGGGGAGGCCCCGCGGGCACGGAGGGCACAGATGCCTTGGGGGCCACTCCGCATGGCCCTGGGCAAGCTGCCGGATGCCTGAGCAGCCCTTTCCACCCATGCGCTGCACGGGCAGGCTGGGGCTCGAGGCCGCCCTCCAGGCCTGGCCTGCCCTCATAGGAGGAGTGCCATTCTCGGCAGAGGAGGGCGGGCCAGCAGGAGTCACCTCACGAGGGACTCTCGCAGGGGAGCCTGGCTGGAGAGGGCTCTGCACAGGTCCCCCGTCACAAGGGCTGTGCCACCGCCTGCACTCTCTCAGCCTCCCGACTGACCCTCCTCTGGGTACAGAGAGCAGGTAAGACACTTATGGCCTTTGCTGGGTTCCTTCCAGGACCCCAGGCAGCCAGTGTCACCCTTATAACGTGGAGGCAGCCAGTGTCACCCCTGCAACACGGAGGCAGGGGCAGGAGGTGCAGGGTGGGAGTGGGTGTAAGGCCCCCTAAGGCCCTGGCTTGCTGCTTGGAAGAGCTGACCTGGGAGATACAAGCAGCTGCGTCCACGGCCTGCGGCGGCCGGGCGGCCAGAACATGCTGCAGGCTCCTCGTGCCACAGCCAGGGGGCAAGGGCGGAGGCTGCTGGGGGTCAGCAGGGGAGGCCCCCACGGCTGGTCTTTCACCTGTGAAGGCTTGTTTAGCAGGACAAGACATAGGATGTTCAGCCCCCTTCCTGTGTCTTCCCAGCGCCCAGCCCTACAGCTGTGGGTGGTCCCAGGCTGCCCACTTCGAGCAGCTCCTAGGCCAGCAAGGGGGCCCCAGGGACCCAACTACCCTGCACTGAGGTCAGGGGGTTGGGGGGGTTTCCTAGGACAGCAAATGACCTCACACAGGGCAGAAGACACGGGGTAGAGAACGAGCCCATGGGAGGACCAGCAGGGGCCCCCACCCTGCAGCAGGACACACCTGGCCAAGGAAAAGGGGTGGCTCTGTCTGAAAGGGCAGCTTTGGGGGTGCCTGGGACTTGGCTCTGAACATGAAAGGTTGTAGGGGGTGGAGCTGCCTCGGAATGAAAACTCTTTACCCCCATTTGGAGGTCTCGGTAGTTTGGCCCCGTCTCCAGGTAAGCCACAAGATGCTGGAAACCCCTCTCTGCTGGCCCCAGGTGCTCGAGGGAGCCCTGGGAGCCAGGCTCTGCAGTGTGTAGGGGGCCCAAGGCACAGCCGCTGACCACCGTGTCACCAGGCCAGCTCCTTAACTACTTGCTTGGGCGTCCCCGTGTGTAGGGCGTGCACCCGTGCCCCTGCTAGGCTGCTGCCAGCTTCACAAACGTGAAGGGCCTGGGAAACAGCCTGGCCCAGGTGATCCTGGTGTCCACACCAGCCACTCGCTCCTGGTTTAAAACGAGGAGGGGCTAAACCTGGCCACTTCTTAAATCAAAACCCAGGGTCAAAACAGAGCCGGGGAAAGGCCTGCCTGGCCGACCTGCAGGCTTCAGGGCTCTGGGGTGGAGTCCCAGCACACGGGCCTGGCCAGGGACAGGAGGGCCCATCTGCTGCTCTCCTGACTCAGTGTCAGAGATCGGATGGAGGAAAAGGGTCCACGTCAGCAAAAAGTGACTCGGGTTGGGGCCACTTCCCCTCTCCCGTGCGGGCTCTCAGCCTGCAGCTGGTGGCCCTCAGGGCCTGACTCCCAGTCCGGAGAGAGGACAGCGGGGTGATTCCTACGTGACTCTGCCAAACAAGCCCTGAAGACCAGCCTGGGGACAGACAGGGTGGGAGGCAGACCCACAGAGCCGTACCTTAGGGTAAAGTCAAAATGAAAATGCTTTTTCCTTTTCAGAAAGCCACCAAAAGAGAAAACAGACACGTTACGACGCCCTCAGGACCCCTCCAGGGACCGCCGAGGGCACTCAGTGGCTCCCATCTCACTGGGGCTCCTGCGTGGGAGAGCCCGTGAGCGCTGGCTTTGCGCCTTGCACTCGGCTCTCTCCCCTGTAGTCTAGGGAAGGTGTGGGACAGTGGCGCCAGATGTGCAGGGAGGAGGCGCCGGGCGGGACAGACAGGTCTCCGCAGGACTTTCGGCCGGGGGCTCCTGAGCACCGTCCTGCTCTGGGCAGGTGAGGACACGAGCTGATCACTCACCCACAGGGCCCGAGGCCCAGGGAATCCTTCGTTCCCCAGCCCGAGAAACCCAGGCTGTGGAAGGAACAGGTGCCCAGACTGGAGGGGCTGGGCCACTGCCACCCTGGCCCCATGACAGCTATCCATTCTGTCAACTTCTTATCACGCGGGGTTTCAACATGCACAGAAACAGGTGCGGAAATGGCGCTTACTATGAGGGATCTGGGGTGCGGGGAAGCACCTGCTGTCAGGGAGGCCCAGAGCTGCCCAGCTGGCCCAGGCTCTGGTCTAAGCCCGGTGCAGGGCTCTGCGGCCCACCAGGCCAAGCCCAGCAGCGGGTGGGGAGGCCCACGGAGGGTTGGTGGCTGGCGGCAGCCTGTGGTATGGTGCCTGGGCCCACCGCGTTACCTCTTCTGCTTGTAGGTCAGCATGGCCTCTGCGATGGGGAGCTGGTGGGCACAGTTGGCCCCTGCGATGTACTGCGTGATGCGTGACACAATGTCTGGCGTGTCCTGTACTGCAGGGGGAGGAGGCGGTGGGGGGTTAGGCTGGTGCCAGGTGGGGTTGCAGGCGGGGCTAAGCTGGGCCTCCCCGGTGCCCCGCCCAGGCCTCCCGTACCCCGAAGCGCGGCAGGGCTCGCTGGTTGCAGCTGAGGGGCCCTGGTGCTCTACTCTCGAGGCAGTACCAGGGCAAGCGTGGGAAGACCTGAAGGGCTGTGCCCGCCCCTTCCCAGACAGGCCCCACAGCTTCCAACATTCCAAGGCTCAGGGGAATAGGAGGCATCCTGGCCAAGGCCCCAGCAGGCCCTGTCCATGGCCTCTTCCCTGAGGCTGAGCCTGAGCAGGTGCAGGGCCTCCTGGGCACAGCATCTGGGGAAACCGGGGCCCCTTCCTCCCGCCGTGGCGTGGGCTGTGGACGCGCCCGGGCCTCACCCGCACTCTGGGCCTCCAGCTTGTTGAACAGGTCTCTCCAGGCCAGGTCCTGGAAGAAGTTGTTGTAGCGGTAGTCCACGGAGCCTAGGTACCTGGCCACGGGGTGGGAGCCTGCATGCCAGGGGTGGGGCTGGTGTCACCACGGGGGACTCGGAGCTGCAAGGCTCCCACCGCGGCACAAAAGCTGGGCCACCCGACCCCAGGCCTGTGCTGCTGCCTTCCAGACAAGCCCACTTTCCTGCCACCGAAAGAGAAAGCCACCACTGCCCCTCCCTGGTGGATGCCTGTGGCCCCGCTGAAGGAGCTCCAGCCCTGAGCTGAGGTCCCAGAGCCCTGAGTGCCACTGAGGAAGGCCCAGCAGGGCACATGTGACCGTGCAGAGGCCTCGGCTGGCTCAGGGCTCTGACGTCGGCATCGTGAGGGCCACACGGGAGAGGTGTCGCCTCCAGGCCTTGCTGCTGGTCAACAGATTAAGGCTGGGTGGGTTTGTTTCGTGGTAAGACACATCGTATGGACCTAAAGAAGTAATGGAGTTCGACGACACAGGACCTGGACGATTTGAGAGGATTAATAACGAGCCCTGCTTTGCACTTCTGACTTTGGAAATCGAAACTGGCATAGAGTTATCACAGCGACTGATGGAGGAGACACCCAGCTCAGGCCCCTTCAGAGGGCGATGGCTTTATCTTGACCCAAATGGCTGTTTTAGGGCAATCAAGTTATCTTGCATATAATTAAAATTAACAAAGTGTTACTGTATCAAACAAACATTTAAAAACAACAAATGTGTAGCAAGCAGGGACACCACGCCATGCCACACCGCGCCACACCACGACACACCGCGCCACGCCACGCCACACAACACGCCACGCCACGCCACACCACTCCATGCCACGCCACACTGCCCGTGGCATCTGTGCCCAGGCCCAGGTGGACGGCGTGGTGCTCACCCAGTGGGATGACCAGGAAGCGCATGTAGCCGAGCCAGTCGGGTGTCTTGTGGGACAGCTGCTCCACAAAGAGCCGCAGGATGGCACTGAGGTAATGCTGCGCTCCCGCCACGGCGATCTTCACGGGGGTCGGGGGCTGGGAATTGCAGTTGCAGCTGCAATCCAGAGGCAGGTGGGACGGAGAGGGGACAGACGCCTCAGGGGAGCCGTCCTCCATCCAAGGATGCCAGTGTGAGCCCAGGGGGCTCCGTGCCTGTGGCCGCTCATGCCACAACTGCCCTGGAGCTGCCCAAGCCCAGGACCCCCACATGCCCAAACGTGCCCAGGCTGAGGGACCACACAGTCATGGCCTCAGCCCAGGCTTCCAAGGACAGGCCAGGAGGCCACCACTCCAGTGTGGCAGGACACCCACCAGGCTGCTGCTCCCGCCCACAACTGAGGGGAGGCCAGGCTGCGAAGAGCGCATGGGTCAGCCTCTGTGGACACCAGCCACAGCCCCAGGTCCAGGACGCACCTAGCCCCGGAGCAATGGGCAGAGGTGGGGGTGCAGGGACCCCGAGGGGTACTTGGGTGGTGAGTACAGGGTGGAGCCCAACTCACTATCTCTGTATCCGTGAGACGATGGTGCTGAAGGCCGCCTGGACGTCCGCAGGAGAGCACGTGCACACCACGGGGAGCGTGTGCCTCTGCAGGACGTCGGAGAGGAACTGGCAGAAGACAGGCAGACGCTGACTTCGGCACAGCCGCCCAGGCCACCCCCAGCACCTGACCCTCACCAAAGCTCTCAGGGGCTCCAGAGACCCCAGGCACGTCCAGGCAAACCACAGCCAGCAGCTCCAGCACCCAGGTGTGCCGGGTAGGGGGCAGCTTCAGGAACCCACTCTCCTCTGTCCTACACCCTGACCCTCCACTCCAAGAGACTGCCCCTCTACCTGCCCCTGCCAGTCCGAGGTGTTGACAAGGATGATGTTTTCGGGAAGCTGGTCATCGGAGATGAGGATGTGGTTGAGCTGGTCATACACAGTCTTCCTGGGGATCTGGAGGCACAGAGCCCTGTCCACACCCAGAAGAGAAGCACAGCGCCCATCCCCACCACGCCAGCCCTGGTGCCTGCAGTGCCCCTGCTCCCCCTGCAGCCACAGAGGCTCGGTGGCAGGAAGAGAGCTGGCCAGCTTGGAGAACTGCCCTGGGCTAAATCAGCCAAGCAATGAGGCTGCCCTGGACCAGGGAGGGCAGCAGAAGGACTAGAACTTGCCCTGGGGTCCACATGGTCTTCCTGACAAACCAACCCATGGCCCGCCCGCCCTGCTGTGTAGCAGGAGCCCTCCAAAGCCCAGGCATGCTCTGTGGCCCAGCACCCTTGGCCCCCTGTGCTTCTCTTTTTGCCCTGCTCTGGTTGGTGCCAGGGTGACCACGAGCCCTGCCTCCTGGGCGTGCCACGCCCTCCACCCCCACCTGCAGCTGCACCTGTAGCTGGCTCCGGGCGTCCGGGCAGCGCTCGTTGTCCAGGCTGTTGGCCCGCTCATTCTGGGGCCGTGCTGCCTGCCGCTCCTTCAAGGATGTGCTCCGGCCCCGTCGGCCAGCCTGCTTCCCCTCGGACCTATTGGGGACCAGGACAGGCTAAGTGGCTGTGGCAGCAGGAACAGGAACAGGGGCAGAGGCAGGGGCAGGCCTGCAGTGGCCTACACATTGTGGTGGGGACAGGGAAGGGTGAGCACAGGGCTGACTGATGGGCAGTGGGAACATGGGCTGCACAGAGAGGTCACCAGCCCTGGGAGGGCCACAGCAGCAGCTGAGTACAAGTGAGGCCGTGCCTCCGATGGGACCCCACACAGCTCTGCCTGTGAGACTTCGAGCCAGGCCAGGAGGCTTGGAGCCACCGTGAGGACTGAGCTCACCCTCCCTGCCCGGGCCAAGAGCTGGGCAGAGCCAGGTGCAGGCCAGTGCAGGGCACTGAGGCTGCCAGGGCGACCTGGCTCCAAAGCGCGGACACAGGCACCTGCGTGCCACCACAAGGTAAAAACCAGTGCCCAGACTCGCTGCTTTGGAAAAAGTCCCAAATATCACAGAAACATGAAATTGAAATCCTGGAAGAATCAAGCTGGTGTATGTGTGTCTTTTGGCTGAGGCAGGGGCTACTCAGGGGGATGTGGGGGCACCTGCTGGAGGGCAGACCCGCCTGACCCTGCCCTCAAACAGGTAGGGTGGAATCTGGGGCTGCAGGCTTGACACCCAATGCCGGGCCAGGGGGTTTGCTTCTCCTTTTTAAGAAGGACGAGGCCCTGAATCTGCTGTCTACACCCGAGGGAGCTCATCAGGATGGACTGACACGCACCCACCCCGACTGATGCCCGTGACGGCCCCTCCCCCGACAGGTGCATCACCGCCCCGCCCCGCCGTGCAGCCCCCATCACCTGGTGGAGGGGATGACAAGGGACTCTGTCTTGGTGATCCTCCCGCTGGGCGGCAGCCTCTCCGTGAACACATCCAGGGTGGAGGCCTCAGCCTCGGGGCTGTCCTCAGGCTGTCCAGGGTGCTCCCTCGGGCCTGGCACACCCTGCTGAGCAGAGACGGGCCTGGAGCCTCCCGTGGAAACCACACCCGTGCTGCGGCCTCTCCAGCCCTGTGGCCTCTGGCTCGGGTGAGGGTTTAGGCCTCTCTAGGCCGTGGCTCCTACATGTGGACCCGGCCATACGCTGACCAGGGAGCCTAGCTGAGCCAAATTCCAAGCACAGGGCTCCCATCCGGGCCATGCAGGGTGACCAGCCCCCAACCTCCCAGGACCTGACTTGCCCTGGGCCCAGGACCTCCTAACTGAGGAGACCCCATGCAACGCAGCAGGGGGGAACCAGGCGTTCCTGGGTGCCATCCACCTGAGGGTGGGGGGAGTCCGGGGGCCCTGACCCTGCGGGTGGGGTGAGTCCAGGCGCCCTGACCCTGAAGGTAGGGTGAGTCTGGGGAACCCAGACCCTGAGGGTGGGGTGAGTCCAGGGGCCCTGACCCTGAGGGTGGGGTGAGTCCAGCTGCCCTGACCCTGAGGGTGGGGGGAGTCCAGCTGCCCTGACCCTGAGGGTGGGGGGAGTCCAGGGCATCCGGACCCTGCGGGTGGGGGGAGTCCAGCTGCCCTGACCCTGAGGGTGGGGTGAGTCCAGGGCGCCCTGACCCTGAAGCTGGAGTGAATTTTGGGATACTCTGACCATCTGGCAGCCTGGCCACCCCTGAGGGCTGACCCCACCTCTGCACACCAGGTGTGACATGAGGACCTATATGTGGGCCCCGCCCCTCCAGGTCAGACCCTTAAAGGCAGCATTGGTGTGCCTGATGTGTGGAACGGGTGGGTGCGGCCCAAGCCTGCTTACGAGGGCCACCGTGTCAGAGACACTGTCGCTCGGCTGCCTGCCTCCCAGGGACCGCGTCTTCTCGGGCACGTCAGCCTGTGGGGGAGGAGATGGGAATCAGCTTGTGCTCAACTGCAGGTGCCAAGGCGCTGACTTCTGGACTGGGAATGCTGGGACTCAGGGAGGCCCGGGGTACCTGCGTGGCAGTGTGCTGGACAGTGGGTGCAGAGTGGCTCCAGGACAGCTGGACAGGGCCCTGGGCCCAGGACATGCTGGGAGATTTGGGCCACACCACAGCCCAGTCAGACCACGGTCTGCTCTGGGAGATCAGTGTGGCCCCACTCACCGGGCTTGGGGGCTCCTTGTGGCTGCGGGCGCTGTGGATGCTCCCAATCTCCGTCTGCGAGCTCGAGTGCGACAGGCCTTCAAAGTATGGCCTGGCTCAGGGAACAGGGGTGGGGGACACGTTAATTTCCAGGACCCTTCTTGCACTGAAAGCGCAGTTCTCCCACCACACCTGGAGGGACAGACTGCAGAATCCAACGGCAGAGCAGAGCTGGGTCCAGAGAAGAGCCCGTGTCAGCGCACACCCCGCTCGCACCAGCTGCAGCACAGGGCACAGAATGATTCTGGAGCTGGCAACACTAAGCGCTGGGCCAACCTGGCTGCCCCGTCCTGGTTCTTCCACCTGCCCTGACATCAGCTGCAGGAAACACACACCCCTGAAACTCGCAGCCTTAGCTCCAGGCAAGGCTGCCACAAACACGAAGGGGCTCTGGGGAGAGCTCCACTGGCCAATCCTGCTGGAGGGCAGCCCTGGGATCTGCAGCCAGCCTGCAGCAAACAGGTGAACATGCTCGACAAAACAACAAGGGCACATCAGATGAAGCAGGCCCTTCCGGACCCACCAGGCAGATCAGACCACCCAGGCCCATCCAGGTCCTTCCAAACCATCCAGGCCTATCCAGACTATCCAGGCCTTTCCGGACCACCCAGGCCTTTCCACACTATCCACACTGATGCAGGCCACCCATGCCTTTCCAGACCACTCAGGCAAATCCAGACCATCCAGGCCTTTCCAGACCACTCAGGCAGATCCAGGCCATCCATGCCTTTCCGGACCACCCAGGCCCTTCCCGACCATCCAGGCCTATCCAGACCATCCATGCCTTTCCGGACCACCCAGGCTGATCCAGGCTGATCCAGGCCACCCATGCCTTTCCGGACCACTCAGGCAGATCCAGGCCATCCATGCCTTTCCAGACCACCCAGGCTGATCCAGGCTGATCCAGGCCACCCATGCCTTTCCAGACAAACCAGACCCTTGCAGACCATCTGGCCGATCCAGGCCATCCAGGCCGAATGTCTCATCCCTGGTTGATATAATATGTACGAAGAAAAAGGAGGAAGGGAGACCTACAGATTCAATAAGACTTAAAAGACCTTTCAAGTGAAAAAAATTTGACAGGAGGCCAGGTGCACTGGCTCACACCTGTAGTGTCAGCACTTTGGGTGGCCAAGGCAGGTGGTTCGCTTGAGCTCAGTTCGAGACCAGCCTGGGAAACATAGGGAGACCCTGTCTCTACAAAAATATAAAAATTAGCTGGGTGTGGTGGCGCACGCCATTGGTCTCAGCTACTGAGGAGGCTGAGGTGGGAGAACCGCTTGGGCCCAGGTGGTTGAGGCTGCAGTGAGCCACGACTGCACAACTACACTCTAGCCTGGCTGACAGAGCAAGGCCTTATCTCAAGAAACAAACAACTCCCCCGCCCCCTAAAAAAACAGACGGGACTTAGCAGTGTCTGCTGCTCCACCCTGGGTGACAAACCCACGTGGAAACTTGCTGCTGTGTGTGCCCATTCAAGATCATAGCCCCGAGACGCACACGCCTCTCCTCAAACTATGAATGCTAGCTGGCCAGGGCTCTGCAGATACAGCCAACACCACGGAGTTTAAGATGGGAGAGGATCTGGGCCACAAAGATGTCTCCTATGGAATCACGTGAGCCGTTAAAGACAGAAAACTTTCTCCGGCTGAAGGCAGAAGAGATGAGGCAGGAAGGCCAGGGAGGCCCAAAGTGTGAGGGGGACTTCACTGGGCCTTGCTGGTTCCGAAGGTGGAGGAGGGACCCTGGGCCAGGGTACGAGGACGGTTGCCAGAAGGCAAGAATGACCAACGGCCACCAGGCGGCAGGGCAGCCAGACCCCCATCCCGCAGCCACACGGAGCTGAACTCCACCAACCACCACGCTGGGCCTGCACTGCATGACCTCGGAGCCCCAGTCAGGGCAGCCACCAATACCTCCACCCGAGCCCAGCGAGACCCTGGCCAAGAATGAGGCCACAGCCTCGGGATGGCAATCTCCAGAACAGGAGGAACAGAGGCTGTTTCTGGTGGCCACATCCGCGGTCACCTGTTATGGTGGCTGCTGGCAACTGAAGGAGCAGCAAGTTGGGCTGGGGCTGCCAGGCCGGGGCAGGTGAGGTGGGAGGCCGCTGCGTGGCTGCAGGGCTAACTGGGGCCGCGCCTCCAACATGCAGCAAGGCCACCTTCTTCGTGTTGTTTAGGTTAAAAAAGTGTGAGAGCAAAAGGTCTACCAAGCTTCCTGACTCTGACTGGGGCCTCTGGCTCCTCAGCAGCTGCCCAGAGGCTGGCACCTGCCTTCTGCCTGGTGTGCTTGCCTTCCTGCCCCCAGCTGACCGAGGCCTCCATACCCAGACCCATGCACAGAGCTGCCTGCCCTGCATCCTCTCCTCCTGCCCAGGCCAGGCCACCCCAGCCAGCCCCTCCTCCCATCCAGCCACAGAGACACCTGCCCTCCCCCTCCCCACCTGCCTCTGCCTCCTCCTCCTCAGGGAGGGGCACCCAGCATGGGAGCTCTACTCCCCACCTGAGTGAACGGAGGTCCCCTGCAGTTCCCAGGGCATCCCCCAGAGACGGATCCCCTACAACGGGGTGCCACACCCAGCCCAGCCAGCACCCTGGGGGACCCCTCTCGGTCCTCCCCAGCCCAGAGCTTGCACCCCCTGGCCTATGAAAGGAAAGCTGCCTGGCTCAGTGCAGCCGTAGCCTGGGCCTGCCAGGCAGCCGCACACCCCTCCTTCCAGCCACCAGAGCCTTCCCAGGCTTCGAGGCAGCTGGCCCTGCCCACCCCGTCTCCAGGGCTGGACATGGGTCTGCCAGAGTGGTCGCAGAGTGGCCGGGGCATCTGAAATGGCTGTTCCTCCCCGCCCCGCCCTGTAGGGCTCACCGCAGCTTCGGCTTGGGGGTGCTGAGGACGCTGTCGTCATCCTCCATGTCGGGGCCGCTGTCGCTGGGGTGCTCCATGTCCAGGGTGTCATACAGGAGGTCCAGGTCCTCCTCTGCCTCGGGGATGTGCTCCGCAGGGTCCTGCTCCGAGTCCAGGACCTGCACGGGTGCCAGGCACGCGTGAGTTCCCTGCAGCAGCCCACATTGCCCCACTGGGGGCGCCCGAGACCCCAGAGTCTGCAGGAGCAATAGGAGGCGGGCACCCAGCCACCAAACCCCTCCACTCAGCACGGCTGTAGTCCAGCTTCTGTCTTGGAGCTCGGGATGATCACCGAGGACCCCCGGTCCCCAGGTACCGGTGCGTGTGGCATTCCTCCACCTCCCCTGGGCTGGTGCAGTCATCTGGGCTGCCAGGGTGCACGGAGGGCCTGGGTGCAGGCAGGTGAGCTCTGACGGGTGTGGGCCACTGTGCAGCCACCACCAAAACCAAGACAGAAAGTGCTCCCCACACCCAGGAGGCTCCCCTTTGCCTTCCTCTAGTGCGTCCCCTCCCTCAGCCCCAGGCCCTGCGAATCTCACTCTGTTCCTGTACATTCTGCCCTTTCCCGAGTGCTACCCAAAAGGAATCATGTGGCCTGCAGCTCTCGGTGGCGGGGGGAGGAGGGCGTCATCCACCCAGCGTGGCACACTTCATGTTCCACTGTGTCCCCACCCAAGTCTCACCTTGAATTGTAATCCCCATAAGCCCCACGTGCCAAGGGCAGGACAAGTGGAGGTAACTGGATCCTGGGGGTGGTTTCCTCCACGCTGTTCTCATGATAATGAGCACATCTTAAGAGATCTGATGGTTTTATAAGCATCTTGTATTTCCCCTGCAGGCACCCACTCCGACCTGCTGCCCCATAAAGAAGGTGCCTGCTTCCCCTTCTGCCATGATTGGCAGCTTCCTGAGGCCTCCCCAGCCATGCTGAACTGTGAGTCAACTAAACCTCTTTCCTTTATTCACTTCCTCTGATGGTTCTGCAGTGCGCCACTGAGTGGGTGGACCCCAGTCTAACAGATCACCAGCTGACGGGCATTATGACCATCACAGATGAAGCTGCTGTGAACGTCTGAGTGGGTCCATGCATGTGTGTGTTCACCTCCCTGAAGTCAACACTGAAGAACAGGGGTGCTGGGTGTCTGGCAACTGCTTCCTGTGGCTGCCACACCACCTTACATTCCCCCAGCAGGGTGTGGGTTCCTGCTGTTACACCTCACCCTGTTGCATTTCATTTGTTCCAGCCATCCTAGTGGGGATCAAGTAGTGTCTCATTGTGGTTTGGTTTACATTTCCCTAATGACCAGTGATAATGATCATGATGATCGTGTACTTATTGGCTACTTGTGTGTCTTTGAAGAAATCTATTTAGAAAGATCCCTATTTTTTTTTTTTTTTTTTTTTTGAGATGGAGTCTCGCACTGTCTGTTGCCCAGGCTGGAGTGCAGTGGCACGATCTCGGCTCACTGCAAGCTCCGCCTCCCGGGTTCACGCCATTCTCCGGCCTCAGCCTCCTGAGTAGCTGGGACTACAGGCGCCCATCACCACGCCCGGCTACTTTTTGTATTTTTAGTAGAGATGGGGTTTCACCGTGTTAGCCAGGATGGTCTTGATCTCTTGACCTTGTAATCCACCCGCCTCGGCCTCCCAAAGTTCTGGGATTACAGGTGTGAGCGACCACACCCAGCCCCCTGCCCATTTTTTAATTGGACAATTCACTGTTCTTTGTCTTTGAGAAAGGGTCTTGCTTTGTTGCCCAGGGTAGAGCGCAGTGGCACAATCATAGTTCACTGCAGCCTCGACCTCCTGGGCTCAAGTGATCCTCCCACGTCAGCCCCCAAAGTGCTGGGATTACAGGTGTGAGCCACTGTGCCTGGTTCTGACAAGTGATAATCACTTTATTAAAACACTTGGCTTAAGCATCTGCAATGGTGATGTCAACCGCGGCTCGCAGCTCAATTCCAACAGAGCAATCAGCCTCACAATCCAGGATGGACCAGGCAGGTCCACGAGCTGCTTATGGATTCTCGTCTGGAAGTGATCCTGTGTCTGAGAACCTTCACCACAAGGTGTGTTTCTCTTAGTGATTCTCAAAGACTTGGCAGGCATCAGAACTGGTTCTTTCACTTTGAGATTGTTTTTCTCCGTGCCCCTCATAAGCCAGCACACACCTCCAGGGATTTTACATTGCAGCTGGTCAGGGTAATTCTAATTCAAGGAATCACTCCACGGGCTCCAGAGGTGTCCTCCCGGTGTCTTTAAAAGCCGTGGCCACGAGGCGGCTTCCTGGTCGACTTCTCAGTACAAGTGGACAGCAGCGAGTCAGGGCAGGAGTGGGCGGGCCCCAGCTCCGTGGCACCTGAGGCTGCATCGTTCTCAAAGCAATGGACAGTTCAGCTTTTAACTAGACTGTCTGTGTCTTTATTTTTCAGTTATAAGCATTCTTTATGTGTTCTGGATTCAAGCCCCTTATCACATATATGATTTGCAAAAAACATTCTTCTGTTCTACTGTTCGGTTTTCTTGATGGCACTATTTGGTGCACAAAACTGTAAAATGTTGCTGTGGTCCAGAAAAACTTACCTTTTGTTGCTTATGCTTTTGATGTCACATCTAAGAAACCCCTGCCTAACCCAAGGTCATAAGATTGGCCCATTTTCTTCTAAGAGCTTTATAATCTTAGCTCACAGATGGAGATATTTGATCCATTTCAAGTTTTTTTTTTTTTTTTTGAGACAGAGTCTCGCTGTGTCGCCCAGGCTGGAGTGCAATGATGCAATGTTGGCTCACTGCAACCTCTGCCTCCCAGGTTCAAGTGTTTCTTCCACTTCAGCCTCCCAGGTAGCAGGGACTACAGGCACCCGCCACGATGCCTGGCTAATTGTTTTTGTATTTTTAGTAGAGACGGGATTTCACTATGTTAGCCAGGCTGGTTTCGATCTCCTGACCTCAAGTGATCCGGGTCACTTGAGCCTCAAGCCTCGGCCACTAATCCCAAAGTGCTGGGATTACAGGCGTGAGCCACCGCACCCAGCTGATCCATTTAGTTAATTCTTGAATATGGTGTGAGGTAGGGGTCCAAATTCCTTTTTTTTTTTTGAGACAGGGTCTCACTCTGGTTGCCCAGGTGGAGTGCAATGGCATGATCTCAGCTCACTGCAGCTTCCACCTCCTGGGCTCAGGTGATTCTCCCACCTCAGCCTTCCGAGTAGCTGGGATTACAGGTGCATACCACCATGCCCGGCCAATTTTTTGTATTTTTAGTAGAGATGCGATTTCACTATGTGGACTTATGCAATCTGCCTGCCTCAGCCTCCCAGAGTGCTGGGGTTACAGGCATGTGCCACCACAGCTGGCTGTAATTCCTTCTTTTGCATGTGGATATCCAGTGGTCCTAGCACCTTTGTTGAAGACTATTCTTCCCCCATGGATATCTTGACATCTTTGTTGACCATCACTTGCCCATAAATGGAAGGGTTCACTTCTGGACTATCACCTCCATTCCACTGATCTCCATGCCTGTCCCTGGGCCAGCCCCACATGGTCAGGATTACTACTGTGGTTTTGTAGTACATTTTGAAATTGGGAAGTATAAGTCTTCTTTCTTCAAGACTGTTCTGTCTGCCCTGAGTCTCTGGCATTTACACATAAATTTTAGCTGGTCAATTTCTACAAAAACACAGCTGGGAATCTGATACGCACTTGAATTTGTTGAATTTGTACATCAATTTAGGGATTATTGCCACCTTAACAAGACTAAGTTTTCCAATTCATGAACATATGACATCTTTCCACTTATTTATATCTTCTTTCTTTAAAAAATGTTTCATAGTTTCACTGTATGAGTCTTACTCATTTTAAAAATCAGGTTGCTTTTCTTATTGGGTTTTGAAAGTTTTTAATATATCTATTGGATACAAATCTTTACCAGGTATGTTATTTGCAAATATTTTCTGTCAACCTGTGGCTTTTTTCTTTTTTTTTTGAGACGGAGTCTCGCTCTGTCACCCAGGCTGGAGTGCAGTGGCCCCATCTTGGCTTACTGCAAGCTCTGCCTCCTGGTTTCACATCATTCTCCTGCCTCTGCCTCCCAAGTAGCTGGGACTACAGTCGCCTGCCACCACGCCCAGCTAATTTTTTTGTATTTTTAGTAGAGATGGGGTTTCACCATGTTAGCCAGGATGGTCTCGATCTCCTGACCTCGTACTGCCTCGGCCTCCCAAAGTGCTGGGATTACAGGCGTGAGCCACCGCACCTGGCCATCTTTTCATTCTTTTAACAGTACCTTTCAGAAAGCAAATTTCTACTTTTTTTATTGTGTTAAAAATATATAAAACATAATATTTACCATTTTATCTATTTTTAGGTGTACAGTTCAGTGGCATTAGTGCAGGATTTAAGTTCATATTTTTTAAGGCTTAGAATCTAGGTAATTTAAATTTTAGGCTTTTACATTTAGGAATATGATCCAGTCAAGCTGAATTCTGCACATGGTGTGCATTGTCAAGCCTCAGTTTTTTTGCGAAAAGATATTTTCTCCAATGAACTTGGCACCCTTGTTGAAAATCAACTGACTATCCAGGTGTGCCACCTTTTACAATGAAAAATTCAGAAGGCAGCCCTCAGCGGACGCTTTCGCTGTGAGCTGAAGCTGAGGGCTGTAAGGAACAGACTTCACTCTGGTTCCTCCTCACAGGATGGGTCCCAAGCAGAGCCCTGCTCTCCTCCTCACCAGACCCACTGTGTGGCACCTGGGCACAGGGCAGCCTGGATGCCAGTGCTCTGTGGTCAGCCTGGGGGCTGTGAACGTTTGTACCCCCAAAATTCCTACACTGAAACCTGACCACCAAGGTGCTAGAATTAGGAAGTGGGGCCTCTAACAGGTGGTTAGGGCCCGAGAGCTCTGCCCGCTGAATAGGCTCAGGGCCCTGATGAGGGAGGCTTGAGGGAGCTTGTCAGGCCCTCTCACCACACAACACACAGAAGGTGCCCTCTATGGGAAACGGGCCCTCAAGACACCGAGTCTACTGGCACCTTGATCTTGGACTCACAGCCTCCGGAACTGCGAGAAATACACTTTGGTTGTTTATTAATTTCCCAGTCTAAAGTATTTTGTTATAGCAGCATGAACAATCTCAGATGGCTGTAATCCAGGCGGTGACCTCGTCTCACTGTGCATCTCCTGCCCCCTGAGGGTTGCTGTGAAGTCCTGGGCAGGGGGCAGTGCCAGGTGTGGCACTCCTAGTGGCCAAGACACAGGTTCAGAGCTGTGGCGGAGATGGTCTGGTCTTTTCAGGAAAGGGAGTGATGGGTGGAAAATACGGAAAGAGATCCCATCACTCCATTAAAGTACTGTGTTGACCTGCATGAATTTCACACAACGCTGTGCAATTATCCCTATGAAAACGATGTCCTCTCCCTGAACAGCGTCTGTGACGTTGGCCCATCTTTTCACAGTTTGGGTTGTGAGTCTCAGAACCATAATCTGTGTAAGTGAAATGCATTCTGGGACTCAGTTCAGTTGCCCAGGTGAGTGCAGAACCCCACGGTCAAGATTCAACCAAGAACACCCACCCCTGAACCCACAGGCGCTCAGCAGGGCTCAAGGAAGCCCCAGGCCAGGGAGCCGACTTGGCTAAGTCCCATCTTCAGCTGCACTTGGGAATGTTCCAATCCAAGATGCAAACCAAAAGACACAGGGGCCCGATGACCATCCCAGTGGCGGAGCTGCCCTTCCTCTGCGGCCAGTTGGTGATGTTACGCTGTTCCCAGAAATGCTGCCTGCCCCACCGGGCCACAAAGCACCTGTTTCGGCACATGGACCTGACAGCCTCGCTGAGTGTGTGCCCCAGGGGCTGAGCTGGATGCATCCCGAGTATGTTAGGACACAGCGCCATCTACAGGCAGTGTGCTCTCAGGCCGACGGGTGACAACCCTGCTTCAAGGCTGAGACGCTTAAACGCCACCTCTCCACTTCAGGTCCTGAACCCAGGCACGTTTTTCTTCTGACGTTAAAGAAACAACAAAGGCTGGGCGCGGTGGCTCACGCCTGTAATCCCACCACTTTGGGAGGCAGAGGCAGGCAGATCACTTGAGGCCAGGAGTTCAAGACCAGCCTGGCCAACAGGGTGAAACCCTGTTGAACCTGGGAGGCAGAGGTTGCAGTGAGCCGAGATTTGAAGTTTTTTCTTTTGAGACAGGGTCTCGCTCTGTTGCCCAGGCTGAAGTGCAGTGGCTCAATCTCCACTCACTGCAGCCTTGGCCTACTAGGTTTCCTCCCAAGTAGCTGGGACTACAGGTGCACACCACCACCCACAGCTAATTTTTGTATTTTATTGTAGAGATGGGGTTTCACTATGTTGCCCAGGCTGGTCTCAAACTCCTGGGCCCAAGTGATCTGCCTGCCTTGGCCTCCCAAAGTGCTGGGATTACAGGCATGAGCCACTGAGCCCAGCCATGTTTTTCTTTTCGGTATGAAAATTATACAAGCTCATTGTAGAAAATTCAGAGATTAGAGAAAAGCTAAAAGATGAACATTAAAAATCCATGGAATGTCAGTAGTGGGGGGCTGTCAGGTGGGGAGGGGGGGCCCATGTCAATAGTGGGGGGCTGTCAGGTGGGGAGGGGTCCATGGGAACTCTGAACTTTCTGCTCAATTTTGCTGTAAACCTAAAACTGCTCTAAAAACTAAAGTCTATTTATAAAAAAAAAAACACACAAACTAATGGTTACATCCCCCTGAAAATGACTTTCCGACTTCCAGGGTATTCACGACTTCTACTTCAGCAGAGACCCAGCGGGTGACCTGGAGCCCGGGAGGCAGTGCCACTGTCACTGCGCCTCGCAGACTGTGCGATGCTGGCGGGGCCGTGCAGACGGTGAGCGGCAGAACCAGAGGTGGCCCGGAGACAGACCCCAGAGGCCTCCTCCCGACCAGGTGCTGTTGCAGGCGTGGGGGCCGCGAGCAGAAGGCGCGGCGCACTCACCTCGTCGGACACTTTGAACCTCCGCAGCAGCGCTACCACTTTCTGCTTGAAGTTCTGTTGCTGCAAGACAGGCGGTGCAGAGTCAGAGCCGCCGCCAGAGCTGCAGACCCGCCGCTGGAGCCCCTTCCTCAGGCCCAGGCCGCACCCAGGCCCGCCGTGGGAGAGCAGCAAGGCCTCAGCACCAGCCACGCTGATGGATTCGCTCGTGGCTCCCAGAGGCTTCCCAACAGGCCTGAGGTCTGACAGTTCCATTCCTGGCCAAGGGGGACCCGGGGAGGCGTGTGCGGACTCCATGGTTCTTCCAGAAGCCTCTGCAGCCCTTCCCAGGCTCACGGGGCCCTTCCCTCAGCACCCCCTCCCAGGAAAGGCCCTGGCCGACCCCAGAAGGAAGGTGCTGGGCACCCACGTGGGGTGGGCAGGTGGGCGAGTGTGGGGTGGGGCGTGCTCCAAGAGCCTGAGCCCCGTGGGTGCCTCGTGCCACCCTGGACTGCAGAACCTCGGCTCCAGCCACTGGGTGAGCGGGACCCTCAGCCACCCTCTCGGGGACCAACCCTACAAAGGCAGCCCACGCCCTCCCTTCACAACAGTTGGGCCCAAGGGGGCCCTGGAATGGAGGCTCAAGCTGGTGTTCTGCACAGCGGGGGCTGCTCTCCAGGCCAGCAAGACACAGCTTCACCACTTTGGGAGCAGCTTGCCCGTCCCTGGCACCGTCTGCCCACAGCGCCCCCTTGAATGCTGCCAGAGGAGGCGGCGGTGTCCGGGCTGGGCTGTGCCCATGTCCCTTGTCAGCACCAGGCACAGAGCTCCCCGCCCACCTGCGCTGGCCTCCCTGGAACCGTGCCTGTCCTTGGGGTGTCCAGGCGCCAGGCGGTGGACCCTCTGTGCCAGTGCCGGACACGGCCTCTGAGGAAAGAGCTGCCTGAGCTTTCCTCAGGGAAAAAATGCTGAACAGCCCTGCCAAGCTCCTGGGGACCGTGGAGGTAGGTAGGCCAGATCCCAAACAAAAATGGGGGAACCAGCCCACTCAGGTGTATGTGGGCACCTGACGGGACAAAAGGGAGGATGGCCTCCCGGAGTTTCTGCACATGGAGTGAGCCTGGCAGCGAGGCAGCCTCCCAGCCTTGCTCAGGGCCCACTGAGCCTAGCGGCCACACAAGGCTAAAGCCAGGAGATGTGGCGAGGCA